>NC_000019.10:44513601-44816631 GCF_000001405.40 Homo sapiens
GATTTTTTGTATTCTTTGGTAGAGAGGGGGTGTTTCACCATGTTGGCCAGGCTGGTCTGGACCTCCTGACCTCAAGTGATCCGCCCACCTCAGCCTCCCAAAGTGCTGGGATTATAGGTGTAAGCCACTGCACCTGACCTCAGTCTGTGGTATTAACAGCATCATTTCTAAACTAAAACATCCAGTTTCTGCGTCCAAATTTCAGCAGTGTGACTTTGGGCATGCTACTTAACCTCTCTAGGCTTCAGTTGTCTCTTTTGTAAAATGGGAACAATAGGGTTTATAGGGCTTCTAGAAAGATTAAACATACATGTATTCATTTTCTATATATATAGTGTTTGTTTGGAACCATGGAAAGTGATCAGTAAATGTTGGCCATGATGACAATGTCAGTTAGGATAATGGATCAAATATGGCTTTGTGTTTCTTTCCTCCCAGAATAGAGGCACAGACCAGAGAAAAGAGCTTTGGCAACCAGAAACCCGGCTTTCACTTAGAGCCCCTTGACTCACTGCGGCCATGTGACCCTGGACAAGTGAATTCATTTCTGAGTCTCATTTCTTCATCTGTAAATAGCACAGGATGTTTGCAAAGATGAGATGAAATCATGAATGTTAACACCTGGCACATACTAGGTGATTAATAAATGGCAATTGTTTTCATCAATATTGGCCTGCCGATTGCCCATCTCACTTCTGCCTGAACCTCTCTCAAAAGGGTGGAATCGAGCCACTGAGTTAAGAACACAGCTACAAGGATCAGGAGGGTGAGGAAGGAGCTCTGCTTTGGAGGGGCAGGAGGGAACTTCCTGGGGTGCTTCAGGGATTCTTAGGTTCATTTCTGCATCTCCACTTTTTTTTTTTTTGAGATGGAGTCTCACTCTGTTGCCCAGGCTGGAGTGCAATAGTGTGATCTCAGCTCACTGCAACCTCCACCTCCCTGGTTCAAGCAATTCTTCTGCTTCACCCTCCCAAGTAGCTGGAATTACAGGTGTGCACTGCCATGCCTGGCTAATTTGTGTGTGTGTGTGTATTTTTAGTAGAGATGGGGTTTCGCCATGTTGGCCAGGCTGGTCTCAAACTCCTGACCTCAGGTGATCCACCCTCCTCGACCTCCCAAACTGCTCAGATTACAGGCATGAGCCACCATGCCTGGCCGCATCTCCATTTCTTTATATGCCAAGCAAGGATAAGAATTCCAAACTCTATAGACTTTTTAAAATTTTTTTTAAATTTTTAAATTTTAAAATTTAAGGCCAGGCTGGAGTGCAGTGGCACGATCTTGGCTCACTGCAACCTCTCCCTCCTCTGCAACCACTGCAACCTCGCTGCCTCCCAAGTGATTCTCCTGTCTCAGCCTCCCGAGTAGTGTGATTACAGGTACCCACCACCACGCCTGGCTAATTTTTGTATTTTTAGTAGAGATTGGGTTTCACCATGTTGCCCCGGCTGGTCTTCAACTCCTGACCATATGTGATCCACCTGCCTCAACCTCCCAAAGTGCTGGGATTACAGACTTGAGCCACAGTGCCCGGCCTCTATAGACTTTTGAAGGGATTAATGAGATCTTGTATAAAACTACTAGCACAGTGCCTGATACATACCAGATGCTTGACAAATGATGATGATGATGATGATGATGATGATGATGATGATAGAAGCTGCTATCTAGCAAGCTCTAAGCACCAAGAGACCTTCATACATGATCTTATTCAAATCCTACAATATCCCCGTGAGCATCAACTGAACTCCCTGCTGCCTTCCCTGAGCCTGTTGCTCCATCCATCAAATGGTCTTAATAAGACCACAAGATTGTTCTGAAGATTAAATGAGGTAATTTGGAAGTTGATATAAATGGTGTCCTAGGCTTAGTGAACAACTTGAGGAGGCCAGCCTGGTTTCAAACCCCAATGACAGGATTTGAGTCTATAGGTCTCAGTTTCCCTTCCTGTACAATGAAGAAACCAACAGGCTCACCTCAAAACTGGCTGACAGAGAGTACCCAAGAAGTGTTTGCTGATATTATATATGGGAAAGTTGGATTCAGACATGTGGCACAGGCTCAATAAATAATAATTTTAGGCTGAGCTTCGTGGCTCAAGTCTGTAATCTCAGCACGTTGGGAGGCTGAAGCGGGACGATCACTTGAGCCCAGGAGTTTGAGACCAGCCTATGCAACATAGGGAGGCCCCGTCTCTACAAAAAAATATAAATAAAAAACTAGCTAGCTGTGGTGGTGCACACCTGTAGTCCCAGCTTCTCAGGATGCTGAGGTAGGAGGATAGCTTGAGTGTGGGAGGTTGAGGCTTCAGTGACCCATGATCATGCCACACACACAAAAAAAGGAATAATTTTATTTGTTTAACAAACACAATATGCCAAGCACTGCCCTAAGAACTTTACAAATGTTCACAACCTTCAACAACCCTAAGAAATAGGCAGAATTATTATGTTTTACAGATAATAAATCAGAGGCCCAGAGAGGGTAAGTAACTTGTCCAAGGTCACACAGCTAACAAGCATTGGAGAAGGATGTGAATCCCAGTGAACAGTGACACTGTTACCTTCTCAAGAACTAAAGACAGAGATACAGGGACTCCCTGCCAGTCATGTCCAGTTGTTATTAACATCATTTCCGATTCCCCATATAGCTCACTCCTTCCCTCACTGGGTATATCTCTGACTCATTGTCCTTCTAAGCAACTCTGAAAGATAGGCATCACGATATGATTTGGCTGTGTCCCCACCCAAATCTCATCTTGAATTGTAGCTCCCATAATTCCCAAGTGTTGTGGGAGGGACCTGGTGGGAGATAATTGAATCATGGGGGTGGTTTCCCCCATACTGTTCTCATGGTAGTGAATAAGTCTCACGAGATCTGATGGTTTTATAAAGGGTTTCCCCTTTTGCTTGGTTCTCATTCTCTCTTGTCTGCCACCATGTAAGACATGCCTTTCGCCTTCCACCATGATTGTGACACCTCCCTGGCCACGTGGAACTGTGAGTCCATTAAACCTCTTTTTCTTTATAAATTACCCAGTCTTCAGCATGTCTTTATCAGCAGCATGAAAATGGACTAATACACATCACAAACCCAATTTACAGGCAAACAAACTGAAGCTCAGAACAGCTTGGAGAGTTTTCCAGGGAACACAGCAGGAAGTACAGGTTCTACATTTCCCTGACCACTAGGGGTTGGGATTCAACAGCTGTGGACTGAGAACCTGCTCAGGCAGTGTGGAGACTGCCACACTCCAGCCCTCGGTAGGGGTAGACTAGGTAGCTGGGACCAGCATCAGGAAAGGCCCCTCGGGTCCTGGGAGAAGGCGACCCTGAGAGACTCACCTACCACCTTGACCAGGACTGAAGTGGAGCGGGCCAGGCCAGTGAGAGAGTTGGAGGCTGTGCAGTTGTAGATCCCGTCGTGTTCCCAGGTCAGAGCCCTGATAATCAGCTGCTCACCCAGGTGCTCCCCGGTGGAGTGTTCAAGAGTCCAGCGATACTCAGCACCTGGCTTGGACTCGGCCCAACACTGCAGGGTCAGGCTGGAGTTGAGCTCTGCCTCTATGGTGCTGATCATCTCAGATGCCGACTCCCTGGTGATGTGCACTTGGTCAGGACCATCTGTGTGTAAAGCCAAACGTGATGCACCCTGGCCCCCATCAGCGAGTCATCCCATTCTGCCCCATTCACTTTCACCTTGGAATTTCAGTAAAATAAACAGAACATACTCCCTTTTCCTCCTTAGCTCTCTGACAAGCAGAGTGTGGTCCACAACACTGGGGGTGGGGCAGATCAAAACAAAAACAAGGGCCAGGCATGGTGGCTCATGCCTGTAATTAATCCCAGCACTTTGGAAGGCCGAGGCAGGCAGATCACGAGGTCAGGAGATCGAGACCATTCTGGCTAACATGGTGAAACCCCGTATCTACTAAAAATACAAAAAATTAGCCGGGCGTAGTGGCACGCACCTGTAGTCCCAGCTACTCGGGAGGCTGAGGCTACAGAATTGCTTGAACATGGGTGGTGGAGGTTGCAGTGAGCCAAGCTCATGCCACTGCACTCCAGCCTGGGCGACAGAGCAAGATTCCATCTCAAAAAAAAAAAAAAAAGAAAAAAAACTGCCTTTGTAAAAGTTAATTCAAAGAAGTGTTTTAGGTCACCCAGGCATCAGAAATTGTTGCTAGGCCAAGCGCAGTGGCTCACACCTGTAATCTTAGCACTCTGGGAAGCCGAGGTAGGTGGATGTGAGTGGAACTCCTGAGACCAGGAGTTCAAAACCAGCCTGACCAGTGTGGCGAATCACGTCTCTACTGAAAAATAAAAATAAAAACTAGCTGGATGTGGTAGCACATGCCTGTAATTGCAGCTACTCGAGTGGCTAAGAATCACTTGAACCTGGGAGGCCGAAGTTGCAGTGAGGCAAGATTGTGCCACTGCACTCCGTCCTAGGTGATAGAGTGAGACTCAAAAGGAAAGAGGAAAGAAAGAAAGAAAGAAAGAAAGGAAGGAAGGAAGGAAGGAAGGAAGGAAGGAAGGAAGGAAGGAAGGAAGGAAGGAAGGAAGGAAGAAAGCAGGCAGGCAGGCAGGCAGGCAGGCAAGAAGGAAGGAAGGAAGGAGAGAGAGAGAGAGAGAAAGGAAGGAAGGAAGGAAGGAAGGAAAGGAGGGAAATTGTGGCTGCGTCCTGTGTATATAATCCCTAACTTCTAGTACTGTGTATTCTCAATGGTATAAACACGTGCAAATTTTCTTTGTAATGTCAGAGGGGATCATTGTCACTTTTCTCTTCCACCACATATAAGAAGGAAACAAATGAAAGTAGTTGTTGGATTTCTCATATAAATTAAAAGAGTTTAGGCCTGGGGCTGAGGCTCATGCCTGTAATCCCAGCACTTTGGGAGGCTGAGGCAGGGAGATCACTTGAGTTCAGGGATTCAAGACCAGCCTACGCAACATAGTAAGACCCTGTCTCTATTTAAAAAAAAAAACCTAAAAGAGTTTAAGAGTCATACTTTATTTAAATTAATGTAAAATACTGGAAAGGATGCAAAAGGTTGCTAATTGAGACATTCTAGGAGGGGAGGAATACCCTGACTCTGCTCCCTCCTAAACATCATTTGAACCTGCTCATTTCTCCCCATCCTGACCCCATTGACACTTGGATCCTTCACCTGCATCCCAGCTCCTCCTGGTCTCCCCATCCCAGTCTCATCCTCCACACAGCAGCCAGAGAAGTCTTCCTAAGTACTAAAGTGTCACTGTCCCTCCTGTGTTCAGAACCCTCTGTGGCTCCCCAGTGCCCTTGGGACAAAGCCTATGTCTGAAGAGGCCATTTACAATTTGATTCTTACAGACCCCCTCCAGCCCCACCTTTCCACACCTCTTGCTCTCATTCAGGAATTAAATCCCACTCGGAGATTCCATCCTTGTTACACTCTCTCTTGCCTCAAGGCCATCGCACACTCTCTTCCCTCTGTCTAGAATGCTCTTCCCTGACTCTGCTCTAAGCAGCCTACTCCTACTCATCCTTCAGCTCTTATGGTGGACATCCCCATTCATGATGACCCTTTGCAACATCCCCCAGATGGAGGCTTCCTTTGGGCTCCCCATACCCTCCCTTTGTCCCCCGGGGTCCCATTTATCATGCTATGTTTTATCTGCCTGCTTAGTGACCTCCCCATCCCCAGCAGGCTGTGAAAGCTGAAAATCATGTCAAGTATCAAATGCCCAACATGTTGCTTAGCACAGAGAGAGCACAAAACATATATTTTTGGTTTAATGACTGAATTGAAAAGGAAAGAGGAGTGAGCAACAGAGAAGTGTAAAGAGGAGCAAAGACATGTACTCAACCCCTACCTCTGTGTTCCCTACTGCTTCGCATGTATGAAAGTGCACCCCTCCTTTCTCTCCCTGCAGAAACCTCTTCTCCCCCAATCTTCTCCATCTTGGTTCGTGACTCCTACATCCTTTCGGTGGCTCAGGCAATAAACCTTACAGTCATTCTTGACTCCTTTCTTTCTCTTTCACCTAATATCAGTCAGCAGCATATTCAAAATACATCCACAGTGCAACCATTTCTCAACACCCGACAGTTGCCATTCTGGTCCAGCCCTATCATCTCTTGCTGCGCAACTCTGGCCACCAGGAGAAGCTCTTCAAAGACCTCCAACGGCAGAAATGTAATTGACCAAGGGCCCAATTGCTGTGCCCCCAAATCTACTCCCAGCCCTTCCACAGGCTGCACCCTGCCAGTACCTGAGTGCATCCAGGAAACTAAGGCAGGCCCCTTCCTGGGAGATATGGAAGGTCCCAACAGCCATGATGGGTGTTCCTTCAAGTGCATGGTTATCCAGGTGCTTCCATTCAAGTCTCTGTCCCTCACCCTGTCACTCGGGGTCACACTTGCATCTCAGTCTCTCAGTCTGATGGCTCTCCCAGCCTCCCTGCAGCTGCCTCCCTAGTTATCCTCACAGGAGCATTTCCCCTAATAAAACCCTTGCATGAATAATCCCGTTAATCCCACCTTGGGGTCTGCTTCTCCAAGGATCTGGACAAATACAACTCCTTCTCTCACTCCCCCTCTCCCCCACTTCTATGTTTGCCTCCCTGTAGACAAAGGCCAGTGAGACCCTGTGAAAGCCTAAATCTGGTGGTGTCCCTAAGCCTTATCACCTGCTTCTCTGTTTATGGTCTGGCTTCTCCACTAGAACATAAGCCCCCTGAGGGCAGGCACTTGGCCCTGTCCAGTGCCCAGATTCATGCCTGACACAGAGCAGGAGCTCAATAATCATAGCATGAATGACTAGAAGGAAGAACTTAAAGAGAAGGAGGGAAGCAGGGAGATGGGGAAGGTCCAGGCCCTGGGTGACTCACAGTTGATGGTCAGCTCAAGGGGCTCACTCCGGGCCCGGCTGCCCCAGTTCCAGACCTCACAGGCATAGGGCCCGGTGTCATTCCGCTGGAGGCCATGGATGATTAGGGTCCTGTTGTCAGCTGACAGCTGCAGGTGCTCACTGGGCAGGAGGGGCTGGCCACTTAGGAACCACTGGACATTCACACTCTGATTGACGGTTTGGCAGGTCAGGTCCACAGACCTAGCATTCTCCACAAGGTTCAGGCTTGAAGGCACGACTTGAGGCATGGTCAGTGTTTCTGGAAACACGTGGAGATACACAGTCAGGTTCAGGGAGATTTCCCTCATCTCCTGCCCTTGTGGGGCCCACAAGTTTTTCCAGGAGTGCGTGCGTGTGTGTGTGTGTGTGTGTGTGTTACAGGTGGTGTATATGATTTGCATAATGCTGGTGTGCGGGGTACGTGTATGTCTTTTGTGGATGAATGTGTGTCGTGTGATTATTATGTGAATATGCAATGAGTTTTGTGTGTATGGAGAGTGTGTGGTGTGTAAGTGTTTTGCGTCTCTTGTGTGTGTTGGGTGTATGTGTTGAATATGAAGTATGTGTGTGGTACACATATGCACTTTGTATGTGAGTATATGCTATGTGTATATATTTGTTGTATATGAATGTGTGTTCTGTGTCTGTGGTATTGTTTGTGTTATGTGTTTGTGTTGTGTGATGTGTGCATATGCTGTATGTGCTGCATGTGGTATGTGTGTGCATTTTGTGTGTGCATTGTGTGTCTGTTGTATATATGTGTTGAGGGTGTTGACTGTATGGTATATGGTGTGTTTTCCATGTTGTCCATCTTGAGTGTCTGTGATGTTTAATGGTTGTAATGTTTAGTAGGTGCTGAATGTCAATGATATGTGTTGTGTGTGTCCATTAGTGCATATTAGGTGTATATATATTTTATGTGAGTGTGTCATGTATATGTGATCTTGTTTGTTGTGTAGATGTATGTGAGATATGTATGTCTGCGTTTTGTATGTCATGTGTGTTGTACATGTGTTGTATGTGTGAGCATTTTGTGTGTGTGTTGTGAGTTTGTGTATATGTGTTGTGGGTTTGTATGTATATGCTGTGTGTATATGTGTATGTGCTGTGGGTTTGTGTGTATGTGCTATGGGTTTGTATGTGTTGTGGGTTTGTGTGTATGTGTTGTATGTCTGATGTGTTACGTACTTTGTGATGAGTGAGTTGTACACCTCTGTTGTGTGCATGCTATATGTTTGTATGTTTTGTGTGAGTGTGTGTTGTATGTCTGTGGTATTGCACAGTTGTGTACGTATTATATATGAGTTGTGTTTACTGTGTGTATTGTACATGCACGTGAGTGTGCTGTTCATGTGGGGATATTATCTGTGTGTGTACGGAGTGTGTGAATGTTGTGTTAGTGTTTTTAAATGTAGACAGTTAAACCCCCCACCTCCAGAGAGTCAAATCATGGGCAACCCCTAGAGAGCCACCAGGGTCTCGTGCAGGATGTGCCAAGCCAGGCAAAGGAGCCAGTGTGCCCAGCCTTCCCTGTAGTCGGAGCCCTGCTGCATTGGAAATCCCCCTGGGTCCTCCTCAAACTCTGGGGTATTGGTGTAGCTCACTGGCTCTTAAGATTTTTTTTTTTTTTAGACAGAGTCTTGCTCTGTCGCCCAGGCTGGAGTGCAGTGGCGTGATCTCAGCTCCTGCAAGCTCCGCCTCCCAGGTTCATGCCATTCTCCTGCCTCAGCCTCCTGAGTAGCTGGGACTACAGGCGCCCACCACCACACCTGGCTAATTTTTTGTATTTTTAGTAGAGACAGGGTTTCACCATGGTAGCCAGAGTGTTCTCAATCTCCTAACCTCGTGATCTGCCCACCTCGGCCTCCCAAAGTGCTGGGATTACAGGCGTGAGCCACTGCACCCGGCCTCTTAAGGTTTTTTTTCAGAGTTCAAGATCCCTTCAAAAATCTGATGACAATCCTAGATCCTTCCTCTAGAACACAGCGCAAACATTTTTCATGCAACTCAATGTCATGCAGGGATTTCTCCCTCACACAGTATCCAAAGGCCCTGGATTAAGAACTCCTGGTTCCTTCTGACATGGCCAGCATCTGACGCTCAGAAGAATGAAGGAGAGGAACCGGGAAAGGAGACTCACCAAGTACTCGGACCTTCAGAGTACCCAGGCTGGACAGGTGGGTGGCACTGTTGGACACCAAGCACCTGTACAGGCCCTCATGTTCTCTGGACACAGCATGGATGGTGAATGTTCTCGTGGTGTGAGACAGAATGGAGTCAAGGAGAAACCAAGTATAGGCACAGGGTGGGTGAGACTTTGTTTCCGCTAAGAAGGTCATGCTGGAGCCCTCCATCACCTCAACCACCTCCCCACTGGCAACACCAGACTCCAATTTGATTTCAACAGGATCAGGACCATCTGAGAGGACAGGAACAATTACAGCAGTAACAACAGCATCAGCAACAGGTCTCTTATGGAGGTCTTTAACGGATCAATAAATACTTTATTTCCCTCCTCCCCACTCAAAGGCTAGATCAATTGCAAACGAGGTACAGCAGTCAGATGGAGATGAAATGTCAGCCTCATCCCTGGGTAAAGCAAGATTGAAAGACACGTCTAAAGTATGCCAGCTGAATGGTTATTGTAGCTCACACCTGTAATCCCAGCATTTTGGGAGGCTGAGGCAAGAGAATTGCTTGGAGCAAGGAGTTTAAAACCAGTCAGGGCAACATACCAAGATCCCATCTCTACAAAAAATTTAAAAATTAGCCCGGTGCAATGGCTCATGCCTGTAGTCCCAGCTACTCGGGAGGCTGAGGCAGGAGGATCGCTTGAGCCCAGGAGGTCGAGGCTGCATTGAGCTATGATTGCACCACTGCACTCCAGCCTGGACAGCAGAGAGAAATCTTGTCTCAAATGAATGAATGAATGAATGAATGAATGAATGAATGAATAAAGTGAGCCAGCTAATGCTCTTTGCTCACCCCTATCCAGGCAAGGTTTTGGATCAAACGTCTGAGGTTTGGGAGCTCAATTTTAGTTGAGCTTCACATTAAGGCATACAGGCATGAGCCATTGCACCGGGCTAATTTTTAAATTTTTTGTAGAGATGGGATCTTGGTATGTTGCCCTGACTGGTTTTAAACTCCTTGCTCCAAGCAATCCTCTTGCCTCAGCCTCCCAAAATGCTGGGATTACAGGTGTGAGCTACAATAACCATTCAGCTGGCATACTTTAGGCATGTCTTTCAATCTTACTTTACCCAGGGATGAAGCTGACATTTCATCTCCATCTGACTGCTGTACCTCGTTTGCTTCACATTAAGTTGGAGGTTTCCAGTAGAATCCAAGTAGAGATGTCAAACAGTTATATGTCTGAAGTTCAAAGGTAGACAAGTCCGCATCTGGATGGTATTTCAAGCTGTGAGACTGAACGAGGCACTAAGCAAGTGAGTGTCAGTGAGGGGTTGGAGAGAATGGAAAGGGACTCACACTTCACATCCAGGAAGATGGGGTCGCTCCTCTGGCTCAGAAGGGCATCTCGAGCTTCACATTGGTAAGTCCCTGAGTCCTCCCGCTGGACAATGAGAATGGTGAGGATCTTGCCATCCTTGGACAGCTGCATGCGCTCATGGAACACAATGGAGAGGTTGTTGGAAACCCAGTGGATGGTAATGTTGACGTCCTTAG
Source organism: Homo sapiens (assembly GCF_000001405.40). NCBI lineage: Eukaryota > Metazoa > Chordata > Mammalia > Primates > Hominidae > Homo > Homo sapiens. Next base: position 44,524,184 of record NC_000019.10, read on the forward strand.
TGGTGCAGTAGAAGGTCACCATGTCCTTCTGCTCTATGGCAGTGCCTGGGCTGACTGCAATGGAGGGTTTGGCCAGCTCTGAAAGCAAGCGAGGGAGACAGAGGCAGAGACACAGGTAGAGGAAGAACAAACAAGACATAGTCACAGAGGGACCCAGAGAAACAGGACTAGATTGGAATTGCCAGAAGACTCTCTGGAGTTGGATGCCTGGGCTTGAATGCTGGATCTACTGCTCATTCTTGGTGTCATCTTCGGCAAGTTACTTCCCCTCTCCAAGCCCCATTGAAAGTGATTGTGCAAGTGAGGCAGAGGGTCTGGGACCTGACAAGGAGTCAATCAATGTCAGCTGCAATGACAATCAAGCTTACGACATGGGTGCCAGCAAGGGCCCCCTACCCACTCTTTTTCTTTATTGAAACAGGGTTTCATTCTGTCACCCAGGCTGGAGTGCAGTGGTTCAATCACGGCTCACTGCAACCTTGACCTCATGGGCTCAAGCGATCCTCCCACCTCAGCTTCCCAAATAGCTGGGACTACAGGCGTGCACCACCAAACCTGGAGGATTTTGTGTTTTTTTTGTACACATGGGGTCCCCCTATGTTGCCCAGGTGGGTCTCAAACTCCTGGGCTCAAGTAATCCACCCACCTCAACCTCCCAAAGTGCTGGAATGGCAGGTGTAAGGAACTGCACCCAGCCCCCCTACCCACTTTTTAGCCAACTTTGCCCACCCCAGCCATGACAGCCACAGCCCTCCCTCTTTACCCCTGACCCCTGGCACAGCTGACTGAACCAGTTGTTGCTGGACCCTGGCTGAGCCAATCAGATTCGTCCTCTGGGGACTTTGGGCGTGAGGTTCGGATGAGGGATCTCCATGGAGGCAGAGATCAGAATGACCGTCTTGTTTTCTGGCCCCTACCTCTGGATCTGCCATGAATCTGGGGTGTCCTGGGGGTCCCAAACACAGGCAGAACAACATCCTCACTTTGGGTGGCATCAAGTGGGTTGGCATTGAGGGTGAGCTGGGCTGCAGCTGGAGGACTCCATACGGTACAAAGCGAGGCTACAAGGGGAGAGAGGAGGCATTCAGGGAGGGAGAGGTGTGTTGGGGGTTGCCCGGCTAAGGTCTTCAGAAGCACAGGGAGCTCTGAGGCCATAGGACTGGCATTCCACCCACAGAGACCTGAGTCCTACTCGTTACTTACAGCTATGTGACCTGCAGCATGTTTTCTTGTTTGTTTGGTTTTTGTTTGTGTATGTGTTTTTGTTTTTGTTTTTTGAGGCAGAGTCTGGCTCTGTCACCCAGGCTGGCATGCAGTGGCGCAATCTCAGCTCACTGCAATCACTGCCTCCCAGGTTCAAGGGATTCTCCAGCCTCAGCCTCCCAAGTAGCCAGGATTAGAGGCACAGGCCACCATGCCCGGCTAATTTTTGTATTTTTAGTAGAGACGGGGTTTCGCCATGTTGGCCAGGCTGGTCTCAAACTCCTGACCTCAAATGACCTGCCCGCCTCGGCCTCCCAAAGTGCTGGAATTACAGGCATGAGCCCCTGTGCCAGCTGCAGCATGTTTTTGTCCTCTCTGAGCCTCAATCTCCTCAACTGTAAAATGGGCATACTATCACCTGCTTCCTAGGGTTGTTGTGGGGGTGGCAATGAATATTGGCAAACTTTGACTGGGTCCCCTGATAGTCACTGTGTTCTCTCCAATGATGTGCCCTCTACTGGAGACACGTGATGGTCCCTGTATTCCACATAGAGAAAAAACCGATGCTCAGAGAGGTGATGTCACTCACCAAGATGGTATTGTCAATGGCAGAAGCTAAACTTGAACCTGGCCTGCCAGGCCCTGAAGACTGTGCTCTCAACACTGTAATTCCTCCTGTCAGCCCAGAGATGGCCACACAGCCAACCCTTGATTAACAGGTACTTCTACTGTGATCTTGGTGAAAAATATTAACTTTTGGTACTTCCTCTGATGTGCCCCAGGCAAGATCTCACTTGCATGGGGAGGAAAGGAGAACAAGATAGCAGGTTTCCAGTTTTCAACGGGGTGTGGTGGCTCATGCCTGTAATCTCAGGACTTTGGGAGGCTGAAGTGGGAGGATCACTTGAGCTAAGGAATTTGAGACCAGCCTGGGCAACATAGTGAAGCTCTGTCTCTACCAAAAATTTTTAAAATTAGCTGGGGGTGTTGGCCCGCATCTGTAGTCCCAGCTACAGTCTGAAATGGGAGGATCACTTGAGCCTGGGAGTTTGAGGCTGCAGTGAGCTATGATTGCACCACTGCACTCCAGCCTGGGTGACGGCAAAATCCTGTCTTAAAAAAAAAAATAGAAACACACAAAAAAATGAGTTCCCAGTTTTCCATTTGATCATTCTGCACACCACTACGGGGGCTGCAAGAGACTATGGGACCTGGCGCGGTGGCTCATGCTTGTAATCCCAGCTCTTTGGAAGGCGGAGGTGGGTGGATCACTTGAGGACAAGAGTTCGAGACCTGGTCAACATGGTGAAACCCCGTCTCTACAAAAAAATACAAAAATTAGCCAGGTATGGTGATGTGCACCTGTAACCTCAGCTACTTGGGAGGCTGAGGCACAAGAATCTCTTGAACCCAGGAGGAAGAGGTTGTCGTGAGCCGAGATTGTGCCACTGCACTCCAGCCTGGGTGACAGAGCTAGACCTTGTCTCAAAAACAAACAAACAAACAAAAAAAAAACACGAGACTTTGCTGGGGCCCAACCCCAGCAGCTGTGCTCACACGCAACTGATCTCATCTCTCCCATGAGCTCAATTAACACAGACCCTCTGCACTTCTCAAAAGGGCCCCAATGTGGCCCAAACACTGCCCCATTCCCTGCCCAGTGAGTGAATAAGGGCACGAGCTCTTAGGAACAAATATGAACTCTGTCACTTACTAGCCCTACTATCATGGGTAAGGGACTTTCTCTTTGTGAGCCTCAGTTTCTTCCACTGAAAAATGGAGATAATAGTAGAACTCAGCTCATCTGGTGGTTGTGAAGGCTGAGTGAGATATCAAATGTGGCATGCTTAACACAGTTCATAGCAAATATTCAGCCACCATGATGGCAACGATGATGATGATGGTGGTGGTCTTGATGATGAGTTCTTGTGTCTGTGGTTTCTCTGCCTCAAATGCTATTAGAGGTTAGGCTCACAGCCTCAGAGCCTGACCACCTGGGTTTGAATCTCATCTTTGCCATTTATTTGGTCAAGTGATGTTCCCTATCTGAGCCTCAGTTTCCCCATTTGAAAAATGGCGGTAGTAACAGTTCCAGCCTCACTTAACTGTCATAAGGATAAGTGAAATGATGTAAGCAAAAGCACTGATGGGGCCTCATCATACCCACCCGAGACAGGAAGCCTCTCTGTGGAAAGCCTGCCATGGCCCCTTCCCTCTGGCTTTCTTCTCACAGGGTCCTGCCGTTGTCCTACCAGGAAGAGGCAACACTTACAGACTCACTGTGGATGCGGCTGATAACTCTCAGCCTCCCAGGACTACAGAGCCCCTGCACCCTTCCAGGGTTAGCCAGGAAGCGCCGGCCCAGAGAAGGAGAAGCTGGTCTCAGGGACACACAGCAAGGCTGGGCTGAGCCCTCACCTCTGCACATGACCTGTTGCAAAATCATGTCTTCACTTCCAAAATACTTTTTTCATCAAAATATTCTAGTTTCTGCCTTTTGTCTCAGATGCCTTCTAGGCAGAAATTTCACATCCATCCCCATCCTGATCCGTGGACCTGGCCGCTCAGGGCTGGCACAGCCTCCCTCCACCTGTCTCTCATCTGCTTGTCTGAATCTCTGTGATACTCCAACTCTCTCCCCGCGTTTCTGAATCTATTTCTGGCTGTGTATTTACCCAGTTCTTTCCCTGTCTCTTTGTCCTCTGTCTCCCTCTCTTTCTGCCCCTTCCTGTTTTTCCCACTGGTATCTCTTTCTTTCTTTTCTTTCTTTCTTTTCTTTCTTTCCTTTCTTTCTTTCCTTTCTTTCTTTCCTTTCTTTCTCTCTCTCCCTTTCCCTCTTTCTTTCTTCTTTTTCTTTTTTTTGACAGAGTCTTACTCTGTCACACAGGCTGGAGTGTAATGGCACAATCTCGGTTCACTGCAACTTCTGCCTCCCAGGTTCAAGCAATTATCTGCCTCAGCCTCCCGAGTAGCTGGGATTACAGGTGCCCGCCACCACACTCAGCTAATTTTCGTATTTTTAGTAGAGACGGTTTCACCATCTTGGCTAGGCTGGTCTTGAACTCCTGACTGCGTGATCCACCCGCCTTGGCCCCCCAAAGTGCTGGGATTACAGGCGTGAGCCACTGTGCCTGGGCCCCACTGGTATCATTTCTAAGGTTATTTTTTCACCCTTTGTCTCTGTCTCTGTGCGTATCTCTTCTCCCTGTATTTCTCTCTCTTTCTCCCTGGGTCTCTGGTTCTGTGGCTGTGACTCCATCTTTCTCTGTCTCTCTCTCTTTCTCTGTGTACACAGACACACAAACACACATCTTTGTCTTTCTCTCTTGTCTCTGGTCTCTGTTTATGTCTCCTTCTGTCAGTCTCTTGCATCTGTATTTTTTTCTGTCTCTGTCTCTCTGTGTCTGTTTCTCTCTCTGCCTCTGTCACTCTTTCCTCAAGTATACACACACACACACACACCACTGACAAATATACATATATCTTTGTCTCTCTGTCTCTGGTCTCTGTTTATGTCTCCTTCTATCTCTTTTGTATCTATGTTTATTTCTGTATTTCTCTCTTTCTTTCTTTTTTTTTTTTTTTTTTTTGAGACAGGGTCTTGCTGTGTCACTCAAACTAGAGTGCTATGGTGTCATCTCAGCTCACTGCAGCTTCCACCTCCGAGTTCAAGGTTCAAGTGATTCTCCTACCTCAGCCTCCCAAATAGCTGGGACTATAGGAGTGTACCACCACACCCAGCTAATTTTTGTATTTTTAGTAGAGACGGGGGTTTGCCATGCTGGCCAGGCTGGTCTCAAACTCCTGGCCTCAAGTGATCCACCCACCTCGGCCTCCCAAAGTGCTGGGATTACAGATGTGAGCCACCACGCCTGGCCCTATCTTTATATCTGTATCTGTCTTTATTTCTGTCTCTGTCTCTGTGTCTCTATTTTTTTTCTCTGCCTCCATCTCTTTTTCCTCGAGTGCACACACACACACACACACACACACACACACACACACACACCGCTGACAAATAGATGCATACAACCTCCCTCCTCCCGCATCTGAAGGAAGCAGGGCACTCACCTGAAAGCAGGATTCCCATCCAGTGGTGTCCCCATGAGTCAGCAGGCCCCATGGGTCCCGGCACCTGACTTCAGTGTGCCAGGCCGTCTGTCGCCCCGGCTTGCACACACAGATACAGTCCTCACTCCAGGTGCAGCCCCTCCACCTCCCTTCTCTCCTCTCCCACCCTGCTACAAACTCACACACACACTGCAGTAACTGCAGCTCCCAGGACAGACAGGGGTGGTGGCAGGAAAGTAACTTTGACCCCACCTCTGCCCTCTACCCCCAGGGCTCACTTTCCTTCCCTGCCCAGCACAAAGAGCGGGAAGTCCAGGAACCCTGGAGACCGGGAACTGCGATTACGATAGTCAATAGCAATGATAATAAAAAACAACAATGACCAGCTCCTTGTCCCCGAGAGCTTAATAACCAGTCCCAGTGCCAAGTTCATTATAAGCAGCCAATAAATATTAAATGAGCCGGAATCATGCTTGTGATATAGATCCTGGTCATAAACAAAAGCTCTGGAGTCAGACCGGCAGGAATCTCAGACTGAGCAGGACTGGGGGACCTCCAGGAGGAGCCTGACGTGGTCTTGGGAGAAGGGGCAGGGAGGGCCTCCTGGAGGAGTGGACATCTGAGCTGAAACTTCGAGAACATAGTAAAGGTTCCATATATAAAAGTTACTTAAAAAAAAATCTCTATGACAAGACAAGCTGGTGGTCTTTGACAGTGTATAGACCTAGACCCAGAAGATTTAACAGAACCGACCAGCTGAGGGAACTATCATTAATCCATGTATCCATCCATTAATTTAACAAATACTTCCTGAATTCTCTTCCTTTTTTTTTTTTTTGAGATGGAGTCTTGCTCTGTTGCCCAGGCTGGAGTGCAGTGGCATGATTTCCCCTCCCTGCAACCTCCACCTCCCAGGCTCAAGTAATTCTCCTGCCTCAGCCTGCCTAGTAGCTGCAACTACAGGCGTGCGCCTCCACACCCAGCTAATTTTTGTATTTTTAGTAGAGACGGAATTTCACCACGTAGCCCAGGCTGGTCTTCAACTCATGAGCTCAAGCAATCCGCCCGCCTCAGCCTCCCGAAGTGCTGGGATTACAGACGTGAGCCGTCGCGCCCAGTCCTGAATTCTCTCCTATGCTGACCCCTGCTCCTGGTGGTACTGGGGACACAGCTCTGACTAAGACAGCCCCAACCCTGTTCTCACAGAGGCTCACAGTCCAGTGGGGGAGACAGAACTGTCCCCAGACAGTGACAACCCAGAGTGGGCAGGGCTGGGATGGAGGAATTCAAAGGGGGCGCCTGGCTCAGCTTCAGGATCAGGGAGAGCTTCCTGGAAGAGGGGACATGGTAGCTGAGACCTGAACAACATAGGGGTGAGCCAGGGGGAGCAGCATGTGAAAAGTTTTTGAAATTGGGGCACAGAAGGAAGGTCAGGTGGGTCTAGAATAGAGGAAGTGAGAGAGGATGGATGATTCAACAGGCGGCTTAGAAAACTCTGGAACTGTTACTTAGGGTATGAGGGGCAGCTTGGCATTGCAAGAAAGAGATCGTGACTCACTCAGCTGCCTCGTTTTGCTGCCCTGCTTCCGTCTTGCTCCTGCTACAGGCAGTCACAAAGTATCTGCCCTGATAAAGCATAAGGCCGAGCCAGCTGGCTCTGGAGCCAGAGTGCATGGGTTCAAATCCTGACTCCCCGACTTGCTAACTGGGTGGCCTCAGCAGGTCAGCTCCCCTCTCTAGGGACTACTTTCCTCAGCTCTAAAATGGAGATGATGCCCAGGCACACTGGCTCACATCTGTAATCCCAGCACTTTGGGAGGCTAAGGTGGGAGGATCACTTGAGCCCAGGAGTTCAAGACCAGCCTGGGCAACATAGTGAGACCCCATCTCAATTAAAATAAAATAAAGCAGAGTAGATGATGATGCTTTTGTCTCCTAGGAAGCTCTGTGGTTATGAGCACTTGACCTCAGTGTGCCAGGCCATCTGTCACCCTTGCTTGTGGCACCATTTACAAGCACTAGGCTAGCTGGCTGCCTGGGCTGGCAAGACAGTCCTTTACATCCCAGCCATGGTTCATTGGGAAAAATTTGTCACCCTTGCATGCTTCCGTGTGCTCCATCTGCAGACTGGGAGAAATCACAGACTCCCCGCACAAGACGGTTGTGAGGATCGAATGAGTGAGTGCCAGGAAAGTGCTCAGAGCAATGCCTGGCACAGCGTAAGCCATCAACAAATGTGAATTCCCACTGGATGTCATGACTGCCCTGCATCATAATCTCACTGCAGCCCTGTGAGGGGGTACGCATTCATTCACTCTGTTACTGCTGTGGACTGAATGTTTGTCTCTCTGTCATTCAGATGTTGAAGAAATCCTGATCCTGCACGTGATGGTTTTAGGAGGCAGAAACTTTGGGAGGTAATCAGGTCCCTCCCAATGGGATTAGTGCTCTTATAAAAGGGACCTCAGAGAGCTCTCTTGTTCACTTTCCACCACGTGGGGAATGCAACAAGAAGACAGCAGTCTGTCACCCAAGAAGAGAGCCCCCACCAGAACCTGACAAAGCTACCACCCTCATATAGGCCTTCCAGCCTCCAGAACTGCATGAAATAGCTTTCTGTTCTTTACAAATCACCCATTCTGTGGTCTGTTCTAGCAGCCCGAACTGACCGAGAGCCACTCAACATATATTTCGTGAGTGTCTACTGTGCCTGTTCTAGGTGCTGGGGACATAGCAGGTAATGAGACCATCAGACGAGGCCAGGTGCAGTGGCTCATGCCCATAAATCCAACACTTTGGGAGGCCAAGGTGGGATGATTGCTTGAGCCCAGGAGTTTGAGACCAGCCTGGGCACCCCTCTCTACAAAAAAATTAAAATAAAAAAAAATAGGCATAGTGGTGCGTATCTGTGGTTGCAGCTACTCAGGAGGCTGAAGAGGGAGGATTGCTTGGGTCTGGGAGTTCGAGGCTGCAGTGAGCCATGATCGCACCGCTGCACTCCAGCCTGGGTGATGGAGCAAGACTCTGAAAAAAAAAAAAGAAAAAGAAAGAAAGAAAGAGAAAGAAAGGAAAGAAAGGAAAGAAAGGAAAGAAAGGAAGAAAGAAAGAAAAGAAAGAAAGAAAGAAAGAAAGAAAGAAAGAAAGAAAGAAAGAAAGAAAGAAAGAAAGAAAGAAAAGAAAGAAAGGAGGGAGGGAGGGAAGGAAGGAAGGAAGAAAGGAAGGAGAAAAAAAAAAGAGTGGGGTAAGGAATATGATTATTCCATCCCATAGTTAAAAACACTGAAGCTCACAGAGGTGAGATGACTTGGATAAAGTCACAGGACATCTCAGGCCCTGGCCCTCAACCTCCATGTGCGTGTGCCTTTTTCCAAGGGCCCTTCGCTATTCCCCAGCCACACCTTTCTGTACACCCAGATCAATGAACACCAATGTGGCCACATCACCCCGCCACGCCTTCAGACTCTATGGGTCCCTGTACTGAAGGCGCCTGACCCAGACCAGCCCAGCATTCAAGGCCTCTGCCACCCACCTCGTTCTTCCCAGAATGTCTGAACCTTCTGACCACCCACCTTCTCCTAAGCCAGCTTCCCTCCCCACCACCTCTGCCCTGAGGCACTCTCCCCTCTTCCCCTCCTCCCCATCCAAGACAACAGAGCTGCTGCTGGAATGGACTTCCCAAATCTGCCCCTTCATGCAAAAGCAGGGTTTCCTCTCCTGAAATTCCCACCAACTCACCCACTCAGCCCCCAGGGCAGATTCTGTTTTTTGCTGCCCCAAGGAAAGAAAGGGACTTTCTGGGCCCCTCCCTGTAGCACAACTTCCAATTATTTCCAACAGGTGAAAATAAACCAGGTCCTCTCCACTTCCCACCCTTACCTACCAGGTCTCAGCCATGCAGGCTGGCTCAAAATTGTGTCTTCCCACGGGACTGACCTCCCAGCCCAGGATGCTGCCCTATGACTGTGCCCTCACTGAGGCCATTCACTCAGCAAAGATTTGTATGGCCCTACTATGTGCCAGGCACTGTTTCAGGTATCAGGGCACGCCAGCAAATGAAACAAACAGAGATCTCTGCCTTTATAGAAATGACATGTAATGAGTGCTGGGAGGGGAGGAGGGAGACAGATAATAATTGAGATACGTGGAAAATAACTGGCTGGGCACAGTGGCTCATGCCTGTAATCTCGACATTTCGGGAGGCTGAGGCAGGAGGATCACTTGAACCCAGGAGTTTAAGACCAGCCTGGGCAATGTAGCAAGATCCCATCTCAAAGTAAATAAATAAATGTGCTTTTTTAAACATTTAAAAACATGAAAATATTAAAATTAATTTTTTTTTAAAAAAATTAGAAAACGTAGCCAGCCACAGTGGCTCATGCCTGTAATCCCAGCACTTTGGGAAGCTGAGGTGGAAGAATCACTTGAGCCCAGGAGTTCAAGACCAGCCTGGACAACATAGGGAGATCCCCATCTCTACATAAGATCAAAGTTAGCTGGGTATGGTGGTGTGTGCCTGTACTCCCAGCTACTCAGAAGGCTGAGGCAGGAGGATCACTGCCTGGAGTTTAAGACCAGCCTGGGCAACATAGCAGGATCTCACCTCAAAGTAAATAAATAAATGCTTTTAAAAAATTTAAGAATGCAGAAACATTAAAAATAAAAAAATAATAATTAGGAAATGTGGCCAGGCACAGTGGCTCATGACTGTAATCCCAGCACTTTGGGAGGTTGAGGTGGGAGAATTGCTTGAACCCAGGAGTTCAAGACCAGCCTGGGCAACATAAGGAGAACCCATTTCAACACAAGATCAAAAAGTTAGCTGGGTATGGTGATGTGTGCCTGTACTCCCAGCTACTAGGGAGGATGAGGCAGGAGGATCACTTGAGCCCAGGAGTTTGAGGCTGCAGTGAGCTATAATCATGCCACTGCACTCCAGCCTGGGTGACAGAGTAGCTGGGATTTTGTCTCTAATATAAATAAATGAATAAATAAGTGGAAAATTACTAAACTATCTATGATGTTGGAAAGTGATGTGTGCCATGGGGGATGAGGGCAGGCAGCGTCAGAGTGCCAGAGTGGGCACGCAGGATTCAATGCTAAAGCAGGCAGTCTGGGTAGCCCCATGGAGTTTTAAGCAACGACTTGAAGGAGGTGAGAGGGCAAAATGTACATACATTTGGAGGTTTCTAAGAATTAATTCACTTCTGAAAAAAAAAAATGCAGGCAGAGTCCCAAGGAGCCATTCCCTGCCTCCTGCATTTAAATAACTGAGTTTTCTATCTGCTGCCACAATAAATGCCTCCAGACTTGGCAGCTTAAAACAACATAAGTTTATCCTTTTGCAGTTCTGTAGATAGAAGTCCAGGATGGCTAAATGACTTCTCTGCTCTGGGCTTTATGGAGCTAAAATAAAGGTGTTGGCAGCTGAGCTCTTAATGGGGGAGCTTTGGGAAGAATCTGCTTCCAAGCTGTCATTCAGGCTGTGGTTGGCAGAATCAAACTCCTTGGTATTATAAAGCTGGAAACCTGTTTCTGCGATGGTTGCCAGCTGAGGGCTGCCCTTAGCTCTGGAGGCCTCTCTCCTGTCCTTGCCTTTGAGCCTGTACATCTCAGAGCCAGCAACGCCACAACAAATCCTTCTCGGGCTTGGGATCTCTCTGGATTCCCTGTCTGCTGCATCTCTTCACAATTTTTTTTTTCTTTTTAGAGACAGGGTCTCCCTCTGTCGCCCAAGCAGTGGTGCAATCATAGCTCACTGCAGCCTTGAACTCCTGGGCTGAAGAAATCCTCCTGCCTTGGCCTCCAAAAGCACTGGGATTACAGGCATGAGCCACTGCACCAGGCCCTCTGTCTGCCGTGTCTCTCTTCTGCTTCCAGCTGGGGAAAGTTATCTGCTTTGAAGGGCTTGGGTGATTAGGTTGGACCCACCTTGATAATCCAGGATAATCTCCTTATTTTGAAGTTTGTAACTGTATTAGTCCGTTTTCACACTGCTGATAAACTGAGCAGCTTACAAAAGAAAGAGATTTAATGGACTTACAGTTCCACATGACGGGGGAGGCCTCACAATCATGGCAGAAGGCAAGGAGGAGCAAGTCACATCTTACATGGGTGGCAGCAGGCAAAGAGAGAGCTTGTACAGGGAAACTCCCCCTTATAAAACCATCAGATCTCATGAGACTTATTCACTCTCAGGAGAACAGCACAGGAAAGACCTGCCCCCCTGATTCAATTACCTCCCACCAGGTCCCTCCCACAATACACGGGAATTCAGATGAGATTTGGGTGGGGACCACAAAACCTAACCACATCAGTAACCTTAATTACATCTGCAAAGTCATTTTGCTTTTGTAATGTAACATATTCACAGGTTTGTTCATTTTTTATGGCTGAGTAGTATTTCATGGTGAATATATATCACAGGTTCCAGGAACTAGGATGTGGGCACCTTTGGTGGGGGGTCACTATTCTGCCTACCATAATGACATGATGTGAAAGCAGGAATGTCTAGAGTTCAGGCAGCCATTCTGAGACCATGAAGTAGCAAGTTCAGCAGGATATGCAATGCACTGAGGGTGGAGGGATGGATGAGAGGATATCACTGAGCCATAGAATAAACCTAGGGCATCTTGCAAAATGACAATTATGATTTTTGCCGCTGTGATCCAGGTTGTCTTTTGTTTGCAGCTGAATGCATTCTACCTGGCTCCTTTCCAGATCACCATTGGAAGTGTTTATTGGAAGACCTTGCATCAAAACCCTGATCTTTCAGAAACATAGAGTTTGTAGTAGTGTTCTTTTTCTTAAAGTGTGCTAAAACTTGTAAAATCGACTTTGAGAAAGAGCCTACTCAAAATTACTCTTCTGTTTAAACAGAGATTCCAGTCTAAGCTCCCTTTTATCCCATATGGGGAAACTAGGGCCCAGAGGGTACAGTGAAGTTTTTCTCCAGGGTCATAGAACTGAGTCTTCTTGGAACATCTGGGAAACTCAGTTTTGTACCGTTGACTTTTTGTGCTTTTCCTGTGTACAAGAAGCAAGATCAGTATAAATGGGAAAATAAATAATGCAGATCCAGGTAATAGAATCCCAACATCTCATACCCAAGAACCCCTACACACACACACACACACATGCACACACAACACATCATCATCATCGTTGTCGTCATCGTCATCCTCATCATCACCATCATTATCCTGCCCCCTGCAGCCTCTACACCATACTTGTTTCCATGACTCCTTAAATTCCTAGAATGGCACAGAAAACAGACAAAAGATTAGCTCACAGATGCTATTTTATTAAACTCATGATGCCCACTGACATAGAAAGGGACATATGTTTTCTGAGTCATGGTTCAAAGGAGTAAACTTTCCCAGAAGCTTCTCCAGCTGAGATATCCTCCCCTCACCAATATAACAATTTCACTAACACTCTCCCACTTCTACCCACTCTGTCATCATAAGCATCCACATCCCACTCTACCCAGTCAGAGCTATGACTTCTTCTTCTAGAACTTGGGACACCACCAATTAGAGAGTAAAATACTTTGGATCTTCCAAGTAACCTGCAGGATACTTTTTTTTCTTTTTTTTTTTTTGAGACGGAGTTTCACTCTGTTACCCAGGCTGGAGTGCAGTGGCACGATCTCAAGTCACTGCAACCTCCACCTCCCAGGTTCGAGTAATTCTCCTGCCTCAGCCTCCTCAGTAGCTGGAATTACAGGCACCCACGACCACACCCGACTAATGTTTTGTATTTTTAGTAGAGATGGGGTTTCACCATGTTGGCCAGGCTGGTCTCGAACTCCTGACCTCAGGTGATCCACCCACCTTGGCCTCCCAAAGTGCTGGGATTATAGGCGTGAGCCACCGTGCCCAGCCACCTGCAGGATACTTTTAAGTTCACCTCAAGATCGTGCATTAACAATTTTGTAAGGTGCTTAGCTCTTGTCTCACTACTAGGAAGAAAAGAGTGTCCAATCTTGCATTATCAAGCCAGCCATGAAAATTCCATTTAAGGGAGATGGTGGGGACAAAGAAGCATGGATGAGGGTCAGACAGAGTTCTGTGGTAGGAAAGTGAGAGGCTCCCAGGAGCTGAAGGATGTTAGAGATCAACTGATGACATGAGGATATTAGCTAATGCTGCCAAGGACTCTGTACAGACTCCTCAGCCTCCCAAGTAGCTGGGATTACAGACACATGCCACGGCACCCAGCTAATTTTTTTTGTAGCGTTTCAGAGGGGAGTCTCTCTATGTTGCCCATGCTGGTCTCGAACTTGTGGCCTCAAGCAATCCTCCCATCTCAGCCTCCCAAAGCACTGGGATTATAGGTGTGAGCAACCGTGCCTAGTCTGAACTGTGAATTTTTGAATGCAAAAGCTGACTGAGCTACTTGAGCCACAGCCCTTAGAGAGTTACACATAATATGCAAAGAAGGAATGCAACATAAGAAAGGGTATTCTACATCATAACACTTCTTTTTTTTTTTAAATTTTTTGAGACAGAGTTTCGCTCTTGCTGCCCAGGCCAGAGTGCAGTGGTGCCATCTTGGCTCACCGCAACCTCCACCTCCGGGGTTCAAGCAATTCCCCTGCCTCAGCCTCCCGAGTAGCTGGGATTACAGGCATGTGCCACCACACCCAGCTAATTTTGTATTTTTAGTAGAGACGGGATTTCTCCATGTTGATCAGGCTGGCCTCAAACTCCCAACCTCAGGTGATCTGCCCGCCTCAGCCTCCCAAAGTGCTGGGATTACAGGCGTGAGCCACCGCGCACAGACAACACTTCTTAACTGGTGGAGTAAACGTGTGGAGGTGGTCTGTGAAGCTACAAGGTAAGTCCTAATCATCATGCAATCCCCTGTCTAAAGCATTTTTGTTTTAAAAAAGGAAAGAGATTGGGGAGTGATTACAACCTTCTACCTTTCAATGAAGATCACCTCAAATCTGTTAAAATAGCTGGCTCAGTGTCTCTTTTTGGCCTTGGGAGGAGTTGAAATCTCTGGTCAGGGTGTTGAAGACTGGTCACAATGCAGTTGACATCTCCATGCCTCTGGAAAATATGAAACCTTGCTCAACCCTACCCAAGAAAGGGACTTTCTGTTCTGGCCTCCATAGCCAGAAACGCCTCTGCCTCCCCCAGCTGTGGAAGGAATACTTGATTCCCAACTCAGGGTCAGCTGCCCTTACTCTCTGCTCAATTCCTCTTTTTTCTCTGAAACAAAATATTTGGGCATCTTTCTCGATACCCTCCTTTCCCTAAATCACCTCCAACATCCAATCAATCACCAACTCCTAAGGGTTCCATCTTTGAAACTCATTAACCTTCTTTTCTGCCCCCTTTTCTCCATCCGCATGACCTTACCCTAGGCAATACCTCCATCTTCTCTCGCCTGTAAAACTGCTCTGAGTTCCCCAACCCTGACCCCCAGCCTCCCTGTCAGTATACTTAACCCCTCCAACATGCCCACCACAATTCTGGCCACCTTTCCAAATCCCAGCTCTGAATTAGAGTCTCTCTCTCTCCCCTCTAAACAGAGAGGCTCAAAGACCCTCAGCTGACCCTACAAGAAGTCTGGGATGCTGCCATTCTTTCCTGGTAAATCCCCTCCCATGATCCCTTACTGTCCACAGGGTGAACATCTAATTCTTCAGTCTGGCATCTGAAGCTTCTGAAGCATCTGGAGGTAAGTATTTCATCCTTACCTTGCTGAGCTGAACTCCACAGGATTCCTGGGCTGGAGAGAAGGAAAGAAGAGTTAAGTCCCAAGAGGCGAGTGGAAAAGGTGTCTTCCTCTGCAGCTAAGCCAATAGCAGGCTGTCTTCATCCCACCTTCTGAAGGAGGGAAAGGGGGCAAAAAGTTGAGATCTCTGCTTCCTAGGCGAGCCCGAGGTCCCAGAGAACCCTGAAGGTAGAGCAAACCTCGTGTTATCATGGTGAATAATATTGGCGTCCATCCCAGGAAACTGAGCTAATGCTCTCTGCCCAGATGTGCACAGGGATGACACACCACGAGCGATCTTGGTCCCATCCCACCCCTATTCTGCTCCAGGCTTCAGGTAGCACAGTGGTTAAGGACCCAGACTCTACAGTGAGAGAGAAATGGGTTCAAAGCTCCCCCAGCTCCTCTGCTCACCGTCTATGTGACCTCGAGCATGAGACAGAGCCTCTTTAAGCCCCAGTTTCTTCTTCTGCATAATAGGTGTAACCCTAGCTCCTCCCTCCTCGATGAAATGAGGAGACGCTGAATGCAGTGGCTCAGCAGAGGGTGAAATACAGCAAGCCCACAGGAAATGGGGCTGCAGTCATTTGTCTTTGCACAACTGGTAGTAGGATGGAGAGTGGACGCTCAAAGATACCAGGTCCTAACCCTTGCAACCTGTAAATGTTACGTCATAAGGAAACAAGGTTTTTGCAGATACAATTAAGGATCATGAGATGAGGAGGTCATCTAGATGATGCGAGTGGACAGTAAATGTCATCATGAGTTTCCTCATTAAAGAGTAGAGGGAGATTGGACACCCACAGAGGAGAAGGCAATGTGAAGAGAAGCAGAAGGTGACCCGGACACAAGTCACAGAATGCCACCAGCCAGCAGAAACATGACTGCAGCAGACCCAGGGTCCCACGCCCAGAAACCTCCAGAACACCTCAAGGGAATTGTAAACCAGCAAGAGATAGCTTTACATTTTTTTTTTTTTTTTTTTTTGAGACAGGGTCTCACTCTGTTGCCCAGGCTGGAATACTGTGGCATGATCATGGCTCACAGCAGCCTCAAACTCCTGGGCCCAAGCGATTCGCCCATCTCAGCCTCTTGAGTAGCTGGGACCACAGGCATGTGCCACCACATCCAACTAATTTTTTGTATTTTTGGTAGAGACAGTTTCACCATGTTGCCCAGGCTGGTCTCGAACTCGTGAGCTCAAGTGATCCACTTGCCTCAGCTTCCCAAAATGCTGGGATTACAGTAGTAAGCCTCTGTGCCCAACCTAGGTAGTGATATTTATGATTAGCCATGCCATAATTATAATATGATATTATACCTAGGGTTTAGCGGACACTATATAAATGTTAGTTGTAACTAATAATGGTTATTTTAACAATATTATTAATAGACAAATTTAGTTACCATTTACATATACAGACATTAGCTAAGTCCTGATGATGCCGGTGAATTGTCTCCACAACTATAAGGTAATGGCTACCTTTATCCCCATTTCACAGGTGAGGAAACTAAGGCAATAGTGGTTAGGACACCCTTCCAAGGTTGCCACTGCGAGGAGCTGGTGACAGAGGGGTTTGAATTCACTTCCATCTGACTCAAGAGCCCAGGATCGAACTCAGGACAAATGGGTGGTGCCCCAGCGCCAGTGCTGACTGCCAGTTCCTGAGCAGGTTCTTCCCCTGCAGGCCCACCCACTGGTCCTCAGTGCCCCTGGTCCCTGCCAGTGAAGTTTGCAGCTCCCAGATAAGTAGCCCCCTCTGGGATCCCCACTCAGTCCTGGCTCCGTGACCTCTGAGGGGCCCAGAGCTGGTACCTGGGACCTTATGACCCCAACACAGTAGCCAGCAGTCCCTGTGAGCACCACGCTGATCAGGACACTCGAGGCAATCCCTGCGATGCCTCCAGCAGGAATAGTGGTCCTGAGTAAGGCCGGCTGCAGTTCATCCCCAGGAACCTCTGCAGGAAAGAGAGAGAGAAGGAGAAAGAGAGAGATAGAAAGAGAGAGAGGGAGGGAGAGGAAGAGAGAGGTGTCAGTGCTGGGGCTCTGGGTTTCAGGTCCTCAGAGCTGTTCCCTCCATGTGCTCAATTCGAACCCTCCTCTCCCCCCATTTTACAGATTGGGAAACTGAGGCCCAGGGAAAGGAAGCGTCTGTACCAGATAATAAATATAACACTCACAGATGACAGGAATAATGTCTGGTAAACTATATTATCTCATTTATTCCTCAAGACAACCCTATGAGGAAGGCATTGTTAATATCCCCATTAAAGAAACAGGCACTGAGAAGTTAAACTACCCATCCACCATCACACATGGGGTAGAGTTAGAATTTGAAACATGTTGATGCCAGAGCTTACACTCTGAACCTCTGCACTATGTGGCCTCTGAGGATCACATTCATCCATTCCTCATTCAACGAACATTTATTTAGCACATACTGTGTGTGCCAGACACCTTTTTAGGCACTCGAGGGATATTGCAGAAAACAGAACAGACAAAATTCCTGATGTCCTAGAGCTTACACTTTAGGAGGGAACTGAGACATAAAACACACAATGAGGGCCAGGTGTGGTGGTTCACGCCTGTAATCCCAACACTTTGGGAGTCCGAGGCAGGCGGATCACGAGGTCAGGAGATCGAGACCATCCTGGCTAACACAGTGAAACCCTGTCTTTACTAAAAATACAAAAAATTAGCCGGGCATGGTGGCACGTGCCTGTAGTCCCAGCTACTCAAGAGACTGAGGCAAGAGAATCATTTGAACCCAGGAGGCGGAGGTTGCAGTGGGTCAAGATTGTGCCACCGCACTCCACCCTGGGCGACAGAGTGAGACTCTGTCAACACACACACACACACACACACACACACACACACACACACACACAATGGAGCAAATATATAAAGTGATGACAAGCATTATAAAGGAGTAGAATAAGATGCTATTCGAGGATCTCACAGGAGGACCAGACTTAGTCTGGGGAAATCAGGGAACGCATCCTGGAGGAAGTGACATTTAAGCTGAGATCCAAAAGACAAGTCCAAGATCAGCTGGTAGAGGGGTTAGTCTCCTGAGCAAAGTGGCCAGCATTCATTCATTCATTCATTTATTCATTCAGCAAGCTGTTCTAGGCACTGATGATACAGCAGTCAACACAACAGACAAGGTCTCAACCGTCACAGATCTGGCCACCTGGATGGAGAGATTGATGATAAATAATTAGGCCCTAATAATAATTAGGGCCTGGCATGGTGGCTCACACCTGTAATCCCAGCACTTTGGGTGGCCAAGGCCAGTGGATCACCTGAGGTCAGGAGTTCAAGACCAGCCTGACCAATATGACAAAACCCCGTCTCTATTAAAAAACATACAGCCAAGTTCAGAAGGACCACCCAACTGACCTGCAGACTTACAAGCTGTAACAAATTCTTATTGTCTTGAGCCACTGGGTCTTGGCAGGGGGGGCATTTTATGCAGCTTTGTTGAGGTACTATATGATTGACCCAAGCCCCAGAACCCACTTATATCAGGCAAGAGACTCTGAGCCATTATCACCACGGCATCTCAACACCCACCTGAGATCCAGATCTTCCCATTGACTGAGCTGCAGAGGTGAGTGATGCTGTTGGAGGCCTCACAGGTGTACCTGCCCTACTGGTCCAGAGTGACCTCAGAAATGACCAGGTGCTGGGTGGCAGGGCCTGGCCTTCTGTCCATCTCCCAGTGGTACTGGGCAGGGGGGTTTGAGTCAGCAAAGCAGGACAGGGTGAGGGCTGCCCCAGCTGTGACCTCTGGGTCTGGAGGGTTGACCATAGGAGGGTCTGGGCCATCTGCAGAGAATTGAGAAGACCAGGCCAGAGGGAAGAGGAAAGGCCTTTGTCCATATTACAATGCATTGGCCATTGTCTCAGATGACACTCTTCCATCCCCCTCCAGTGCACAACTGCATTTGACACTGTTGGCCATCTCCCTTCTAGTTGCTTTCTTGTCCCCTACCACCACCACCACCTCCCCATACCATATTCTCTACTTCTACTGTGCAGCTAGAGGTATCCTTTTCAAAGCTTGTTCAAACCTGCGTCACATCATGTCCCTTCTCTGCACAAACCCTTCTTTGGCTGCTGTCTCATGCAGGGTAAAAGCCAAAGCCCTCATCATGGCCCACAGGCCCTGCACAGTCTGTCCCATTACCTCTCTTGGGGCAAGACAGTCCTCTTCTTCCTCACTCTCCTTCTTCCCTTTACTTCAGCCACTATGACCTCCTCTCTCAAAACCACACTCCCACCCCAGGCTTGGCATTTGCAGTCTCCCTTCCACAAAATCTCCCCTTGGTGCCCTCTCTCACTTTGTCCAGGACAGACACTTCCAGCTTTGCCAACAGAACCAGCTAAACTTCAGCCGCTCCTTCACCCCTCAACCACACTCCTATGCACATCTCCACCCATCCTTTATCAGGTCCTGGACTCACATGTAACTTTGATGAGAGTGGGGTTGCTGATGCTGCTGGTGGCTGAGTTCCAGCTCTCACACTGGTAGACCCCCGTGTCATTCCTGGTGATGTTCGACAGAGTCAGTGTTCTGCAGTCCAGGGACAGCTCCCTGTGGCCACCAATGAAGAGCTTCTGGCCATTGACATCCCGGCGGATGGCCACAGTGCTCCTTGGAGGAAGGCAATGCAGACTGATGGAATCCACATGCTCCACTGGGGCTAAGTTACTGGCTGTGACATTGGGCTGAGGAAGTGTCTCTGCAGGAAAATTAGAAAGAGGTAGAAATGCTGAGTCCTGCCCAGATCATGGGCTTAGAGAAGAACACCCTTAGGGAACACCCTTAGGGCTGAAGGAATTCAGCACACTTGCCAATCATCCATCCATGCACCTGTCCATAAGTCCATCTACTCTCCACCAACTCAGCCTTTCCTACATTCATTCACCCAATTGTTCACTCTTCCAGTCACCCTTCTATTTATCCATCCACCAATTTGTCCCTCAATCCACCCATCTATCCATCCGTCATCCATCCATCCATCCATCCATCCATCCATCCATCCTATCCATAAATCTACCTTCCCATCTACCTACCCACCCAGGGATGCATACATGCACCCATCTTCTCAATCATTCACCATTTTTTTCACCCATTTGTCCACCCAATCATCTTTTCCAATCACTTACCACCCACCTAAATTCGCTCATCCACCTATCCCTTCATTTACCCAATCACCTATTCATTCATCACCCAATCACCTATTCATTCATCCACCAATCCATCCATTGATCTTCCCTTCTGTCTGTTTACTTAATAAATTAACACTTCTGGAGCACCAAATATGCCCCAGGCTTTGTGCTAAATGCTTTACAGACACAATCTTATATCCTCATGCTTATATTTCAAGAGAAGGGTGGATTTTAACCCATTTCACAGGTGATAAAACTGAGCAAACAATAAAAAGAACCTTCATCAATTGAGTACTTAATTTGTCGTAGATGTTTTATGTGTGTGATTCATTAGACTTCACAACAACCCTGTAAATCCCCATTTGCAAAATGAAGAACCTGAGGCTCAGGGATGATCCATGACTAACCCAAGATGAGGACATTGATCCATGGGGGCAAATGGGATTCATGCTGCCCATCTGCCTGCCTCTTTCCTTTCTCGCTGACCTGCATTACACCCAGGGTGATCTCCCACACAGCTGAGTTGTACCCTCTGTAGCTCCTACGAATCACCTGGATGTTGAGATGCACTGTGCTATAACATCCTTTTATTCTCCTAAGTCATAATCACACCATACAAATAAGAAAAGGATCTCAGAAGGGTAACCATTGAAAGCAAAAATTTTCATCCCTAAATAACTTTTATACCAATATTTTTAAAAATTTGGAGCAAGATAGCACAACTCTTCTTTATAAAGGAAAATACATATGCAGTAATTTATAAGAAATAGATACTGGAGGCCAGGCACTGTGGCTCGTACCTGTAATCCCAGCACTTTGGGAAGCCAAGGCAGGCGGATCACCTGAGGTCAGGAGTTCGAGACCAGCCTGGCCAACATGGCAAAACCCCGTCTCTACTAAAAACACAAAAATTAGCCAGATGTGCTGGTGCACGCCTGTTATCCCAGGCGGCTGAGGCAGAAGAATCACTTGAACCCAGGAGGCAGAGGTTGCAGTGAGCCAAGATCATGCCATTGCACTCCAGCCTGGGTGACGGAGTGAGACTTTGTCTTAAAAAAAAAAAAAAAAAAAAAAAAAAGAGAGAGAGAAGAAAAAAAAAAAGAAATAGGTACTGGGAATGAACCTGTAAGAGGGTATAACAAAATATTAGCAGTGGTCATTTCTGAGAATGTAGAGTTTTTACCCTTTTCCTTTTTAAAAATATTTGTATTGGTAATTTCTCTTACACTGGATATACAGTATGTATTCAATAAAGAAATAATCAGAATGTAGGATGTAATGTGGCTCTATATTAATTAACAGAAAGACATTAAAGATTAAAAGATGAAATTTAAAAACAGTTTAAACAATAATAAGTATAGTCTAATACTATTTGTTGTTTAAAAATACATATATTTGGCCGGCCACAATGGCTCACACCTGTAATCCTAGCACTTTTGGAGGCCAAGGTGGACGGATCACTTAAGCCCAAGAGTTTGAGACCAGACTGGGCAGCACAGCAAGACCCTGTCTCTACAAAAAGGACAAAAATTAGCCCAGCGTGGTGGCATGTGCCTGTAGTGCCAGCTACTTGGGAGGCTGAGGTGGGAGGATCAATTGATCCCAGGAGGTTGAGGCTACAGTGAGCAAAGATCAAACCACTGCACTCCAGCCTGGCAGACAGAGTGAGACCCTGTCTCAAAAAAAAAAAAAAAAAAGAAGACCACACACATATATTTGAATGTATATACAAAAACAGAGGAATTATAGAAGCCCTGTGGCTTTTTCTGGGAGGCTTATTGTGGAAAACATTTTTTGCCTTCTTGCCCATCTATATGATTTACTTTTTCTACAATTATTGTGAAATTTATTTAAAATGTGAAAAAGGTGGCATATAATATTTTTTTTTTTTTTTTTTTTTTTTTTTTTTTTAAGTTTCCTTGTATTTTGAATTCTTTTTTTTTTTTTTTTTTTTTTTTTTTTTTTTTTTATTATACTCTAAGTTTTAGGGTACATGTGCACATTGTGCAGGTTAGTTACATATGTATACATGTGCCATGCTGGTGCACTGCACCCACTAATGTGTCATCTAGCATTAGGTATATCTCCCAATGCTATCCCTCCCCCCTCCCCCGACCCCACCACAGTCCCCAGAGTGTGATATTCCCCTTCCTGGGTCCATGTGATCTCATTGTTCAATTCCCACCTATGAGTGAGAATATGCGGTGTTTGGTTTTTTGTTCTTGCGATAGTTTACTGAGAATGATGGTTTCCAATTTCATCCATGTCCCTACAAAGGATATGAACTCATCATTTTTTATGGCTGCATAGTATTCCATGGTGTATATGTGCCACATTTTCTTAATCCAGTCTATCATTGTTGGACATTTGGGTTGGTTCCAAGTCTTTGCTATTGTGAATAGTGCCGCAATAAACATACGTGTGCATGTGTCTTTATAGCAGCATGATTTATACTCATTTGGGTATATACCCAGTAATGGGATGGCTGGGTCAAATGGTATTTCTAGTTCTAGATCCCTGAGGAATCGGGTGGCATATAATATTTTTAAAGCAATCCTATCAATGAAAAGTCATTTTGTTGGTTAAAGAATGTAAAAATTTATTCTGCATAACACAGGTTAGAAAAATCTTGCTGAATATATAAAGAAGTGAAACAGCAAAGAAAAGAATTCTAAAAAACAAAACCAAACCCAAATTCGCCAATGAAGTCCTGGGGCAGAGAAGAATTTTTCTCTTATTTTTTTCTTTTTCTTTTTTTTTTCTTTGATTTTGAAGATTTCACCATTAACCAATCACCCTCAACCCTGGCTTCATACCTGAGACAGTGATGATGGTGTCCATACTGCTGTGCAAGCCGGAAAGGGAGTTGGAGGCCTTGCAGGTGTAGACCCCTGAGTGTGCCCTGGAGAGACTGGGCATGAAGAGGGTCTGGCCCTCCCATGTGGTGACCCCACTGAAGCTCCATGTGTACTGGGCAAGGAGGTGGGAGTAGGCTAAGCAGACCAGAGTGAGGTTGGAACCAATCACAAAATCTGGGTCCAGTGCGGTCATGATGGGGGTATCCGGGCCATCTGAACAAGGAGAAAGACTTCCTAATTAGGAAGAGTATGAGAAGTAAGGACCACCCCCCTAGATTGTGCATTTCAGCTCAGTGTTGGAAGCCTGACATGTTGAGGGAGGCACACAGCACCACAACGTAAAAGTTTGTCAGAGGAAGGAAGGGAGGGAGGGGAGGAAGGGAGGGAGGGAGGGAGGGAGGGAGGAAGGAAGGAAGGAAGGAAGGAAGGAAGGAAGGAAGGAAGGAAGGAAGGAGGGAAAGAACAAACGAACCATGGCTGGCGGTAGCCTCCCTCTTGTGTCTATTACCCTCCTTGATCTTTGAAGACTGTCAGCTCCATGAGGACAGGGATATGCTTGTCAGTTATGTTAACTGCTTTGACTAGAAATAACACCCAATACACACAGCACACAGTGGATGCTCAGTAGATGCTTTCCCAAAAGTAGAGAGACAGAGGGGCAGAGAGAGAAAAACACATGGGTTCAAGTTCTTATCTTTCTTCTTGACCACGGTGAGATCTTGGGTGAGCCCTTCCCCTTTCTTAATCTCAGTTTTCTTGTTTGTAAAATGTGGTGTCTCTGAAAGTCCTTCCAGTTCTGCAAATATTTATGTTGTCGAGTCTGGAATTTCTGGGATCTTGGCTTCCTACAATCTCCATCTACCTTTGTACCTGAGATTGAATGGGTCTGAAAGTCCTTAATTGGGTACATAGTAGAAGCTCAATACATGCCCCTTAAATAAATAAATGATGATAAACTTCTGAGAGAATAGTCATTGTAAACGTCTATTAAGCACTTAGTGTGCAGAGTAGTGGAAAAGAATAAAGAAAAAAAGAGAAAAAAAGAAGCACTTGCTATGTTCCAGGCACTATTCTAAGTTCCTTAAATGAACTAACTCACTTAATCCTCATAATCACCCAATGAGATAGATAATATTATGATTCTCACTTTGCAGATGAGAAAACTGAGGACATAGAAAAGTGAAGTGACTTGCCCAAGGACACCTAGCTAAGAAATAGCAGGGACGGCTGGGCGCAGAGGCTCACGCCTGTAATTCTAGCACTTTGGGAGGCTGAGGCAGGAGGATTGCTTGAGCTTAGGAGTTCAAGACTAGGCTGGGCAACATAGTGAGACTTTGTCTCTACCAAAACTTGTAAAAATTAGCCAGGCATAGAGGCATGTGCCTGCGATCCCAGCTACTCCGGTGGCTGAGGCAGGAGGATTGCTTGAGCCCAGAAGGGCAAGGCTGCAGTGAGCTATGATCCAGCCACTGCACTCCAGCCTGGACAACAGAGTGAGACCATGACTCAATAAATAAATAAATAAAAGAAACAGAAGCACTAGGATTTGAACCAAGGCAGTCTGTAGAGTCTCTGATTTAAACGCTAAGCTATAAATCATGGATGAACCAGTAGATAGTTGGGCTGGAGGTTCTGTGTGGATCAGAGGTGAGTCAGAGCAAAGAAACCCAGACTTACAAGCCACGCCAACCACGAGGGCTTCACTGAGCCTGGATCCCAGGTGGTTCCTGGCCTCACAGTGGTAGGTGCTGGAGTCATTGCGTGTGACTGTGGGGATGGTGAGGACCCTGCCATCTCTGGAGATTACTGGTCCATCCCCTTCCTGAATCACCTCAAGGTTCAGAAACCACTGGAATGTCCTGTCATTGTTTGGAGAAATGCATGTCAAATTCAAGGAGTCTGTGTGCTCCAGAGGGGCCAAGTTCTGGGCTTCCACCGGGGGCTGGTGCAGCTTCTCTGGGGAGAAGGAAAGAGAAAGAATGGCGTTATAGGACATGGGAGGATCTGGAACCCTAGGAATGATCAGCAGCACGAATAGGCTGGGGACCTTGGAAACACCAGCGTTGGCTTTGCTGTTTCCAAGATGACCAATAAGCACACACACACACACACACACACACACACACACAGCCAACAGCTCTACTTCCGGAAGTTCTTAACTGTCTAGAGATCCCAGATCCTCTCCCCAGAAATACACCCAATAACACACACACCACACAAATACCTACACATTTGTATATAATTTCAAGGGGTTATGGGGCACTCTAAAGACCAACTTTAGATTTCAAGTGAGGAATCTTATACCTAGATTACAAATTAGTAAATATCTTTCTTTTTTGAGACAGGGTCTTGTTCTGTTGCCCAGGCTTCAGTGCAGTGGCACTAACACGGCTCACCATAGTCTCAACCTCCCAGGCACAAGCGATCCTCCCGCCTCAGCCTCCTGAGTAGCTGAGATCCATGCATGTCACCATCCTCAGCTACTTTTGAAAAACTTTTGTAGGGTGGGGTCTTGCTGTGCTGCCCAGGCTGGTCTCAAACTCCTGGGCTCAAGTGATCCTCCTGTCTTGACCTCCCAAAGTGCTGGCCTGACAGGAAGTAAATATCTTTCTTGAAGTCAACTTAGAAATACAAGTTGAAAGTTACACATGTTTATATAACTTTTGACCCAATGATTACACTTTTAAAAACAGTTTTATTGAGGTATAATAAGCAAATAAAAATGTTGTATGTTCAAAGTGTACAACTTGATGTTTTGATAGTTGATCTCTACAATCAAGCTAATTAATATATCCATCACCGGCTGGGTGTGGTGGCTCAGGCCTGTAATCCCAGCTCTTTGGGAGGCTGAGGAAGGTGGATCACCTGAGGTCAGGAGTTTGAGACCAGCTTGGCCAACATGGTGAAACCCCGTCTCTACTAAAAAATACAAAAATTAGCCAGGTGTGGTGGCACGCACTTGTAATTCCAGCTACTTGGGAGGCTGAGGTGGGAGGATCTCTTGAACCTGGATGGTGGGGGTTGCAGTGAGCCGAGATCATACCACGACACTCCAGCATGGACAACAGAGTGAGACTCCATCTCAAAAAAATGAAAAAAAAAAAAAGGAAGAAAGGAAAAAAAACTGCTGGATGCTTGCTTGCATTGCTTCCATTGCTTGCACTGCAAGCATTATCTCATGTACTACTGGTACCACCCTGTGCTGTAAGGACTATTAATATCCCATTTTACAACAGGTAAACTGAGGTTTATGTTGGGTAAGTGAGTTGTGAAAAACCAAGTTGTAAGTGGGTGAATCATTTTTAAACTCAGGGCTATGTGACTCCAAACTTCATAACCACTGTGAAATAAATACTATGTAGAAAAATCTATTTTTAAAAAATCTCAGAAAATGAAGCAGGCACAGTTTTCCCTATTCCATCCCGAGCACAGTTAAAAACCTTGGATATTATCACTTCTACACTGCTGGTGGGAATGTAAACTAGTACAGCCGTTATGAAAAACAGTGTGGAGATTCCTTAAACAACTAAAAGTAGAACTACCATTTGATCCAGCAGTCCCACTACTGGGTATCTACCCAGAGGAAAAGAAGTCATTACACAAAAAAGATACTCGCACACGCATGTTTATAGCAGCACAATTCACAATTGCAAAATCGTGGCACCAACCCAAATACCCATCAATCAACAAGTGGATAAAGAAACTGTGATATATATATATATGTTCATATATACGTTCATATATATATGTTCATATATACGTTCATATATACGTTCATATATACGTTCATATATATACGTTCATATATGCGTTCATATATGCGTTCATATATATACGTTCATATATGCGTTCATATATATACGTTCATATATGCGTTCATATATATACGTTCATATATACGTTCATATATATACGTTCATATATGCGTTTATATATACGTTCATATATGCGTTCATATATATGCGTTCATATATATGCGTTCATATATACGCGTTCATATATACGTTCATATATACGCGTTCATATATACGCGTTCATATATACGCGTTCATATATACGCGTTCATATATACGTTCATATATACGCGTTCATATATACGTTCATATATATACGTTCATATATACGTTCATATATATACGTTCATATATATACGTTCATATATATACGTTCATATATATACGTTCATATATACGTTCATATATACACGTTCATATATACGTTCATATATACGTTCATATATACGTTCATATATACGTTCATATATACATTCATATATATGTTCATATATACGTTCATATATATGTTCATATATATATATATATATATATATATATATATGAATGATGGAATACTACTCGGTCATAAAAAGGAATGAATTAACAACATTTGCAATGACCTGGATGAGACTGGAGACTATTATTCTAAGTGAAGTAACTCAGGAATGGAAAACCAAACATCATATGTTCTCACTGATATGTGGGAGCTAAGCTATGAGGACACAAAAGCGTAAGAATGATACAATGGACTTTGGGGACTTGGGGTGAAGAGTGGGAGGGGAGTGAGGGATGAAAGACTACAAATAGGGTGGAGTGTATACCGCTCAGGTGATGGGTGCACCAAAATCTCACAAATCACCCCCAAAGAACTTACTCATGTAACCAAACCGACCTGTACCCCAATAATCTATGGAAAAATAAATAAAATAAAATAAAGCAATAGAGAAAAAGCCTCAAAAATATGAACAGAACATCATTGTTCTATGGGAATAATATCAAGCAGTCTATCACAGGTGCAGCTAAAGAATGAATAAATAAATAAATAAATAAATAAATAAATAAATAAATAAAAATAGATGACTCGGAAAGGAGGAGAGAATATGGCAGACTGGCTGCGGATCTCAAGACCGGAGAAAGCACATGGTGGTGAGTTTTCTGGACTTTCTTTGCGCCTCACAGATCCCAGACTGGGAGCTGGAGAGCCTGGCAATCTAGAAATGCCAATGAGTGTAGATCCAAAAGAGGCTCAAGCAAAGCCTGCTCTAGCCAAAGGACAAGGAGCAGTAGCCTGACAAGATTTGCTAAAGACAGCAAATCTTTACAAGATAATCACTTTGCTGCTGTGATATCCCACAGAAAAGCCTGGACATTTACCCTTGCCAGCTGTACAGAGACACCCATCCCCTCCACCAGGCTGAATAAGCAGCTGGGACTGTCATCCTTGCCCAGCAGTAATGAGCACCGACCCTGCAGTGTCCATTGAGGCCACTAGGGAGCGGTAACGAGGCGTCTCTGCCCCTTCTGGGCAAGATGGTATCAGAGGATGTCTCAGTGGAAAGCCTGAACTCTGCTAACTGCCCAGAGTAACAGTTGCCCCGCCCCACCTGGAATGTCAACAGAGGCCAAATGGGGAACCTGGACCTCCATCCCCACTGGCTATAACAAGATGGTGCCCTTTTTGCCCCACCAGCAAGATGTCAGAGGAGACCTGCTATAACAGAAGATTTAAATGAGATCCAGCGTCTCATAATTTCCAAAATGTCCAGGGTGTTGTTGAAAATCACTTGTCATACACCTACATGTAATCCCAATACTTTGGGAGGCCGAGGTGGGAGAATTGCTTGAGCTCAGAAGTTCGAGACCAGCGTGGGCAACATAGTGAGACCCCATCTCTACAAAAAAAAAAAAAAAATTGACTGAATGAGAAAGACATTCCTGAAATTAAATGAGGAAAGACAATTAATAGAGATGACATGGATTGTTGTTGATGTTTTCTAACTTGGTCTTGAGTTTTCTAGGGGATTTAGTTGTAGATGTTTAAAGTGTAATTTTCACTGGTTACTTCTTTATCTTGGTGGTCGGCCTAATGCCTACATGTCTGACCTGTGACCAGGTGTCCCTCTCACAGTACACTTATTTTTTGTGTGTTTGTTTGTTTTTGAGACAGAGTCTCACTCTGTCACCCAGGTCGGAGCGCAGTGGTATGGTCTTGGCTCACTGCAACCTCCACCTCCCAGGTTCAAGCAATTCTCATGCCTCAGCCTCCTGAGTAGGTGGGATTACAGACATATGCCACTACACCCAACTAATTTTTTTTTTTTTTTAAGTACAGACGGGGTTTCACCATGTTGGCCAGGCTGATCTTGAACTCCTAGCCTCATGGGATCCTCCCACCCCAACCTCCCATAGTGCTGGGATCACAGGCATGAGCCATCACACCTGGCCACAGTACACTTGTTTATAATGGCAGACATTCTTAAGGCTTTTGTCTGACCTGTGTCCAGTTTATTTCTACAAAGAGAGCCATGCTTTAGGACAGCCCTGACCAGGAAAGACGTTAGGTTTGGATGTGTCAGTCAGGTGAGACACAGAGGAGGCAGCACAACAAAACACATGAAATAACAGGGGCAGTTTATTACTCACAGATTCCGGAGAAGACAGAGCAGCACATCTCACAGAGCCAACAGGAAGAAGAGAGTTGTCGGGACACGCACACTCAACCAGCGGGTGGGGAGCAAGAAAGAGAAAGTGAGAGACCTGTGGGCTGATGCTTTTATTGGAGTCTAAGGAAACTGCTCAGGCAGTTTTCCACAGAGAATTCTAACTGGGTTTAGAGCCAGCAGGCACAAGTTGCATGGAGTCACACTGACTGGGAGGTGATCACTGTGGCATATCTGCACAGCCTATGCAGGGTCTGGGGGTCAGGGGGACAGTCAGGTGAGTTATATCTAGCTGTTGCATAAGGAGGTGGTTAACAGGAAGTGGTAGTGTAAGGCAGGTATCTGGATCTGCCACATTAAGGATCTGGGGGGAGGCGGAGACCTGGAAACTGTGTCAAGGGTGACTAAGCTTTTCTTATGGTATGAGAAAGTCCAACTTATATTCAAAATAGATACTGAGCCAGGCACAGTGGCTCACATCTGTAATCCCAACACTTTGGGAGGCTGAGGCAAGAGGATTGCTTGAGCTCAGGAGTTTGAGACCAGCCTGGGCAACACAGTGAGACCTCCGTCTCTACAAATAAAATTTCAAAAAATTAGCTGGGTGTGGTGGCATACGCCTATAGTCCCAGCTACTTGGGGGACTGAGATGAGAGGTTCACTTGAGCCCAGGAGCTCGAGGCTGCAGTGAGCCGTGATTGCACCACTGCACTCCAGCCTGGGTGACAGAGTGCGACCCTGTCTCAAAACAATAACATTTCAAAAATTGATACTGAGTTTCTATAAAATTGTAAGAATTCACTACACTGATGTTAGAATTGTCTTAAAAGAATCTTAGAGCAGCCAACATAAAAATGCTTCAATGAACAATTACAAACACTTGAAATAAGTGAAAAACCAGAAAGTCTCAGCAAAGAAATAGAAGATATGAAAAAGAACAAGACGGAAATTTTAGAATGGAAAAGCACAATAACAGAAATTTTTTAAAAACTTAATGTTTGAGCCCAGCTGCAGAATGGAGATGACAGAGATAAAAATCAGTGCAGATAAAAGTTACCAAATCTGAACAACAGAAAGAAAATAGACTGATAAGAAGTGAAGAACAGAACTTTGGGACCTGTGGGACTTTAACAAAAGAGCCAACATTCATGTCATTGGAGACCCAGAAGGAAAGGAGGAAGTGGGTATAATGGCTGGTTTCCCAAATCTGGTAAAAGACATACATCTATGGAATCAAGAAACTGAGTAAACCCCAATGCCAGCGTGGTAATCAGGATTCTAAATATAGTCCTTCCAGATTTCTGTTCCTGATTGTTCAATCAAATGCTAATCTAGGTATTGCTTTGAAGGGATTTTGTAATTAAAGCTCAAAGTCAGCTGATCTTAAAATACAGATCATCTGGGTGGGCCTGACCTGATCAGGTGACTCTTTTAAAAGCAGATCAGATGAGAAAGTCAGAGAATCAAAACACAAGGAGGATTCAATGCATCCTTGCTGTCTTTGAAGATGCAGGGGTCAATGTGTGAGCAGGGTAGAGTGGCCTGCAAGAGCTTAGAGCACCCGCAGATGACAGCCAGCAAGGAAACAGACCTCAGTCCTACAACTGTAAGAACCTGGATTCTGGCCAGGCACAGTGGCTCATTCCTGTAATCCCAGCACTTTGGGAGGCCGAGGCAGATGGATCACGAGGTCAGTAGATCGAGACCATCCTGGCTAACATGGTGAAACCCCGTCTCTACTAAAAATACAAAAAATTAGCCAGGCATGCTGGTGGGTGCCGGAGCTTGCAGTGAGCCGAGATCGCCCCACTGCACTCCAGCCTGGGCGACAGAGCGAGACTCCATCTCAAAAAAAAAAAAAAAAAAAAAAAGAACCAGGATTCTGCCACCATCTGAATGAGCTTGGATATGGGTTCTTTCCCAAAGCCTACAGGTAAACCCCAGCCAACTCACATCACACCTTGATTTTGACCTGGTGAGAGAACCCAGTTGAGGACACTTGGACATCGAGGTACAGAAACTGAAATAGTAAATGTTATTCACTCTCTTAGTTCACCCAGAATCAGACTCTGCACTAGAATGTAAGTGCAATTAGTTTATTATTTATTTATTTACTTTTTTGGAGATGGAGTCTCGCACTGTCGCCTGCCACCACGCCAGGCTAATTTTTTGTATTTTTAGTAGAGACAGGGTTTCACCATGTTAGCCAGGATGGTCTCGATCTACTCACCTCGTGATCCACCTGCCTCAGCCTCCCAAAGTGCTGGGATTACAGGCGTGAGCCACCACACCTTAGTGCAATTAGTTTATTTTGGAGAAAGCATTGGCAGAGGTGTGGGAAAGTAAGTAAGGGAAAAGAAGGAAGCCATATAGAAAAATTAGCTCTATAGAAAACTGGAGCTCACCTCTGAAAACTGGTACAAAACACACCTCTGAGGGCCGGGCGCAGTGGCTCACGCCTGTAATCTCAGCACTTTAGGAGGCTGAGGCAGGCAGATCACCTGAGGTCGGGAGTTTGAGACCAGCCTGACCAACATGGAGAAACCCCCTCTCTACTAAAAATACAAAATTAGCCCGGCGTGCTGTCACATGCCTGTAATCCCAGCTACTCAGGAGGCTGAGGTGGGAGAATCACTTGAACCTGGGAGGCGGAGGTTGCGGTGAGCCAAGATCGTGCCATTGCATTCCAACTTGGGCAACAAGAACGAAACTCCATCTCAAAACAAAACAACAACAACAAAAAATAAAACCACCTCTGAGTTGTTCCCCCTAAGTTCAGGGGAATATATCTACCAATTCCTTCTTGGTGTTAGTTAATGGTCACTCCCAGGATGTTAATTTCTCTGACATTTTCAGCCTGCCCTCAGTTGGGGCTTGCATCCTCTTGTACTCAGAGAAATCAGAGAGGCACAGACACTCATGGAAGGGGTTGCGGAAGTACTCACCACTCTCTTTCAGTCATTTCGAGAATTTCTCTTCTTTCATCATTCAGTCGTCCTAAAAGTCCTGTGTGTCAATAATAAATTACACCCACTGAAAGGAAGACGTATATTTACATTTCATGGCCTTTCATTTTCTATTAGTGTCCCCTTCATTCCACTCCATCTTATTATTAGAATGATTCTACCAGTGTCTTTCTGGAAAATAGGTGTAGGAATAAATTTATTCTAAAAAATAAAACAACATCTACGCAAAGAGGTCTTAAAACCTTCATAATTAGCTCTATAAAACAATTAACTCCAAGAAGTAATGCTGAATGCTTTCCAAATGCATACTGACAGTAAGAAAACATTATCAAATACCCACATTTGCATTTTTTCTAGACATGGTTACAGACCTAAATCCCTCAGTTGATCAGCTTGAGGGACCAAATAAATCTCTGTTATCGGTATAGCAACAGCACTTACTTGTTTTGTAGCAGTCAGGGCATACCAAAGTAAGATCAAAGAAAAAATAGAATCTCACGAAATATATTTTCTCAAGGTAAACCCTCACCAAATTATAATTGAATGATTAGTCTGGTATAATTTTAGTAGAAAAATTATAGGAAAAAAAAGACAGGACAAAATATGATAATTGAGTTGGCAAAGATCAACTCCTAAGCAGCTAATTTAGTGTTCAATAAAACCCAAAAATGCAGAAGCATGATTTTCCCATTTATAGTATGTTCACATACTATAAATGAGTTATTTTAACCAATTTAGAAGTAAGACCTGGCCAGGCATGGTGGCTTACACCTGTAATCCCATCACTTTGGGCGGCAAGACAGGTGGATTGCTTGAGGCCAGGAGTTCGAGACCAGCCTGGCCGACATGGCCAAACCCCGTCTCTTACTAAAAATATCAAAATTAGCTGGGCGGGGTGGTGCATACCTGTAATTTCACCTCCTCAGAAGGCTGAAGCATGAAAATCATTTGAGCCTGGAGGCAGAGGTTGCAGTGAGCTGAGATTGCACCACTGCACTCCAGCCTAGGCAACAGAGGGAGACTCTCTCAAAAAAAAAAAAATAGGCTGGGCACGGTGGCTCACGCCTGTAATCCCAGCACTTTGAGAGGTCAAGGCGGGTAAGGTGGGTAGATCACAAGGTCAGGAGTTCGAGACCAGCCTGGCCAATATAGTGAAACCCGTCTCTACTAAAAATAAAAAAATCAGTCAGGCATGGTGGTGTGTGCCTGTAATCCCAGCTACTCAGTAGGCTGAGGCAAGAAAATTGCTTGAACCCGGGAGGCGGAGGTTGTAGTGAGCAGAGATCCTGCCACTGCACTCCAGCCTGAGCGACAGAGCAAGACTCTATCTCAAAAAAAAAAAAGGAAGTGAGACATAAGTATTGTATTGTATCATGATAAAGCAATTATTTGGCATTACACCTTAATGAATTTTATCCAGTCAATTTGCCTTTGTAGACACAGAGTGATTCATGTAATATGATATGTAGCATAATCAAGTTTAATCTCTGTAATAATGGTTGTTTATCTGTAGGCTATAGTTGTAAAAGAAGAATAAATAAATAAAGCAATCTATCAATCTTGATCAAACAATGTAGCCCACAGTTGATTCAGATGTTACAATAATGTAGTTGGTACAACTCACTGGGCAGCATATACCATGAGCACTAATGAAAAATAAAAATCATGGCAAGGCGCGATGGCTCATGCCTGTAATCCCAGCACATTGAGAGGCAGAGGTGGGCGGATCACCTGAGGTCAGGAGTTCGAGACCAAGCTGGCCAACATGGCGAAATCCCATCTCTACTAAAAAATACAAAAATTAGCCAGGCACAGTGGCTCATGCCTGTAATCCCAGCTACAGGGGAGGCTGAGGCAGAAGAGTCGCTTGAACCCAGGAGGCAAAGGCTGCAGTGAGCCGAGATCATGCCACTGCACTCCAGCCTGGGCAGTAGATTGAGACTCTGTCTCAAAAAAAAAAATGAAAAATGAAAAATGAAAAGCAACTGCATGAAAGTCAATTCAGTTTATGCCTAGCCTTCATTAAAGACCAACAAGAAAAAATAACAAAAAAAAACAAAAAATAAATGTTTCAGTGAAAATCTCATTTGGGCTCTCATCTACAGGACAGAGTGTAGATGGAAAATACATGTTTGATGTAATAACTGATCTTGTGATATACCTTTATGATTGTAAATAGTTGATATATTAAGAAATAATAGTAAAATAAATGTTATTTTAAGCCTCCAAATTTGTGATAATTTTGTTAGGCAGCAATAAATAATAAAAAAAAAAACTAATACACCCAAACAGAATAAACCCAAATGAATCTATGCCAGGGCATATCATAATCAAACTGTTGAAAGCTAAAGATGAATTTAAAATCTTGAAAGCAGTGAAAGACAAATGATACCTTACCCATAGGAAGAAAACAATTTCAATGAAAGTAGATTTCTCATCAGAAACTATGAAAGCCAGAAGAAAGAAGCATAACATTTTATAAGTTCTAAAGAACTGTCAACCCAGGATTCTATAACCAGCGAATGAAAAAGATGTACATTTATATGTATACATATAAAATATGTATATATGTATATAAATGTATATACATTTATAGGTATACATATAAAATATGTATATATGTATATAAATGTATATACATTTATAGGTATACATATAAAATATGTATATATGTATATAAATGTATATACATTTATAGGTATACATATAAAATATGTATATATGTATATAAATGTATATACAATTATATGTATATATTATGTATATAACCATTCAAGAATGAGAGAGATGTACATTTTAAAATAATTAAAAGAGGCCGGGTGGGGTGACTCACTCCTATAATCCCAGCACTTTGAGAGGCTGAGGCGGACAGATCACTTGCGGTCAGGAGTTCGAGACCAGCCTGGCCAACATGGCAAAACCCCATCTCTACTAAAAACACAAAAATTAGGCAGGCTTGGAGGCTGAGGCAGGAGAATTGCCTGAACCCAGGAGGCGGAAGTGCAGTGAGCCAAGATTGCGCCACTGCACTCCAGCCTGGGTAACAGAGCAAGACTCCATCTCAAAAAATAAATAAAATAAAATAAAATAACTAAAAGAGTTATTGAATTGTAATTGCATTTGGATTGGAAATTGGATCTAATTGTAAATTGGATCCAAGAGTAACTGGATTGTTTGTAATACAAATGATAAATGCTTAAGGGAATGAGCACCCCGTTCTCTATGATGTGATTATTCCACATTGCATGCCTGTATCGAAACATCTCATGTACCCCATAAATATATACACCTACTATGTACCCATAAAAATTAAAATAAACAAATTTTTAAAAATAAAATAAAAAAGAATTCAGGAAAAACCAACACATTCTCAGATGAAGGAAAACTAAGAGAATTTGTTGCCAGCAGACCTACCCTAAAAGAATAGAGAAAGGGAGTTATTAAAACAGAAAAGAATGGTAAAAGAAGGGAATCTGGAACATCAGGAGAAAAGAAAGATAGAGAAGGAAGAAAAGAAAAGGAGAAAGAGGGAGGGAGGAGAGGACAGAAAAAGGGGAGAGGGGAGAGGAAGGGGTTTTCTTTTTCTTCTTGAGTTTTCTTTCCCTTTTTTTCCAGAGGATCTTCACACCTCTAACTGAATTTTCTAAATTACATTTAATAGTTAAAGTAAAAATTGTAACACTGTCTGATGTGATTCTCAATGTATGTAAAGAAAATATTAAGACAATAATATTATAAATGATTATAAATGGGAGAAGATAATGGTATTAAAGGGAGGTAAGGTTTTTTTTGTTTTTTTTTTTTTTTAACTGTGTCTTGTTCTGTTGCCCAGGCTGGAGTGCAGTGGCACGATCTCAGCTCACTACAACCTCTGCTTCCCGGGTTCAAGAGATTCTCGTGCCTCAGCCTCCTAAGTAGCTGGGACTACAGGCACGCGCCACCATGCCCGGCTAATTTTTGTATTTTTAGTAGAGACGGGGTTTCACCATGTTGGCCAGGCTGGTCTGGAACCTCCTGGCCTCAAGTGGTCTGCCTGCCTCGATCTCCCAATGTGCTGGGATTACACGTGTGAGCCACTGTGCTGGGCCTGGCCCTGAGGTAAGGCTTCTATATTTTGTTTGAACTGGTAAAACGTCAAAACCAATAGGCTGTGATAAACTCTATACATAATACCTACAGCCATTGCTAAGAAGTCTATACAAAGAGACACACTCAAAAACATTACAGATAAATAAAGTGAGATTCTAAAAAAATATTGATGTGACCCATAAGTAGGCAAGAAAAAGGAAACAGAAAAACAAAAAACCAAAAAACAAACAGAAGACAAAAAAAATGAATTGGCAGACCTAAGTCCTAACATAACAATAATTACATTAAATTTAATAGCCTAAATATACCAATTAATGGATTTATATTTACAGACTGTATTTTTTAAATGAGCCAGTTAAATGATAGCCACAACAAAATTACTTCAAATATTATCATACACACAGGTTGAAAAGGATTAAAAAAAAGATATACTATGTCAATATTAATAAAAGGAAAGCAAGAATGGTTATAGTAGCATCAGATAAAGAACAGAGCAAAGATAATTAGCAGGGACGGAAAGGAACATAATGATAGTAGAGTCGCTCCACCAAAAAGATGTGGCAATCTCAAATGTGTACACACCAAACAACGGAACTACAGAATATGCGAAGGAAAAATGGACAGAACTGAAATGAGAAACGCATAAACTGACAATTACAGTTTGGGACATCAGCACTACTCTCAACTATTGTTAGAACAACTAGACAAAAAAAAAAATCAGCAAGGATAGAAGAATTCAACACCACCAGCAATCAAGGTCTAATTGACATTGACAGGACATTTAATCCAACAACAGCGAAATACACATTCTTTCCAAACATTCACAGAACATATACTAAAATAAACCATGTCCTGGGCTAGAGAACCTCAACAAACTTGAAAGAATTGAAACCATACAGGGTGTTCTCTGACCACAGTGGAATCCAACTAGAAATAACTAACAGGAAGATAAGAACAAAATCTCCAGATACTTGGAAGCTGAACACTACACTTTTAACTAAGCCACAGGTCAAAGAAAAAGTCTTGGGGGAAAACAAAAATACATTGAACTGAATGAAAAAGAAAACACAACACATCAAATTTTGTAGGATGGAACTAAAGCGGTGCTTCGAGAGAAGTTTATAGCACAAAAATGCTTACAGTAGACAAGAGGGAAAGTATCAAATTGGTCATCTAAGCTCCCAACTCAAGATATTAGGGAAAAAAAAAAAAAAGAAACCCAAATCAAACAGAAGAAATAAAATAGCAAATGGCAAAAATCAATAAAATTGAATAGAGAAAACCAACAAAGCAAAAAGTTGGTTCTGGCCAGTCACGGTGGCTCACACCTGTAGTCCCAGCTAGTCGGGAGGCCGAGGCAGGAGGATCACTTAAGCCTGGGAAACTGAGGCTGCAGTGAGCAGTGATTGCACCACTGCACTCCAGCCTGGGTAACAGAGTAAGATCCCCTCCCCCTAAAAAAGATGGTTCTTACAAACAATCAAAATTGATGAACCTCTAGCATTATTGAGAAAGAAAATAATGAAATTACTTATCACCAATTTATCAGAAAATTAATCACCAGTGTCAGGAAAGAAACAGTGGATATCATTACAAGCCTTGCTGACAACAAAATGATAATAAAGGATTGAAACAAAACAGCTCTACACACATAAATCTGATAATTTACATAAAAAGAACTAATTCCTCAAAAAAGCAAAAACTACTGTGTCCGGACTTGGTGGGTTCTTGGTCTCACTGACTTCAAGAATGTAGCCGTGGACCCTCGAGGTGAGTGTTTCGGCTCTTAAGGTGGCGTGTCTGGAGTCTGTCCCTTCTGATGTTCAGATGTGTTCGGAGTTTCTTCCTTCTGGTGGGTTCCTGGTCTCGCTGGCTCAGGAGTAAAGCTGCAGACCTTCGCAGTGAGTGTTACAGCTCTTAAGGCAGCGCGTCTGGAGTTGTTCGTTCCTCTCGGTGGGCTCGTGGTCTGGCTTGGCTCAGGAGTGAAGCTGCAGATCTTCGCAGTGAGTGTTACAGCTCATAAAAGCAGCGTAGACCCAGAGAGTGAGCAGTAGCAAGATTTATTGCAAAGAGCGAAAGAACAAAACTTCCACAGCGTGGAAGAGGACCCGAGCGGGTTGCCTATGCTGGTTCAGGCAGCCTGCTTTTATTCTCTTATCTGGCCCCACCCACCTCCTGCTGATTGGTAGAACCGAGTGGCCTGTTTTGTCAGGGCGCTGATTGGTGCGTTTACAATCCCTGAGCTAGATACAAAGGTTCTCCACGTCCCCATCAGATTAGTTAGATACAGAGTTTCCACACACAGGTTCTCCAAGGCCCCACCAGAGCAGCTAGATACAGAGTGTCAATTGGTGCACTCACAAACCTTGAGCTAAACACAGGATGCTGATTGGTGTATTTACAATCCCTGAGCTAGATATAAAGACTCTCCACGTCCCCACCAGACTCAGGAGCCCAGCTGTCTTCACCTAGTGGATCTCGCACCGGGGCTGCAGGTGGAGCTGCCTGCCAGTCCTGCGCCGTGCGCTCGCATTCCTCAGCCCTTGGGTGGTCGATGGGACTGGGCGCCGTGGAGCAGGGGGTGGCGCTCCTCAGGGAGGCTCAGGCACGGCGGGCTGTAGGTCCCGAGCCCTGCCCCGTGGGAAGGCAGCCAAGGCCCGGAGAGAAATCGAGCGCAGCGCCGGTGGGCCAGCACTGCTGGGGGACTCAGTACACCCTCCGCAGCCACTGGCCCGGGTGCTAAGTCCCCCATTGCCCGGGGCCAGCAGGGCTGGCTGGCTGCTCCGAGTGCGGGGCCCACCAAGCCCACGCCCATCCGGAACTCCAGCTGGCCCGCAAGTGCCGCACACAGCCCCGGTTCCCGCTCGTGTCTCTCCCTCCACACCTCCCTGCAAGCTGAGGGAGTGGGCTCCGGCCTTGGCCAGCCCAGAAAGGGGCTCCCACCCT
Organism: Homo sapiens; assembly: GCF_000001405.40. Lineage (NCBI taxonomy): Eukaryota > Metazoa > Chordata > Mammalia > Primates > Hominidae > Homo > Homo sapiens. Next base: position 44,563,658 of record NC_000019.10, read on the forward strand.
GCGGTGGGGGACTGAAGGGCTCCTCAAATGCCACCAAAGTGGGAGCCCAGGCAGGGGAGGTGCCGAGAGCAAGCGAGGGCTCTGAGGACTGCCAGCACGCTGTCACCTCTCACTACCACCACTAACCCAATATGAAATAGAGAATTTGAATAACCCTACAACTATTAAGGAAACTGGTTTTTAAATTTTAAAACTCCTGAAAAGGAAATCTCCAGGCCTCAATAGTTTCACATGAGAACTACCACTTGATCCAGCAATCCCACTACTGGGTATCTACCAAGAGGAAAAGAAGTCATTATACAAAGAAGACACTTGCACACACATGTTTATAGCAGCACAATTCCCAATTGCAAAAATGTGGAACCAACCCAAATACTCATCAATCAATGAGTAGATAAGGAAACTGTGGTATATATATATATATATATATATATGTATATATATGTATATATATATGTATATATATACGTGTATATATATATATATATATGATGGAATAATACAGAGTCATAAAAAATGAATTAATGGCATTCACAGCAACCTGGGTGGGATTGAAGACTATTATTCTAAGTGAAATAACTCAGGAATGGAAAACCAAACATCGTATGTCCTCATTGATATGTGGGAACTAAGCTATGAGGATGCAAAGGCATAAGAATGATACAATGGACTTTGGGGACTCAGGTGGGGGAAAGGTAGGAAGCGGATGAGGGATAAAATACTACAAAGTGGGTTCAGTATATACTGCTCCGGTAATGAGTCCACCAAAATCTCACAAATCACCACTAAAGAACTTATACTACCTATTCCCCAAAAACCTATGGAAATAAAAAAAGATAAGAAAAAAAAGTAAATGTGAAAATATAAGCTACAGACTAGGAGAAAATATTTGCAAATCATAAATCTAATAAAGGACACCTATCTAGACTATACAAATAACTCTCAAAACTCAACAGTAAAAACAAAACCAAACAACAATCTATATTTTTCAGTGAAATCTCTCTTCACGGTACCGCACAGTCATGATTACTGTAGCTATATAATAAATTTGGAAATCAGGGAGAGTGCTACCTCCTACTTTATTCTTTTTTTTTCAGAATTGTTTTAGTTATTCAGTTCTTTTCCTTTGCACACAATCTTCTCTTCATCGAAGAGCGATTTCACTGAAAAAGATACACAAATGGCAGATAGGCACAGGAAAAGATATTTAATCAACATCATTAGCCATTAGGGAAAAGCAAAGTAAGACCACGATAAAACATTAACTACATACCTATTACAACGACTAAACTTGAAAACAATCACAGCGACGATATGAAACACTGCCAAGGATGCAGGGACACTGCATCTCCCACACCTTGCTGATGGAGATGTAAAATGGTGCAGCCACTTGGGAAAATAGTTTGGCAATTTCTTTAAAACACTAAACAGATACTTAGCATATGACTCAGCCATTGCACCCCTGAGCATTATCCCAAAGAAATAGAAACTCAAGCCAGGCACGGTGGCTCACGCCTGAAATCCCAGCACTTTGGGAGGCCGAGGCAGCAGATCACCTGAGGTCAGGAGTTCAAGACCAGCCTGGCCAACATGACAAAACCCTGTCTCTACTAAAAATACAAAAAATTAGCCAGGCATAGTCGCAGGTGCCTGTAATGTCAGCTACTCAGGAGACTGAGGCAGGAGAATCAGTTGAATCCGGGAGGCGGAGGTTGCAGTGAGTAGAGATCGCACCACTGCACTCCAGCTTGGGTGACTGAGTGAGACTCTGTTTCAAAAAAAAAAAAAAAAAAAAAACAGATCCACACAAAATCCTATAGGTGAATGTTTATAGTAGCTTTATTTGTAATACCCAAAAAACAAAAACAGCCAAGTTGTCTTTCAATAACTGAATGATTAAACAAACTATAGTACGTGGAAAAGTGTTCAGTAATAAAAAGGAACGAACTATTGATATATAACTACATTTGACCCTTGAACAACTTGGGCTTTAACTGTGCAAGTCCACTTATAAGCAGATTTTCTTCTGTCTCTACCACCCCTGAAACAACAAAACTAACCCCTCCTCTTCCTCCTTTTCCTCTGCATGAAAACAACGGGGATGAAGACCTTCATAATGATCCACTTCCACCTAATGAATAGTAAACATATGTTCTCTTTCTTATGAGTTTAATACATTTTTCTAGCTTACTTTATTGTAAGAATACAGTATATAATACACAGAACATGCAAAATATGGCTTTCATTCAACAATAAGCTATTAGTAATTAAATTTTGGGGGACTCAAAAATTAATTTCAACTGGGCGGAGTTCAGCACCCCTAATCCCCGCATTGTGCAAGTGCCAACTGTATTTGAATGGATTTCAAGGGCATTATGCATGAGTAAAATATTGAAGTCGCTCGCAAAAGGTCACATACTGTACAATCCCATTTATATAACATCCTTGAAATGACAAAATTATAGAGATGGAAAACAACTTGGTGGCTGACAGGGGTTAGGGATGGGGGAAAAGAGGGAAGTGGGCGTGACTATGAAAAGGTGGCACCAGGGAGAACTTTGTGGCAATAAAACCGTTTTGTAACTTGATTGCAGTGGCGTTTACATGATCATGTGATCAATTGAAACTACACACACACACATTGCACCAGTATCATTCCTGATTGTGATGTTGAACTATAGTTATATAAGATGTATTCATTGGGGGAAACTGGATGAAAGGCACATGGGATCTCTCCATGATACAATTTCTTTGCAGCTTCCTGTGAATCTATAATTACTTCAAATTTTAAAAAGAAAAGCAAAATTAAAGATTTTACAAATTAAATCTGAAAGGAAATTAAGTGTTAATAATTGCCTCTTTGGGAGGTGGAAGTACATGAAATTTTTCTGTTTTGCATGCAAGTATTTTCTATAATGAACATATATGTTACTTTGTTTTTATCACAGTAATTTAAAAAAAAAAATCTTCCTCAAACCATGGTCATGAGAGGTCTACTCAGCTGCTTACATGTTCCCCTCCAGTGACGGCACAGGGGATGGCCTCTCCTAAAACAACCCTAGGAGGATGGCCTCACAGATGAGGGAAGTGGGGAGAGCAGAGCATCTCCTGGCTAGGGACCTCTGAGTTATGCAGCAAGCATCAACCATTTGCAACAAAAAAAACCATGAGAAACATACACTTATTCACAATGCTGGTAGGAATGCAAAATTGTATCATTGCAATGCAGTGGGGATGGGGAATATCTAACAATTTATGTATGGATCTGCTTTTCAAACCAGTTACCCTATTTCTAGGGAGTTCACCTGAAGAAGCACCTCTGGCAATATGAAAACACATGTCCACGAAGTTATTCATTACAACACTGTTTATCACTGCAGAATATTGGAAACCACCTACATGCCCAAGCATAGGAGAGTAGCTGAATGAATTATGGTACCTCTACACAATGGAATGCTGCTGTAACAAAAGAATGAGGAAGATCTCCATGGCCTGATAAGAAGTGCTTTGCAGGACATTCTGTCAAGCGAAAAAAGCAAATTGCAGAAGAGCATATAGAGTATGCTATCGGTTGTGTAAGAAGGAATGATGAAACATACACATAGCTATTTATCTTTACACACACACACGAAGGATAAACCAGGAAGAAATGAAGTTGGTTACCCGTAAGAGGTGAGAGGAAAATAAGGTGGAAGGAATATAGGAGGGAGTGACCCTTCTCTGAAATGTCTTTATAACGAGGTTTGACTTTTGAAAGCACGTTAATATTCTAAATGTTCAAAAAATAAAATTAAACAGGAAAACAAACTAAAGCAAATTAACCTAATTGTATTTCAAATGAATATTATAATTATACTGAAGGGGAAGGAAAGAAGGAAGGAAGGAAATGTGAGAGGGAGGGAAACAGGGAAGGAGGGGGTAATAAATGAAAGGACTAACTCTAGTAATTTACGTATATTTTACTATATACCCATAGTCTTTAACAGGGTTGGAGGATGGGAACTGCAAACAAATCCTGAATTCATTTTAGTAGAACTGTTTTTTGTAGTGGTATGGCTGATGCAATTGTAAGACTATGTTAAATATATTATACTGTTATAATGTATATAGATATATCAAATTATTATATTAAGCAAATGAGTAAATGTGTTAATGTTGGGAGCCAGTATTCTCACTGTGGAAGAAGGGACATGCAAATGGGAAAAGCAAAAAAGAACCTGGAATTAGGAGTGGTGGTGTAAATGCATGATTTCTAAAATATGCATAATTATGTGCATATATGGGCATATGTGTATGTCTGTGTGTACACATGCACACATTTTTCTAGTTCTATCCACTGAAAGAGCCTAAAAGCAAAGACACACAAGTAGCACCTAGCTCCTAGATCTTTGGTCTCTAATACCATTCCATGCTAAAAGGAAGCAGTGCTCTCCAGAGAAATGACTTATTCCCGGAGAGGAGCAGAATATGTACAACGTGAGCCCTGAATATCTTATTATGCCAGACACAGAGTGTTTTTAAAAAATCAGCATGTCCCAAGGGAGATGAAAAGGGCTCCCACTAGTCAACTTCAGAATAATTTAAGCACCCAAATATTAAGTACAGTAACAAGTTATAAACCATCAGAAAATAGAAATTAATGAGTCCTTACTGATAATAGATAATAGGTAGATGATAGATAGATAATAGGTAGATGATGATAGATAGTTTTAATTTTTAAATGGGGAAGTATATTCTTTAAAAATGGCAACACCATTAAAGATAAAGAAAGGCTGTAGAGGCCAGGCATGGTGGCTCACGCCTGTAATCCCAGCACTTTGGGAGGCTGAGGCGGGAGGATCTCTTGAGGCCAGTAGATTGAAACCAACCTGGGAAATATAGCGAGACCACATGTCAATGAAAAATAAAATTTTGGCTGGGCACGGTGGCTCATGCCTGTAATCCCAACACTTTGGGAGGCTGAGGCAGGTGGATCACCTGAGGTCGGGAGTTCAAGACCGGCCTGGCCAATGTGGCAAAACCCCGTCTCTACTAAAACTACAAAAATTAGCTGGACATGGTGGTGGGCACCCGCAATCCCAGCTACTCAGGAGGCTTAGGCAGGAGAATCTCTTGAACCCAGGAGGCAGAGGTTGCAGTGAGCCAAGATAGCACCACTACACTCCAGCCTGGGTGACAGAGCGAGACTCCATCTCAAAAAAAAAAAATTATTTGAAAAAAGAAAACTTTTACAAATTAGATGAGTGTAGTGGTGCATGCCTGTGGTCCCAGCTACTCAGGAGGCTGAGGCAGGAGGATCTCTTGAGCTCAGAAGTTGGAGGCTGCAATGTGCTGTGATCGCACCACTGCACTCCAGCCCAGCTGACAGAGCAAGACCCTATCTCTAAATTTTAAAAAAAAATTAAAAAGATGAATTTTAAACAAGAAAGACTGTGGGAAAGTTTCAGATTAAAAGAGAGTAAAGAGGACACAAAATCCAGTATCTGACTAGAGACTGGATCCTGTACTGGATGGGGGAATAGGCTATAAAGGATTTTATTGTGCCAATTGACAAAGTTGGAATATGGATGATAGAGCACATAAAAGTATTTTATCCCTGGACATTTATGAAGGTGATAACTGTGGGTATGTAAGAGAATATCTCTGTTCTTAGGAAATACATACTGATGTATTTAGGGGTAAAGAGCCATGAAGTTTGTAATTTACTATCAAATGGAGGGAAGGAAGGAGAGAGGGAGGGGGAGACAGAAGGGGGAGAGAGAGCACAAATGATAAAGTAAATGAGAACAAATATTAACACTAGGTGAATCTGAATAAAGGGCATACGGGTGTTCTTTGTACTCTTTATTTTTGCAACTTTTTTAAATTTGAAATTATTTCCAAATAAACTGTTTCAAAATGTTATTATAGAAAAAACAAAGTAGCCCTCAGAAAATGTTTTTCCCCTAAACTCCCATCAACCACTTGGGAGTGCTCACTTCCCACACCCTTGGCAACATTGATTAGAATCACACTTGAAAAGTTTTAACAGGCTTATGAGTAAGGGACTGCCTTTATTACTAGTGAGATTGAACATCTTTTCATATCATGATTGACCTTTTATATTTCTTCCTCTGCAAACTGATTATCCAAATCTTTCTCCTGTTTTTTTCTATTGAAGTATTTTTTCTTATTGATTTGTAGAAACTCTTTATATATTGTATATATTATACAAGGATTTTATGTGATAATTACTTAAAAGGATTAGCACAGGGAAGGATACAGAATAATTACTCAGAAGAAGGATGATTTGAGCATTGTTACTTTAATAATGAGGTGGGGGTGGTAATATTTAAATACTTAAATGTAAATAACACTGTAACGTAGTACTCAAGAACATGGGCTTTAGGGTTAAGCAGAGACTGGGTTCAAATCCCAGCTCCATGGGTGCCACTGGCCATGTTGTTACGCTCCCTGAGCCTCAGCTCCCCTACTCATAAATCTTATCTAAAAGTTGTAATGAAGAGCCCATGACATTCTATCTGCAAAGGATATACAATACTTAGTACACAGAAAGCACTTTCTAAATGCTATTATTAATTTTGCTACCAGAGAGCCTCCCTGCTGCTTCCCAAGGGTAATCCTTACCAGAGACAAGTAGCATAGCATGATGGCAACTGTTTTCACCAGAAGAGATGAGATGCAGGGTGTAGATGCCATTGTCAGATGCACGCACATCAATAATGATCAGGGAGCCATCAGCTCTGCCTGTTTCCCTGCCAGTGTGGGCTGGTCCTAGGGTGTAGCCATGGCTGAAGAAGTTAAAATTGAGGATCCGGGTAACCTGATTGGTGGTTGCTCCTCGGAGCCAATTGTAGGAGATGAGATTCTGAGGGATCCCCTGGACAGACAGGGTGACGTTGCCCCCTCGACGGCCCAGGGAGGGATGGATGTGATCGTCAGCTGAGCAGACACCTGCTTCTTGCAGAGGCTCAGGAAGAAGGCAAAGGGAGGAAGCAAAGAGCACTATCACAGAGGCCACTTAGCAGCATTCGACAGTAGACTCAGCCACTGCTAGAGTCTCACTCATCGGAGTTAAACTGTGGGAGTGGGAAGAGCATGTGCAAAGGCCCTGAGGCAGGAGGAAGATCATTGTTTTTGAGGGAAAAGCAGGGAAGCCAGTGTGGTTGGAGTTGAGTAAGTGAAAATGAAAGAGGTAAGAGATAAAGTCAGAGAGGTAAGAGAGACAGATCACACTTACAACTGGCATTGACATTTTTGGCAAGACAATTATTCATCTTGTGGATCCGTCCTGTGCATTGCAAGGAGTTTTTAACACCACTTGCTCTCCCTACTACAACAGCAGCAGCTCCTTCCAGGCATTGAGACAACCAGAGAACATTCCCACACATTGTCAAATACCCGCTAGGGGGCAGTATTAGCTCTGGTTTGGAACATCATGCAGGCTCTTGCAGATAATTATACGAGTTTTTTTGTTTTTGTTTTAGTTTTTGTTTTTGTTTTTTTGCCACAGAGTCTCGCTCTGTCACTCAGGCTGGAGTGTGCCAGCTTGATCATGGTTTACTGCAACCTCCGCCTCCCGGGTTCAAGTGATTGTCGTGCCTCAGCCTCCCGAGTAGCTGGGACCACAGGCATGCGCCACCATGCCCAGCTAATGTTTATATTTTTTTTGTAGAGTCAGGGTTTTGCCACGTTGACCAGACTGGTCTTGAACTCCTGGGCTCAAGTGATCCTTGTGCCTTGGCTTCCCAAAGTGCTGGGATTATAGGCATGAGCCACCGCACCAGCCTGTAAGGACTTTTCGTTGTATTCTGAGGGAGTCAGAGAACCACTGGAGAGTTTTGAGTTAAAGATTAACACGATGTACCTTATATTCTGATCATTCTGGCTGCAGATTGCATTGATTTTGGAGCTCAAGGGTAGAGTTGCAACATTGCTCAGCTCCACGAAGTGAGCTGCCATTCACATTGTAGTTAATGCAAATGCTACTTCCAGCAACTGTGCAGTGCACAACCCATACAGCTATATGTGGTGACCCCAGGCAAGGCAGAAGCAGGAGACACCATTTAGGAGGTGACTGCAACAATCCAGGTGAGAGATATCAGTGGGGAAGAAAATCAGAAATTATGATCCGTAACTGTTACCTGCAAGACAGAGCCATGTCCAAAGCCCACCACCTCTGCAGGGACCTTCCAAGGGGCCAGCCCTGTTTCTTTGATGCCTCACCAGTCTAGCTGTCCTTCTGCCTCCTCCCAGCTGGAGGCCAGGCCTAGGGGAAGTTCAATAGTGTCTGAAAAGCCCCGCCCTCTATAGGGTCTTTGGTTTTACCTCCTCTCAGAAGACAGCCCATCAGTACTGCTCCCTGGATCCCACTCCCATTCACCCCAGATTCCACACTGAGAGTTTGGGGCAGGGTCCACTGGCACCAGTTTGGGTCTTACCAATTCTACAGATTCCTCCAGGCTCTGCCATCACAGAAGGTCCAGCCCCAGTGCTGCTTTGGCCAGAAAGAATGCTTGGCACTGCATTTGCTGACAAGGAGTGTGGCCTGTGTTTATCCCAGAGGTGGGTGAGGCAGCCTCTGCTGGTTCCAGAGGTCCCCTCTGCCACCTGAGGCGCCAGCCATGCAGTGCTGGTCCTAGGTGGGGTTACAGAGGTATTGACACCAGCCTGGTCTCTGGGTTAATTTTTGTTAAGGGCCTGCGACCCAGTGTGGAGGGGTTGATATTGCGCAGCCTTGAAGGACGTGGACATGAGCTTATCAGAACAAGTGATAGCAAGATAAAAGATCAAAGTAGGCTCTTTGCCTCAGATTCTGCATGGCAGCAATTTCCACCAGCAGGGTCCAAAGACCCAAAATGAACAAGGAAAGCAACCTCCTGAAGGGACACTTGGTAATCACCTTGATCTTTGGTTTTCAAAGTCTGCAGTCCACTTGGAAAGCAAGGTACAGGGGCAGAGAGAGTTGACAAATATGTACTGCTTGATGAATATGGAAGAAACAAAGAAAACAGAAGTTTGAAAACCACCGACCTAGAATTTTTAAATGACGACACCCAGTGCTAGCGATCTCTGGAGAACAGTTTTGCAAGATGCATCCAAAAACATACACATGTACACTCTCTTTGACCCCACCGTTCCTCTTACATTTATCTTAAGATAATCATTATAGATATGTGAACATATTTACTTCTGGGATAATCATGACAGCATTGTTTATAGCAGGAAATAAAGTGGAAACAACATATATTCTGTCTGCAGAGAAACAGAAGCAATCTATTCTCTCTCTCTGTGTGTATATATACGTGTGTGTGTGTGTGTGTGTGTGTGTGTAAAATACAACAACAAAACTGTTCACCAATGATCAGGTGCTGTCCTGTTACATGGTGAACGCATTTTATCTTTCCCACAGTCCTAGAAGTTAGATACAACTATCATCATCTCCATTTATCATATGGAGAAGTTGAGACACAGAATCACTGGCCCAAAGTCACATGGATGATAAGAGGCAGAACCAGGATTTGAACCTTTGCAGGCTGGATCCACTGTTCATGGTCCTTCCCATTCCACTGTTTTACCTCTCAAATTTGGAAACATTATTCTACCTGCCAGTTGTTCAGCAGTTACTATCGCCAGGCATACACTGAATTATCTCAGTTAATTCTCACTCCATGAAGCAGGATCTCTTGCTGTCCCCATTTTATAGATAGAAAAACTGACGCTCAGAGAAGAAGAGTCATTTGTTCAAGTCATACAGTTAGTAAATGACAGAGCCAGTTACGCTGCAAGTTACCCAGATTTCAAGGATAAGCGGTATGTAGTAAAAATACATCATGCTATGAGAATTAGAGATGTTCTTCTGAAGATCTGATGTTTCATCTGTGATCTAAAGGATGGGTCAGAATTAAGTAGACAAAGACAGTGAGGAAGAGTGTAATGACTGGAGCTCCAGCAGCCATTCTGAATGACGAACTGACTTAAGGAAGGAAGCTATGTCTGATATAATGGAACAGAAACATAGAAGGAGCTTGCGTGGAACAGGAATCAAAAGAAATTAAAGACTGTCTAAGCAAAAACTCAGTTGTATGTAAGAAAACCCAATTCCCCTTGAGGAAGAGAAACAGCTGGAGTCCTTTAAAATTAACTGCCTGTTTTTCTGTCTGTGGCTAGTGAGCCTTATCGCTCCCTTTCCCAGGCATTGTGAAGACTCTTTCTCTAGCTGTGCAGCTGCAAGGTCATTAGACAGATAATCTCAAGTCGTAAAACATATTATTCCTTGAAAAGTAAGAAATAATGTAATGCATGTCTTAACTGAATAACTGTTTTTAATTCTTGCTTCTGTAATACGCTTCCCCCTGCACAGAACTCCCCCCACCCCACGAAATGCTTAAAAGGTAGCTTGACTCTTTGTTCGGGGCTCAGTCCTTTGGATGTTAATCTGACTGGGTCGGTGCACCTAAATAATTAAATAATTCCTCCTCAACCCCTTGGTCCCTCTGATTCCTTAATTATCCCACAGCATGGGTACCTGGTGACCATGAAGTCACCAGACCACACTGAGATGTCTGTATCAGTTACTTATCACCATGTAACAAACCTCTCTAAAACCTAGGAACTTCGAGAGACAGACAAAAATGCACAAGACTTGTTGTGGCCTGGGCTCAGGACTGCCACTTTATTATTTCTACCTCATTGTTTTGGTCAAAGCAAGTCATGAGGTCAACCAAGATTCAAGGGTACAGGAAAACAGGCTCCACCTGTTTGTGGGAGAAGCTGTAAAGTCACATTACAAGGTGCTTCGATACAGAGAGTAGAGAATCGGAGCCGTGTCTGTGATCAACCAACCACAACTTATTTTACATGAGAGAGAACTACACTCCTTTATTAACTAAACCACTGTTATTTGAGTTTCTATTTTATGCAGCTGAACCAAATCCCCACCTGACATAAAGAGTGTTGCAAATGGAGAGAAGAGTGTAAGCAAAGGCCCGGTGGTGGGAGGCTCATGACACTTCAAATCACTGAAATAAGTGAGGGGGTGGATTTCGGGGTGAGAAGATAAAGTCAGGCAACTGCTGCCCACCAGCACGGTGTTTCCTGCTCTTCCCAAGAGAGACTCACACATTTGACAACAGTTGTTACCCACGCATCAGGTGGGTTCAGACACTTGGCAGGTATCAACCCAATGACTGCAACCAAAGAGGATTTAGCATGGGGATTTTATTACTTGCAACAAGTAAAGAGCACACTAGGGATAGTTCCCAAAGCAGTAACCTCTCTGAGCTGGGGTGCCGCGGACCTATTGGACTGAACAAAGTGGGGCAAACATGGGAATAAAAGACAAGAGACAAAGAAGTATATTTGGAAGAAAGGGTCAGGGGGCACCTTGCCTCTAGTGGACAAGCGCCCTGAGCTTTACACGGCCCTCCATATTTATTAGGCAAAAGAGATAGTGAGAAAGTGGGGAGTGATTGTCGAGTAATTGTCAGTCGGGCGTTTGGTTCACAGCAGGCTTTCGAGATTGCATCCTTTGAGCAATAGGCGCTAATATTCTCAGTAGATAACTTCAAGGAGCCCGGAGCCCGGGAATGATGTCCCTCAGCAAACCTTTTGGTGGCAGGGCAGTGTGAGTTTGCCCACATCCTGCATTCATGATAAACAGTTTGTTATTTGATCATATAGCCTCCAGCGGAATGCTGAGTTGGTCACGATCCCTTTGGCCTTTTCGGCTCCCAACACTGGGGGCAGGGTCAGGATTTTTATAAGCATAGGGTAAGGAGGCATGATGTGATTGGATCTTGCAATGAGGTGATGCCAGGAGGCATGATCTGACTGGATCCTGCCATGATGGGGTGATGCCAGGGCTTGATCTGATTGGCTCCTGGATCCTGCCATGTTATGTCTGCTTCTTAATTCTGTCCCTGCTCCTTGGTCCAAATGCTTAGGTTCCCCTGTGGTTGCGTACTTGGTTCACCTGGGCATGCTCAGTTTATGTGACCTGAGGGTCCATGGCAACCTAAAAACAACTTACAACTTTGTTACATAAAAGTTGAACCAGATTGTACTGCTACATAATCACACTGTAACTCCTGGAGCAGGATCTGGTTCAACCTGCATTTATTAAACACATGATGGGTGGTGGATCTAATGCTGCAGGAGTTAGGGATGAAGGCGGGGTTCCAAGTGTTAAGAATTTCCTGGCCGGGCGCAGTGGCTCACGCCTGTAATTCCAGCACTTTGGGAGGTGGAGGCAGGCAGATCATGAGGTCAGGAGATCAAGACCATCCTGGCTAACACGGTGAAACCCTGTCTCTACTAAAAATACAAAAAATTCGCCGGGTGTGGTGGCACGGCACGCGCCTGTAGTCCCAGCTACTCAGGAGGCTGAGGCAGGAGAGTTACTTGAACCCAGGAGGTGGAGGTTGCAGTGAGCTGAGATTGTGCCACTGCACTCCAGCCTGGGCAACAGAGCAAGACTCCGTCTCAAAAGAAAAAAAGAATTTCCGGCTGGGCGTGGTGGCTCATGCCTGTAATCCCAGCACTTTGGGAGGCCGAGGTGGGCGGATCACGAGGTCAGGAGTTCGGAACCAATCTGACCAACATGGTGAAACCCCGTCTCTACTAAAAATACAAAAATTAGCCAGGCATGGTGGTGCATGCCTGTAATCCCAGCTACTCAGGAGGCTGAGGCAGCAGAATCGCTTGAATCCAGGAGGCGTAGGTTGCGGTAAGCCGAGATCGCGCCACTGCACTCCAGCCTGGGTGACAGAGCGAGACTCCGTCTCAAAAGAAAAAAAAAAAAAAAGATGATCATGATGGTTTAGGGGGTTGAATGGTGGCCCCCTAAAAAAAATATGTCCACCCAGGACCTGAGAATATGGCCTTATTTGGAAAGGGATCCTCGTGATGTAATTAAGTTAAAGATCTTGAGATGAAGTCATGCTGGATTGTCCAGCTATGCCCTAAATCCAATGACAAAGTGTTGTTATAAGAGAGAGAAGAGGAAGGCCGGGCAAGGTGGCTCATGCCTGTAATCCCAGCACTTTGGAAGGCAGAGATGGGCAGATCACCTGAGGTCAGGAGTTTGAGATCAGCCTGGCCAACATGGCAAAACCCTGTCTCTACTAAAAATACAAAAATTAGCCAGGCATGGTGGCAGGTGCCTGTAATCCCAGCTACTCGGGAGGCTGAGGCAGGAGAATCGCTTGAACCCAGGAGATGGAGGTTGCAGTGAACCGAGATTGCGCCACTGCACTCCAGCCTTGCAACAGAGTGAGACTCCATCTCAAAAAAAAAAAAAAAAAAGACAGAGAGAGAGAGAAGTGGAGAAGACACGGATACACAGATACACAGAGGATAAGGCCATGTGAACACTGGGGCAGGGACTGGACTGATGCAGCCATCAGCTGAATAACACCTGGGGCCACCAGAAGCTGGAAGTGTCAAGGGAGGTTCCTCCTAGAACCTGCAGAGGGAGCTCGGCCTATGCACACCTTGATTTCAACTTCTGCCCTCTGGAGCAGTGAGAGAATAAAATGCTGTTGTTTTAGGTTAACAAGTTTGTAGTATGAGGTTGGTACAAAAGTAATTGCAGATTTTGCCATTACTTTTGCACCAACCTAAATAATTTGCCAAAACCACCGCTGGAAACTAGTATGGATGGTAACAGAAACGTGTCTGTGGGACCAGATAGTGTAATAGGCTGTTCAGGAGGGGAGGTGATGAGCTTCCTGTCACTTCAGGGTTAAGGATGGGGACCTTCTCAGGAAGTCTTGTTTTCTAATTGAGATTTCTTCCCCATCAGAAGCATCTCAAACCTAAAAGACATTAGGAGTTGCCTCTGTTACATGTCGAATCCACAAACCAGTCTCTTCCCTTCTTACCTCCCCTCCTTCCCAACTGGTATCTTCCCTGCACACCCCTCCAGGCCCCTCTTCCTCAAACACCATTGTCCCCAGGACTTCAATGTCTACCCTCCCCTTGGAAACCTTTAGTAATATAAAATCACCAAAGCATCTTAAAACAATAATGCCCAGTGTGGGCAAGGATGTTCAGAAATGGGCACTCTCATGTACATTTCATGGCAGGCTACATTGCCACAATAATTTCGAAGGGCAATTTTATGCCATGTATCAAGAATTAAAATCTGACTTAGCTATTTTATTTTCAGGAATTCAGCCTGAGAAAATAACCTGTGATGTGCAAAATAAATTTATACACATGACCCTTCCTGATCTATCCATTGGCCCTGTCCCCAGTCCTGTCTTTTGCTGATCACTTGCTTGAACAGCACATGCCATTCAGATTAAATCCACATCATGGAGAATGTGCACTGTTTTTCTTTCCTCTGGGCTTTTTACATTTGTAAATTCCTGCCCTCCCCTTGCCAATTAACTCCTGCTCTTCCTTCCAGGATAAATTCAGATGTCACCTCCTCCAAGAAGCTTCTTGGCCTCCTGGGAGCAGATTGGGTACCTCCTCAGGGTCCCTAAGTGCCCTCCCTTATTGCTCAAAAGGCAATGCTATGGGGTGATTAACAGGGAAGATTCCAGAGCCAGTCTCTGATTCTAACACCTGCTTTACATGGCTATGTGACTCTGTGACTCTGGGCAATTTACCCACATCTCTGGCTATTCTCTCTCTCTCTCTCTCTCTCTCTCTCTCTCTCTCTCTCTCTCCTTCTCTCTCTCTCTCTCTCTGTCTTTTGAGACAGAGTCTCACTCTGTTGCCCAGGCTGGAGTGCAGTGGTGTGATCTCGGCTCACTGCAGCCTCCGCCCCCCAGGTTCAAGTGATTCTCGTGCCTCAGCCTACCAAGTAGCTGGAACTATGGGTGCACACCACCACACTCGGCTAATTTTTTGTATTCTTAGTAGAGACAAGGTTCACCATGTTGGCCAGACTAGTCTCGAACTCCTGACCTGAGGTGATCTGCCCACCTCAGCCTCCCAAAGTGCTGGGATTACAGGCTCGAGCCACCATACCTGGCCTGTTTTCTCTTAAACACTTATTAATCGTTTGCTGTGTGCCGGGAACTGTTCTGTGTGCTTTACAAATGGCAATTCATTGAACCTCCCAACAACCCTGTGAGGCAGGGGTTAGAGCTACCCATTTTGCAGATGAGGAGACTGAGGCCTTGAGAGTTTAAATGGCTTGTTGAAGTTCACACAGTGCAAATTGCAGAGCCAAATCTGAATCCATGGCATCGGCGACTATACGGTGCTGCCTCTGGGCCTCCATCCTCATCTGGAAAATGGGGCCCATAGTAACAGTGTCATATCGTTTGGATGTTTGTCCCCTCCAAATCTCATGTTGAAATGTGATCCCCAATGATGGATGTGGGCCTAGTGGGAGGTTTTTGGGTCATGGGGCAATCCCTCATGAGGCTTTGGCGCCATCTTTGCGGTAATGAAGGCATTCACGCTCTGTTCATTCATGCAAAAGCTGGTTGTTTAAAAGAACCTGGCAGGCCGGGTGCAGTGACTTATGCCTGTAATCCCAGCACTTTGGGAGGCTGGAGCAGGAGAATCACTTGAGCCCAGGAGTTCGAGACCAGCCTGAGCAACATGGTGAAACCCTGTCTCTACAAAAATTAGGCAGGCATGGTGGCATACACATGTAGTCCCAGCTACTTGGGAGGCTGAGGCAGGAGGATCACCTGAGCCTGGGAGGCAGAGGTTGCAGTGAGCCAAGCCTGCACCACTGCACTCCAGCCTGGGTGACAGAGTGAGACCCTATCTCAAAAAAATAATAATAAATAATAAAAAAATAAAGGCTGGGCACAGTGGCTCATGCCTATAATCCCAGCACTTTGGGAGGCCAAGGTGGGCAGATCACCTGAGGTGATCAAGACCAGCCTAGCCAACATGGTGAAACCCCATCTCTACTAAAAATACAAAAAAGTAGTTTGGCCTGGTGGTGGGCACCTGTAATCCTGGCTACTTGGGCGGCTAAGGCAGAAGAATCACTCGAACCGGGGAGGCAGAGGTTGCAGCGAGCCGAGATTGTGCCATCACACTCCACCCTAGGCAACAAGAGTGAAATTCCATCTCAAAAAAAAAAGAGCCTGGTATCTCTCTTGCCTCTCTTTCACTAGGTGATACTCAGCTTCCCCTTCACCTTCTGCCATGATGATAGGCTTCCTGAAGCCTCATTATGAGCTGAGCAGATGCTGCCATGCTTGTACAGTCTGCAGAACCATGAGCCTAATAAACCTCTTTTCTTTGTAAATTACCCAGCCTTAGGTTTTCCTTTATAGCAATGCAAAGCAGATTAATTCACAGTGCCCCCTTGTAGAGGAGCTGAGAGGACTAGACTGTTTATGTCAAGCTCCTGGAGCAGGGCCTGGCCCATCCTCAGTGCTCGGTAAGTATCAGAGAGTATCATCAGTTACGGGACTATCCTATTTTCCTACCTTCTTTATCGTTTCATCATTTCTGTTCATCATCGCCTAAAGCCTCCTGCCTACTATTTTCCAGGCTCTCAAAATGGGGTTTCTTTGATTTTCATAGCAGCCCGAAGGGGAAGTACAATCATTGCCCCATTTTGCAAATAAGGAAATTAATCAGAGAGGTCAAGTGACTTACCTCAGATCACACAGATGACAGAGGTGGAGCAAGAAATTAATTTGGCTTGTCCTACTCAAAGATTCCCTGCCCTGCAACTTCCCCTTTAAGACATGATTGTTTAATAGAGTGAGTCTGGGACAATGCACATTTGTCAGGTACGCAGGCTCTGGGAAGCTGGAAATGGGACCAGCCAAGACTAGAGCTCTGATATAACCTCTGAGAAATGCCCTCCCCAACCTCAGTTCTCAGCCACACCCTCACCTACGAGCAACGCTCCCATCCAGGGCTCACCCCAGCCATGGGGAGCAACCAGGAACCGGGCCATGGGTCCTTTAGGAGTGCTTCCTCCTAGAAGGACATTGGTTTGCGGAGAACAGACTGCAAGAACCCCAGAGTGAGCCGATTTGTGTGTCCTGCCCGGAGCCCTAGCCCAGAGAGGAGATGGCCCAGCCTTCTGTCCCCATGATGAGGGCCGTGCCCATGGGGCATTGGTGGCCAGCCAGGGAGGGACTGGCACAGCCCTCTTCGGTTTACAACTGTTCAATGTCTCATTAACTTCTCCTCTTTGGTCATGTCTCTGGCCCAGCATTCGTGCCCTTTGCTCTTCCCAATCATCCTCATGGTAGGCAAACGTGGGAGGGCAGGGGACTGCATGCTCCCCTCCTGGCTTCCTGCTGTATAAATGGGGAAACAGAGGCCCCAGGAGAGCAAGTGATCCCCCCAGGACCATACAAGGAGTCTGAAATCTGGCCCTGACTGGATTCCAGTCTTTGGCTCAAGCCTCAGCCAGAAGTCTCATCCTGCATATCTGGCCCAGTCTGAAGACTCAGGTGGGAGACAGGAAATGAAAATCTTCAGGAGCTTCAGGGAGGCTCATTGGAAAGAAAAGGAAACTTGTATTTACTGAGAAACCAGCTTTGCCGATGCAACAGCAAATCCTGAGCTCAGCGTTCAAATTTCTCCAGAATCCAACCACTTCTCACCAGCTCCACCCACACCAGCACCATCTCCCACATGGACCATTGCAGTAGCCTCCTCACTGGGCTCCCTGCTCCTGCCCTCCTGCTAACACCTAAGTTGTCTCATGTCCCTTGCCTGCTCAGAGGCTTCCTGTGGCTTCTGTCTCACTCAGGAAAATGCCTAAGTCCCAACACTGGCCTGCAAGGTCCATGGTCTGGCCCCATCCCTGCCCCACCCTTATCTCCCGCTTCCTCCCTTACTCCCCGCTCTCCAGCCACACTGGCCTCTCCACTGTTCATCAACACTCAGGGCACAGTCCTGCCCCAGGGCCTTTGCATTTGCTTTACTTTCTGCCCCAAACACTCTTCCCAAGATAGCCACATGGCTTTTTCCTTCACCACAGTCAGGACCCTGTTCAGATGTCACCTCTTCAGAGAGGCCTTCCCTGGCTGTCCTGTGTACAGCCTAGCACTTCCTGTCCCACCTGTCTGGTTTATTTCTTTCCAACACACTCATCGCCGTGTGACACTCTCCACTGATTTGTGTTTGTTGATTGCTCTCCCTAATATCAGTCCCTTAAAGGCAGGGATTTCTACCTGGTTTTTTTAATTCTATTTTATTTTTTTAGAGATGAGGTCTTGCTATATTGCCCAAGCTGGTCCTAAACTCCTGGGCTCAAGCGATCCTCCCACGTTAGCCTCCCAAGTAGGTGATTCTACAGGTGCAAGTGACTGTACCTGGCCCCTCTGCCTGTTTTGTTCACTCTTGTAAATGCCCAAAGCCTAGCGCAGTGCCTGGCACATGGTAGGTGTTCAATAAATATTTTGTGAATGAATGTGTGAGACCCTGCACTGAGCAGTTGAATCCAAATTAAGTGCAAGTTTCCATCCCCATGGCCATCAGGCTAGAACAGAGAGGCTCAAAAAGCCCCCCAGCCACACACCCTATAAGGGGAGGAGTTGGTATTTGGACCCACATCTAATGCCAAAGCCTGCATTCTTAACCACTGCATTACACTGCTCCTGGATTTAGGGATTTTACTGATGAGACCCACAGAAAGTGTAATAGCCATCCCCACTGATGCCCCTCCCTTAGTTAACGAAGAAATCTCAAAGATAAGAATCAAAGGGCCAGGCGGGGTGGCTCATGTCTGTAATCCCAGCACTATGGGAGGCTGAGGTGGGTGGATCACCTGAGGTCAGGAGTTTGAGACCCAGCCTGGCCAATATGGTGAAATCCTGTCTCTACTAAAAATACAAAAATTAGTATTGGCATGCCTGTAATCCCAGCTACTTGGGAGGCTGAGGCAGGAGAATTGCTTGAAGTGGAGGTTGCAATGAGCCAAGATTGCACCACTGCACTCCAGCCTGAGTGACAAGAGCAAAGCTCCATCTCAAAAAGAAGAAGGAGAAGGAGGAGAAGGAGAAGGAGGAGAAGGAGAAGGAGGAGAAGGAGAAGGAGAAGGAGGAGAAGGAGAAGGAGAAGGGGAAAGGGAAGGGGAAGAGGAGGAGGAGGAAGAAGGAGAAGGAGGGGAAGGGGAAGAGGAGGACGAGGAAGAAGGAGAAGGAGGGGAAGGGGAAGAAGAAGAGTAAGGGGAAGGGGAGGAGGAGGAGGAAGAAGGAGAAGGAGCGGAAGGGGAAGGGGAAGAAGAAGAGGAAGAGGAAGAAGAAGACGAGGAAGAGGAGGAGGAGGACGGAAAAGAAGAAGAAAAAAGAAGAAGAAGGAGGAGGAGGAGGAGGAAGAAAGAAGAAAGAAGAAAAGAAGATGATATAGGAAGGATATAAGGACCCAGAGCAAGCCCAGGCACAAGCAGATGCCTTGAATATTCTTCCCAACTCTGAGCTGAGACGTCGTCCCCGCTTGGCCGAGGGCAGCTCTGCCCCCTGTTGGTCACTCATGGCAACGGCCCCATTGGTGTCCCAGGACAACAGCGTTGACAAGGATAACCCAACTGGCAAGTGCTCAAAATCCCTAATATACACAGAGTTCCTGAAAAGCAACAGGAAAAAAAGAGACAATGCATTTTTTCTTTTAGATATAGGGTCTTGCTTTGTCACCCAGGCTGGAGTGCAATGGCATGATCATGTCTCACCACAGCCTAGATCTCCTGGGCTCAAGTGATCCTCCAGCTACAGCCTCCCAGGTAGCTGGGACTACAGGCCTGTGCCACCATGCTGGGCTAATTTTTAAAACTTTTTGTAGAAATGAGGTCTCACTATGTTGTCCAGGTTGGTCTCAAACTCCTAGGCTCAAGCAATTCTCCTGCCTTAGCATCCCAAAGTGCTGGGATTCAACACAATTTTTTAATTGGCAAAGTACATGAATAGGCAACTCACAGAGGACATCATCTTCAAATGACTATCAAACTTAAGAAGAGATAGGCAGCTTCACTAGCGATGGAAATGTATTTTAAAACCACCTTGGGATACGAATGTTTATATGTACATGGAGCAAAAAAAAAGTGAAATATTAATTATATCCAGCAACAGGAAAGAGAACTGTTATAAACACTGTTCAAGTATTTGGTGGCCATTCACTGGCACTGGCTTGTACCCCTGCTGAGCTTGGGGGACAAGGAGCCACAGTGCGGAGCTTTGGGCGTCCCAGTCCACACTTCTGCCTCTGCACTCTCTTATTCCCGTGTGTGTGTATCCCTCTGTTGTAACACCCTAGCTCTCAGCAAGTGACAGGAAAGAGTCTAAAAGGCAAAGTTAGGGACAGGACAGGACCCTGCACCTGTGTTAATCACACCCCTTCACCCTCCAACAGGGCAGAAGCAACTCTCAATGCTATACTGCCTGTCCTAGCTTTGGCTGCCGTTTTTTTTGTTTTGTTTTTGTTTTTGTTTTTGTTTTTGTTTTTTGAGGCGGAGTCTTGCTCTGTTGCCCAGGCTGGAGTGCAATGGCTCGATCTTGGCTCACTGCAACCTCTGCCTCCTGGGGTCAAGCAGTTCTCCTACCTCAGCCTCCCGAGTAGCTGGGACTACAGGCGCCTGCCACCATACCCAGCTAATTTTTGTATTTTTAGTAGAGATGGGGTTTCACCATGCTGGCCAGGCTGATCCCAAACTCCTGACCTCATGATCTGCCCACCTTGGCCTCCCAAAGTGCTGGGATTACAGGCATGAGCCACAGCGCCCAGGCTGACTGCTGTTTTTTAGGCTCCCTGTGGTGGTGGGGAGTGTAGGGGTTGGTCAGGTAATGCTAATGGAAAAGAAGGGCAGACCCCAAATCTCTCCCCACCCGTGGCACCAGTCTTTCTACAATGGGAATGCTCCCACCCACGACTTCACCCTCATCCAGAACCCAACCACCTTCTGTTGCCTCATTAGTCCTGCTTCCAGCTTCTGAGGCATCTCCAGGGCTAGTGCAGGGGAAAGAGCCAGCAGAAAGGCCTGGACTGCCGTGATGCATTTTACCTTGTTTGTAGACATGGACTGAAAAGCTGCAAGACCAGCAATTATAAATGAGAATACCAGCTAACCTGTGAGTGGTTACTCTGTACCAGGCACTTTGCTAGGCATGCCACATACATGATCTCCTTTAATAACATAACCCATGATAACCCATGATAGGCCAGGTGCGGTGGCTCATGGCTGTAATCCTAGCACTTTGGGAGGCTGAGGTGGGTGGATCACCTGAGGTCGGGAGTTCAAGACCAGCCTGGCCAACATGGCAAAACCCCATCTCTACTAAAAATACAAAAAATTAGCCAGGTGTGGTGGCAGGCACCTGTAATCCCAGCTACTCTGGAGGCTGAGGCAGGAGAATCGCTTGAACCCAGGAGGCGGAGGTTGCAGTGAGCCAAGATCACACCAGTGCACTCCAGCCTGGGTGACAGAGCAAGACTCTGTCTCAAAAAAAATAAAATAAAGTGAAGTAACATAACCCATGAAAAACCTATATCGTAATCTCTGTTTTACAAAAGAAGAAACAGATGCTCAGCGAGGTATAGTAATTTGCCAAATGTCACTCTGCTAGAAAATAGCTGAGCCAGAATTCAAACCCAGAGCTTGTACTTTGAAGCATTTCCAATTTGCTCTTTGAACCAATTTGGAGGCTTTCATTTCTGGAAGCCAGGCTGTTGACAGCTTTCACTTCTTATACTTTTTCCCACCTAGAAAGGTCTGGCTGGGTGCAGACCAAATATGATTCTGGTGTCAATTTGAACAGACTGAACTCAAGTCCACATGGACCCTTCAGGATGGTCCAACTGGGAGAAGCCCTGAGGGTCACACAGAAGGGCCTCTCCACCTTCAACAAGTCTCCTGAGGATGAGGGCAGTGCACTTACCACTCAGCAAAGCCACACATGCATCCTCATTAGAGGGGCACCCTCTCTGCTGGAGAACCGGCAAGTCTCAAAATTGGGGCTTAGTCCAGGAGGGTTCTTGCCTTTGCCCAGGAAAGAATTCAAGGGTGAGCTGGTGGCGTTAGACAGCAATCTTTTATTGCACAGTACTGCTCCTTGCAGAGCAGGGCTATCTCATAGGTAATGTGCTCAGAGCAGGCAAGGTAGGGACTGTTGCCAACTGTATTTATACCCACTTATACCAACTTTCACTTACATGCAAATTAAGGGGTAGGTCAATGCAAATCGAGAGGTGGGTCATTTAGAATTTTCTAGGAAAATGGTGGTAAATTCCGGGTGATTTCCACACATTTGTAAACTGTCATGGCTCTGGTGAGAATGTCTTGTGCTAATGCACAATGAGGGCAGCTAAGGATTGCTTTTGTTGCCATCTGCTGGTTCCTGCCAGTTTTTTCATTCTGTCCCTTCAGGACTGAGAAATAAGTCCTGCCAACCTATCTCCTACCTCATCTTTTCCTCAGCCCAGTCGGGGATGGTGGGTGACTAAGAACCAGACTGGTTGGAAAAACATGCTGTGATTTAAACCTGTAATCTCATTCTGGATTTTTATAGCAGACAAGCCAGTTGGACATGCCCAGTCTTTTTGCCATAAAACCCCAATGTGCAAGGGAGACCAGACCAACTCCATTCTAGCTGAGGAGCCCCTGGCTGGGCTGCCTCTGGTCCATATTTTGCATCTCCTTATATCAAGTCTGAGCATTGTCTTCCAACCCACGGAGTTCTTGAATGATGGAGCCCAGCCTCTTGATGGGTATTGGCACTCAAGCTGGGCTCCTGGGAACCCCACATGGCCGCACCCCTCTCCCATGATGGGGGAGAATCTCCTCCCTGGACCCTCCCTGTGGGGGCATCAGAATCTCTGGGGCAGCAACAGGGCTGGAAGAGAAGCCTGGACTTCTCCAGAAACTGTGTCTGTATGGCCAGCACATGTTTTCACTTCCCATGGGTATTTATATGAGTGAAGGGCAGATATAGAGTATTAAGAGAATAAGGATCCTAAAAGCCTCCTTGGAGTCACCAAGGTCCTCCACAGTCCCTACAACCTTTAACTCCTCAGCTCCCCTCACCCAGGGAAATTCCAGTCAAATAGACTGAACCACACAAGTGGCCAAATAATTTCAGGGAAGTTTAAACCCCTTTCAGATGCGCTAGTTGATCATATCTTGCCAGTTATCCTCAAGCTCCCCAAGCCTTCCAGCCACCTCCAATAACTTCATAGAAACCACTGGTTGCTAATGATCACGGAGTCCTGGACTCCTTTGAAAATGCATTGAAAGTTGTGTGATCCTGGACTGAAGCTTCAGGCCCTTCCTCAGAATATGCAGATGTATGCACAATGCTTCACACAATGTCAGGGATCCTTTCCAAGGAAATTTACACCCAGACATATCATCATCCAACTGTGGAAAATCAAACACAAAGAAAAATCTCGAAAGCATCCAGAGAAAACTAAACACATCACTTATACCAAAACAACAATTCAGATGATGGCAGATTTCTCATCAGGAACCATAGTGGCCAGAAGAAAGTGGCACTTTTTTTTTAAGTGAAAGCAAATTTATTAAGAAAGAAAAGGAATAGGCCAGGTGCAGTGGCTCATGCCTGTAATCCCAGCACTTTGGGAGGCCAAGGCAGTGGCTCACGCTTGTAATCCCAGCACTTTGGGAGGCCAAGGCTTGAGGCCAGGAGTTTGAGAGCAGCCTGGGTAACATGGGGAAACCTTGTCTCTACAAAAAATACAAAAATTAGCTGAGCATGGTGGTGCATGCCTGTAATCCCAGACACTTGGGAGGCTAAGGCATGAGAATCAGGAGGCAGAGGTTGCAGCGAGTCAAGATTTGCCACTGTACTCCAGCCTGGGCCACAGAGCAAGACTGTCTCAAAAAAGAAAGAAGAAAGAAAGAGAGGAAGAAAGGAAAAAAGAAAAGAAAGAAAGAAAGAGAGAAACGAAGAAAGAGAGAGAAAGAGAAAGAAAGAAAGAAAGAAAGAAAGAAAGAAAGAAAGAAAGAAAGAAAGAAAGGAAGGAAGGAAGGAAGGAAGGAAGGAGGGAAGGAAGGAGAGAGAGAGAAAGAAAGAAAAGAAAGAGAAAGAAGAAAGAGGAAGAGAGAGAGAGAGAAAGAAAGAAAGGAAGGAAGGAAGGAGGGAAGGAAGGAGAGAGAGAAAGAAAGAAAGAAAAGAAAGAAAGAGAAAGAAGAAAGAGAAAGAAAGAGAGAAAAGGAATAAAAGAATGGCTACTCTATAGGCAGAGCAATGGCATGGGCTGCTCAACTGAGTACACTTACAGTTACTTCTTGATTATATGCCAAACAAAGGGTGGATTATTCATGAATTTTCCTGGAAAGGGGTGGGCAATTCCTGGAACTGAGGGTTCCTCCCCTTTTTAGACCATATAAGGTAAGTGCTAGATGTTGCCATGGCATTTCTAAACTGTCATGGTGCTTGTGGGCATATCTTTTAGCATGCTAATGTATTATAATTAGCACATAAGGAGCAATGAGCATGACCAGAGGTCACTTTTGTCGCCATCTTGGTTTTGGTGGGTTTGGCTGGCTTCTTTACCACATCCTGTTTCATCAGCAAAGTCTTTATGACCTGTATCTTGGTGGCACATTTTTTAAGTGCTGAAAGGAAAACAACTGTCAACCCAGAATTCTGAATCAAGTGAAAGCATTCTTTAGGTTTAGGAGTGAAGGTGAACATTGAGGTTAGCTCGGTTTCACCTTGAATATGTCTTAAATCCCCTATGCATGCAGTGAATGTGGTTTTATACATAAAATGTTGTACAGCAGTAGCTGTATGCATACTTACAGTGTGTACAGAGATGCTCAGTACCCAACAGGACAAATCTGCAAAATACAGCTTCACCATTGAGCCATAGATGGAGCTGCTGCCTCAAATTAGAGCTGTATTTCCACCTGTTTCTATAGTTAAAATTTCATAAATTAAATGTGTGTATGATGCAAGTCTACTGCAATTCCTTTACTAGAGAGAAGTTGCAAGAACCAATGATCCCTGTTTCTTTATATTCATGCCCTCATCTAATTCCTTCCCCCTGAGTGTGGGCTGTACCTAGTGACTCATTTCTAATGAATGAAGTACAGCAGAAAGTGATGGCTGTCACTTCTCAGATTGGGTTACAAAATGGCTGTTGCTTCTATTTTCAACTTCTCTCTCACTCTGTCTTGAATCACTTTCTGAGGGGAAAGCTACCTGCCAGTAGCAAACACCATCTGAGTGAGCTTGGGAGCAGAACAATCACCCCATACCCTCATCCCAAGTTGAGCTTTTGAATGACACTGCAGCCCCCGTCCAGTAGCTTGATCGCATCAGAGGGAAAAGACCTGGCTAAGCTGAGCCCAGATTCTTGACTCAAAGAGACTATGAGATAACAAATGTTTTATTGTCTTAAGCCACTACATTTTGGAGTAATTAGTCATACATCAATAAATAACTAATGCAGGTGGCCTTCTGGGACACAGAGGAGGATGGAGAAGGTTGAATATCAGAGAGCAGATCTTGGGGACAAAAACACAGAGTCCTCATCACAGGTTATCATGCGAGCCCAGAAAACAAGCATCTAACATCTCATCAATAATATGTTCCCACACACCACCAATACTTTTACCAAAAAAAGTACTAATAGCTAATATTTCAGTTTGTATTTTCTAAAATTGACTCCATATGGCTTTCCTTTGGTGGAAAAGGAAAAAGAAAATTTGTCTCTGTCATTAACTTAATGTGATGTGTCAAATTTTATTTTATTTTATTTTATTTATTTTTTGGAGCAGGGTCTCACTCTGTCACCCAGGCTGGAGTGCAGTGGTGCAATCTCAGCTCACTGCAACTTCTGCCTCCTGGGTTCAAGCAATTCTCATGCCTCACCCTCCTGAGTAGCTGAGATTACAGGCACACACCACCATGCCCAGGTCATTTTTTTTGTATTTTCAGTAGAGACAGGGTTTTACCATGTTGGCCAGGCTCGTCTCAAACTCCTGACCTCAAATGATCCACCCACCTCAGCCTCCCAAAGTGCTGGGATTACAGGCATGAGCCACCACGCCTGGCCAATGTGTCAAATTTTAGATGAGGACACAGAGAACAGGACAGAGGACCTGAACTTTAATAATCATTCTCATATCAAATATGGAAACCACGTTGTTACGGTTTAAATGCTTGTCTCCTTCAAAATTCATGTTGAAACTTAATAGGCAATGTGGCAGTATAGAAAGGTGGGACCTTTAGGGGGCGATTGGGTCATGCAGGTTCTGCTCTGATGAATGGATTAATCCATTCATGGGTTAATGGGTTAATGAATTAATAGGTTATTATGAGAGTGGCATTAGTAGCCTATAAGAAGAGGAAGAGAGACCTGAGCTAGCATGGCCCCTTGTCATGTGATGCCCTGCACTCTATAGACTGCAGAGAGTCCACACCAGCAAGAAGGCTCTCACGAGATGTGGCCCCTTAACCTTGGACTTCTCAGCTTCCATGACTGTAAGAAATAAGTTCCTTTTCTTTATAAATTACACAGTTTCAGATATTATGTTATAAGCAACAATTAGAAAATCTTTAAATCCACCTGGGACCTGGAAGCCCCCTCTGCGGCTTCAAGATGTCCTGCCTTTCTGAGCTAAACCAATGTATACCTTACATGTATCAATTTATGTCTTTGCCTATAATTTCTGTCTCCCTAAAATGTATAAAACTAAGCTATAACCCAACCACCTGGGCACGTGTTCTCAAGACTTCCTGAGGCTGTGTCATGGATCATGATCCTTAACCATGGCAAAATAAAATTCTAAATTGATTGAGACCTGTCTTAGATACTTTTTGGTTTGCAGCTGCAACCAAATGTCAGCCAGAGTTGCTGTCTCATCTGAGGCTCAACTCGGGAAGGATCTGCTTGGAAACCAGGGCGTTGGTAAGGGAGTAGACCACCCTTCATATTGTCTTATGTCCAATTTCTCCCTCCAAAGAAAGAAGAAGTAAAAACTAAAAGGCAGAAATGAAATCCACAGGCAGACAGCCCGGCACCACACCCTGGGCCTGGTAGTTAAAGATCGACCCCTGACCTAACCAGTTATGTTATCTACAGATTCCAGACATTGTATGGAAAAGCATTGTGAAAATCCCTGTCCTGTTCTGTTCTGTTCTGATTACCGGTACATGCAGCCCCCAGTCACATACCCCCTGCTTACTCAATCGATCACAACTCTCTCACACGGACCTCCTTGGAGTTGTAAGCCCTTAAAAGGGACAGGAATTGCTCATTAGGGGAGCTCAGTTTTTGGAGACGTGAGTCTTGCCAAAGCTACTGGCTGAATAAAGCCCTTCCTTCTTTAAGTCAGTGTCTGAGGGGTTTTGTCTGTAGCTTGTTCTGCTACATTGGCAGCATTCAATTGCTAACTGGTTGTAGGACTGAGGATCTCCATTTCTTGCTGGATTTTGCCCACATGGGCCTCCCAACATGACCACTTGTTTCCTCAAAGCCAGCAAGGGAGAGAGTCTCCTGGAAAGATGACTCTATGTTACAGAATTGCCAGAGGTGTTCAGACCAGAGCAACTAACACAGGAGACAGAAATTATTTAGGCAGATAGTGAGGGCAAAAGAGCTCTCAGCAGAACTTCCCTTCTAACAAAAAGTAGCCCAAGAAATCATTTTTCCTAACAAAGAGCAGCCTGAAAAATCGGGCTGCAAACATAAATAAGGAAGCTAGAAGCTTGCATGGGGGAGAGCCAGCAGCTGCACCAATAGAAAAGGGCTACCTGGGAGGGGAACATCACATACTCGGACCTGTCAGGAGGTGGGGGGATGGCGGGGAGAGCATTAGGACAAATACCTAATGTATGCGGGGCTTAAAACCTAGATGACGGGTTGATAGGTACAGCAAATCACCATGGCACATGTATACCTATGTAACAAACCTGCATGTTCTGCACTGTCATGCACGTCCATGTGAAGTGACCACCAAACAGGCTTTGTGTGAGCAATAAAGCTTTTTAATCAGCTGGGTGCAGGCAGACTGAATCCAAAAAAGGAGTCAGTAAAGGGAGATAGGGGTGGGGCATGTTTATAGGATTTGGGTACATAGTGGAAAATTATAGTTAAAGGGGATTGTTCTCTTGCGGGCAGGGGTGGGGGTCACAAGGTGCTCGGTGGGGAGCTCCAGAGACTAATTGTCCAGGAGAAGGAATATCACAAGGTAATGTCATCAGTTAAGGCAGGAACCGGCCATTTTCACTTATTTTGTGGTTCTTCAGTTGCCTTAGGCCATCTGGATGTATACATGCAGGCTTGGGCTCAGAGGCCTGATGTGCACATGTATCCCAGAACTTAAAGTAAAATAAAAATAAAAATAGATTCTAAAAAAGAAAGAAAAGGGCTACCTGCGGGGCAGGCATGTCCACCATGAAAGCTCAATCTTCCCTTTTTTGTTAGCAAGTATACAGTAAGAAAGAAATGGATAACATTGTGCAGCTCAGGCTGAAAACCCACCTGCATAATAAGACTGGGGTGGGGGCTGCCAGAAATTCATGCCCTGTGCAAATGGAACACCTGGTCCTAACCAGTTTCTTACACCCTATGTAGAGCAGGTACTGCCTCCCCACCAGCTCATCTATAAAAACCCCTGCATTTCACCATGGACCAGCAACCTATTTTTCTGGGACCCCCTCTCTGTAACAGACAGCTATTCTCTCTCTTTTGCCTATTAAACTTCTGCTGTCAACCTCACTCTTTTCTTTCCCCCCAGGGGAAAGTGTAAACGCAGTCACCCACTACCACAAATTATGCAGTAACCTCACTCTTTGTGTGTCCGTGTCCCAGTTCTCCATGGCCGTGAGACAACAAACCTCAGGTGTCACCTCAGAAATGAGGCCATTTCACAACTTCATCTTGTACAGGAGCTGGGTAAAATAGGGCTGACACTTCCTGGGCTGCATTCCCAAGAGGTTAGGCATTCATAGTCACAGGATGAGATAGGAGGCCAGCACGAGATAGGAGGCCAGCACAAGATAGGAGGCAAGCACAGGTCACAAACACCTTGCTGATAAAATGAAATGTGGTAAAGAAGCCAGCCAAAACCGAGATGGTGACAGGACTGACCTCTGGTAGTCCTCACTACTCTAATTATAACACATTATTAGCATGCTAAAAGACACTCCCACCAGCATCATTACAGTTTACAAATGCCATGACAATGTCCACAAGTTATCCTATGTGGTCTAAAAAGGGGAAGAACCCTCAGTTCCAGGAAATCCCTGCCCCTTTCCTGAAATACTCATGAATGACCCACACCTTGCTTAGCATATAATCAAAGAGTAACTGTAAATGTACTCAGCCGAGTAGCCCATGCCACTGCTGTGCCTATGGAGTAGCTACTCTTTATTCCTTTACGTTCTTAAAAAACTTGCTTTCACTTTATTCTATGAAAAAAATAGGCTGGGTGCAGTGGCTCATGCCTGTAATCCCAGGACTTTGGGAGGCTGAAGCAGGCGAATCACTTGAGGTCAGAAGTTTGAGACCAGACTGGCCAACATAGTGAAACCCCATCTCCACTAAAAATACAATAAATTAGCCAGGCGTGGTTGTGCGCGCCTGTTGTCCCAGCTACTTGGGAGGCTGAGGCAGGAGAATTGCTTGAACCCGGGAGGCGGAGGATGCAATGAGCTGAGATCGTGCCACTGCACTCCAGCCTGGGCGATAGAGTGAGACACTGTCACACACAAAAAAATAAAAATAAAAATAAAAATAAATGTATGGACTGCTTTGACGAGTGGAAGAAGTTGGGAGTAATGCCCTCAACTACTCTAGTGAGGTCATAAGACAAAAATAAAATAAATAAAAATATAAAATAATAAAATAGAAATAAATGTAAAATAAAATAAATACAAATATAAAATAAATGTATAATAAAATAAATACAAATATAAAATAAATGTAAAATAAAATAAATACAAATATAAAATAAATGTAAAATAAAATAAAAATGAATAAAGTAAATTAAAATAAAAATAAATTATTTTATTTTATATGTTGAAATAAAAAGGTTTTATATGTTGAAATCCTAATGCCCAAGGTGATGGTATTAGGAGATGAGGCTTGGGTCAGTGATGAGATCATGAGGGAGGAGCTCTCATAATGGGATTGGTGCCCTCTTATAAAAGAGACCCCAGGGAGACCCTCATCCCTTCTGCCATGTAAGATCCATCCAGTGCACCGAGAACTGGGGTGCTTCAAAATGAGCAAGGATCGTGTTGGTTCTCAGAGCCAGATTTGGCTCCAGCCCCTTTAGCATTGGTCCTTTGCCTGCTGAGTTCCCTCAACCAGGCTTGCCTTTCCTTCTGTTCTGCACTCCCCACCCACTCCTGCTGGCTGGAACTCAGCTGAGCCTTCATAGCTGAACAACGAGTGAATGAATGAATGAACAATTGAAGACCCAGCTTCCTGCTTCAAGCAGGAAGTCACCCCCAGAACACTGGGCTTTCCCATCTTCTGGCCCAGATAGCATCAGTCTTATCTCCTTTACTGACCATAAATTTCTGTGGGGAAAAGCAAGAGAGATCAGATTGTTACTGTGTCTGTGTAGAAAGAAGTAGACATAGGAGACTCCATTTTGTTATGTACTAAGAAAAATTCTTCTGCCTTGAGATTCTGTTAATCTATAACTTTACCCCCAACCCTGTGCTCTCTGAAACATGTGCTCTGTCAACTCAGAGTTAAATGGATTAAGGGCGGTGCAAGATGTGCTTTGTTAAACAGATGCTTGAAGGCAGCATGCTCCTTAAGAGTCATCACCACTCCCTAATCTCAAGTACCCAGGGACACAAAAACTGCGGAAGGCCGCAGGGACCTCTGCCTAGGAAAGCCAGGTATTGTCCAAGGTTTCTCCCCATGTGATAGTCTGAAATATGGCCTCGTGGGAAGGGAAAGACCTGACCGTCCCCCAGCCCGACACCCGTAAAGGGTCTGTGCTGAGGAGAATTAGTAAAAGAGGAAGGAATGCCTCTTGCAGTTGAGACAAGAGGAAGGCATCTGTCTCCTGCCTGTCCCTGGGCAATGGAATGTCTCGGTATAAAACCCGATTGTATGCTCCATCTACTGAGATAGGGAAAAACCGCCTTAGGGCTGGAGGTGGGACCTGCGGGCAGCAATACTGCTTTGTAAAGCATTGAGATGTTTATGTGTATGCATATCTAAAAGCACAGCACTTAATCCTTTACATTGTCTATGATGCAAAGACCTTTGTTCACGTGTTTGTCTGCTGACCCTCTCCCCACAATTGTCTTGTGACCCTGACACATCCCCCTCTTCGAGAAACACCCACAGATGATCAATAAATACTAAGGGAACTCAGAGGCTGGCGGGATCCTCCATATGCTGAACGCTGGTTCCCCGGGTCCCCTTATTTCTTTCTCTATACTTTGTCTCTGTGTCTTTTTCTTTCCTAAGTCTCTCGTTCCACCTTACGAGAAACACCCACAGGTGTGGAGGGGCAACCCACCCCTACAATTTCCCAAGCACAAACACGAGGCCTGACACATGTGGACGTCCCCCTCTGCGTCCCCCTCTTATTGAATTTATTTTCTGTGCCAGGGACTTTACACGCCATGTGTCACTGAGTGCTCACAATGACACAGTGAGGTAGAAGTTATCGTCATCCTTCCACAGAGGAAGAAAGAGGATCGTGTGCACAAAGTCACCTGCCCAAGACAGTTGGAAGGACAATGCAGGTGTAAGCCTAGGACATTGATGTGGAGCCCCAGAAGAACATGTATTCTGGCCGGGCACGGTGGCTCATGCCTCTAATCCCAGCGCTTTGGGAGGCTGAGGAGGGTGGATCACCTGAGGTCAGGAGTTCGAGACCAGCCTGGCCAACATGATGAAACCCCGTCTCTACTGAAAATACAAAAAAATTAGCTGGGCATGGTGGTGGGCACCTATAATCCTAGCTAATCAGGAGGCTGAGGCAGGAGAATTGCTTGAACCCGGGAGACAGATGTTGCAGTGAGCCGAGATCTCGCCACTGCACTCCAGCCTGGGCAACAAGAGTGAAATTCCACCTCAAAAAAAATATTCTATAGGCTTATATATAAGCCTATAGAATAGGACAGCTTCACTGTGTGCTTTTTTTGCAGTGTGAAAAACATGCTTTCATGAAGGGATTGACTAAGGGATGTGGAGCAGAGGAAGGAGGAATGAGGTGCGCCTGGGGGTAGGGGCACTTTTAGAAGAGGTCATAGTTAGGGGCCAGGGACGGGAGAGTGATCACCAGGAAAGAAAGGAAAGGGAGCTGCCTTTGCGGGCAGCCAGGAGGACTTGAGTGGGGCTTAGGAGGAAGGCAGCACTGGGATATTTGTTTGGCCGACCCATTCAACAGCTATTCCCAGACCCGATGGCTCAGGCTTGTAATCCCAGCAATCAGGGAGGCTGAGGCAGGAGGATTGCTTCAGGCCAAGACTTCCGGACCAGCCTGAACAACAAAACAAGATGGTGTCTTGTTCTGTCACCCAAGCTGGAGTGTACTGGCATGATCTCTGCTCACTGCAACCTCCACCTCCCAGGTTCAAGAGATTCTCCTGCCTCGCCTCTGAGTAGCTGGGATTACAGGCACATGTCACCAAGCCTGGCTAATTTTTGTATTTTTAGTAGAGACAGTGTTTCACCATTTTGGCCAGGCTGGTCTCGACCTCCCAGCTTCAAGTGATCTGCCTGCCTCAGCCTCCCAAAGTCCTGGGATAACAAGCGTGAGCCACTGTGCCCCACCTCAAAAATTCTTTTAAAATAGGCTAAGTGTGGTGGCGCACACCTGTGGTCTTGGGAGGCTGAGGTAGGAGTATCTCTTGAGCCCAGGAGTTTGAGGTTACAATGAAGTGATTGCTCCACTGCACTCCAACCTGGGTGACAGAGCAAGACTATGCCTCAAAAAAAAAAAAAAAAAATTAACGAACACTCCTGCCAGTTGGAACTCAGCTGAGCCTTCATAGTTGAATGTTGAATGAAAGAATTAATGAATTAATGAAGCCAGGCACTGTGCTGGGTGCTGGAGATGTGGCAGGGTGCAGGACCAAGTCCCTGCCCTTGAGGAACTGACGTCCAGCTGGGAGACAGCCAATGAACAAGGCAAATGGGTAAATTACAGGGTCTGTCTGAGGATGGTCAATGCCATGGAGAAGGCAGGAACGGGGAAGGGAGATGAGAAATGTTACAATGCTAGGAGGTTGGAGGAGGAGATGCTTGAGCAGACCTGGAGGAGGTGAGGGAAGAAGCCAGGGCAGATCCGGGAGAGGACCATCTAGACGGGAGGGCGTCCCAGGGCAGAGGTCCACTTGGAGCTGGAGGGTAGCCTGGCTGTGTGAGGAACAGGGATAGAGGGTGTGGCTGGAGGAAAGTGAGTGAGGGGAGAGGGTAAAAAGAGAGGGCGGAGAACTGCAGGGCGGGAGGGGGCGGGTGTGGATTAGACAGTCACTGTGGACTTTGGCTTTGACTCAGCCTGAGACTGGAGCCTTTGAGCAGAGAAGGGGCGAGATATGATTTAGGCTGTTTGTTTGTTTGCCTGTTTTTGAGATAGTGTCTCACTCTGTCACCCAGGCCGGAGTGTAGTGGCAGGATCACAGTATTGGCTCAAGCAGCTTCAACCTCCCAGACTCAGGTGATCCTCCCACCTCAGCCTGCCAGGTGTGCGCCTGTAGAAAATATCTGCAAATCATATTTTTTTTCTTTCTTTCTTTCGTTCTTTCTCTCTTTCTTTCTTCCTTTCTCTCTCTCTCTTTTTCTTTCTTCTTTCTCTTTCTTTTTCTTCCTATCTATCTCTCTCTTTCTTTCTTTCTTTACTTCTTTCCTTCTTTCTTTTTCTTTTGAGAAAGGGTCTTGCTCTGTCACCCAGGCTGGGGGGCAGTGGTGCAATCACAGCTCACTACAGCCTTAAACTCCTGGGCTCAAACAATCCTCCCACCTCAGCCTCCCGAGTAGCTGGGACCACAGGTGCGTGCTGCCCCATGCCTGGCTAATTTTTTAGATTTTTGTGAAGATGAGTTCTCACTACGTTGCTTAGGCTGGTCTCAAACTCCTGGGCTCAAGAAATTCTCCCAACTCAGCCCCACAAAGTGCTGGGATTACAGATGTGGGTCACCATGCCCAGCTGCACATCATATTTCTGATAAGAGATTGATATCCAGAATATATAGAAAACTTCCAGAATACAACTATTTTAAAAAAAAATCCAATTTTTTTAATGGGCAAAAAGAACTTGAATAGACATTTCTCCAAAGAACATAATAAATGGCCAATAAGTACATGAAAAGATACTCAACTATCCCTAATCATTAGCGGAAGACACATCTAAACTACAATGAGATATTGCCTCGCAGCTATTAGAATGGCTACCATCACAAAAACGAAAATAACAAGGATTGGCAAGGATGTGGAGCAGCAAACAAGGAAACCTTGTGTGCTGTTGGTGGGAACGCAACCTAGTATGGCTGTTGTAGAAGACAGTATGGTGGCTCCTCAAAAAATTAAAAATAGAGGTTGGGTGTGGTGGCTCATGCCTGTAATCCCAGCACTTTGGGAGGCACTTTGAGAGAGAGAGGGACAATGAGAGAGAGAGGTCCCTGAGGGGATTGGAACCTCTGGTTCTGGGTGTCTCTGTGCTCTCCTGTCTTGGAACTCATTTATAACAAATTTCCCTTTGTGTGTAAACTGCCTCAAGTTGGACTCCTGCCATATAGACCCAAAAGAACCTTAAGAGCTACACCTGCCCTGACAGGATGCATCCTGCATTCCTCCTCCCAGAGAGAGCATTTTGTCAAGACTAGCTTCAGCTGCAAGTAACAGAAAACCCCAAAATCAAATGGCCTCAACAAGATGGAAGTTTCTCTTTGACATAAATGGAGTCTGGAGGTAGAGAGTTCAGGGCAAATGTGGCAGTTTCATAATCCTGGGGACACAGCCTCCTTCAATTATTACTGGCCTGTCATCTTCAGTACATAACTTGGGGTCCAAGATGGCTGCCAGAGCTCCAGCCATCATATCCACATTCTGTTCAGTAGTGAAAGGATTAGGAACAAAAGCTATCTTTAAGGCCAGCTCCTAGTAGCCTCATATAACACTTCTACTTCTATCTATTGGCCAAAAGTCAGCCACATGGCCACACTTAGCTCCAGGGAACCTAGAGAATATATTTTTTGCTGGACTCCCATGCATCCATTTAAAAATCAGGGTATGTATTACCAAGGACATAGAGGATGTGGACATCAGAAGCGTCTCTTCCAAAACCTTCTTCCTTCTGTAGAGATGGTGGGCATCCTAAACCTTCAGCCCCTGAGGGTCTCTAAACTGAAAAGTTTCCTGACAGACATTTGGAGAACTGATTCCACCAAAAACTATCCACAGTGGGCCAGTGGATGTCACTAACCTGGAGCAGATGGCAACCTGGGGAACAGGCCCAAGGCCAAGCAGCCATTAATCGCCTTTTGGAGCCCAGCCAGAAGAAACTCTTGATAAGAATCCTAGCCCCAGCCAGGACAAGGTCCCTGCCCTGCCCAGCTGGGAGCCAATGTGAATCAACAATCCACTCTTCCTGTGTGGCAGCCAGAGGGAGTGTTTACCTGGTGATCTTCAGGAACTGTAAATGGGGTGAGTTCCGATCTTCTTCACCTCCCCAACCCAGAGATGAAGGATCCAGTCTTGCACCCCCATCTAGACGAGCCCTTATCTTACCATTGTCCTCACCCAAAATACACACCTCCACGACCAGGGGACACCATTCACACAGAGCACAATAAATGGCTCCCACCAAGGTGGGCAAGGCACTGGTCCTGATTCTGGTCCACAGCCACCTGGGATGAGAAGGGGATGTAAGAACTAGATTGAGTGGGGTATCCCCCGCTGTATCCACTTCCAGAGAAGGGCAGGGCAAGGTGGAGCAGGATGAGATAGAACAATAACAATAGCTTCTATATATCATTCACACAAGATAGATTACTCTTGTTACAGCCCAAATGACAGGGTCATTGTAGACAAGCAACAGGAAGAATTTGGTGGCAAATGGCGGACAGTCTAGGAGAAGAGCAGAGGGCAACCTGGCCCAGGTAGCACATAACTATTCTCTCAGGCATACCTGTTAGGGTCCTGACCAGCTCTCTAGATGAGTGAGAATTGGGAGTTGGGAGCAGAAACCGTTGGGTATTCTTTGGACAGTTGGAGAAAAGGGAAAGAAGAATGGGCATGGGACCTTGTTCTGGCCAATGCCTAGTGAGAAGAAGTCTGCTGGGGGCTGATGGGAGAGATTTTATTGGATCTTGAAGAGAACTAGGAGCAGCAATTCCCCTTTTGTGTCTCTGGATGCGGCTGGCCACCATCTTGGACTGGGAGGGAAGTCACCATGAGAGGACAACCTGTTGAGGCTGGGGTAGGAAGATGAAGAACCTGGATCTTTGGTGTTATTACTGAGCCATTGTATTAACCAACCGAGGAACTGCCCTTTCATTGGAATCCCTGCTACATAAGATAATACACGTCAGTGTTTTAAACCACTTTGAATTGAGTTATCCACTTTGTATGGCCAAAAGCATCCAAAGTCATGTTTGAGGGGCTGGTTTTCTCGTCTAAACACAGCCCCGGCTCAGTTAAGCATAGGATGGGATGAGGAACAGGAACACAGGAGGCAAGGAGGAATGTCCCTGAAAATGTTTGTAAATGTGGGGTCGACACCAAGAGGCAGAGGGGAAACTCAATTAAAACTTAAAGACTGCAAGTTGTCACCATTGTAGACGTCTCAGCTTTGCAAGAAGTCAAGAATTTTCCAAATGCCACTCTTCAAGAGACAACTGGGCAGATGTGGATATTATTCCAAGATATGGGAAAACCTAATGTCACCATTAACCTTTGAATGAGATACAGCTGAAAGTGACAGATTCTTGAGTCCAAATGACTGGCCCAGATTCTCAGGCGTCCTAGCACAGCACAACCGAAGTTGGCACTTTTCTTTCCTACTTTGTTTATTCATCTTGGGGATGCAAAACGCTGCATGCATCATCTTCTATTTATTAGTAATCCTGTTACTCCTATTTCTTTCCCATGTTGTCACATTTTTACCGTATTAGAGCTGCTGCTTTGTTCTCCTCTCAATACCAAAAAATGTGATTGCAAGATTTTGCCTTGAAACTCTGGGCTGTTGTAACTCCTGGAAATAAAAATCTCAGCAGCATAAAAAGGAGAAAATCATTCTCTCTTCTGCAACTATAGAAAAGCAGACACTCTTTCCCTCATAAAACCTTCCTTGTAAATGTGGTTCTCACAAAGGAGTCCTATAAGACACCCAGACTTCAGAGACTGCTCTTGCTGCATCCTGCAAGAGCCACCTCTAACTTCCCAAAGCTGGGCTGATTGTCTTCATTTCTAATTTGTTATTCCTGGTAATGACACTCCTTTTTCCTAAAAAGTACAAAGAATTATGAGTTTTCATTGGCCATTCTCCCTTCCCCTACCCTCATAGAGCTAAAAAGACCACCCAGGACTCTGCTAGAAATTTTTATTAAAACATATAGATAATGTAACAGTCTTGTCTCATTTAAATGAATATTTTCCTTCATGCTGATATATGGATGGTGGCTGAAAACAGCAAGATGAGAAAATTGCTTTCATTTGGAATACTATTGCACTTGTGTTTCCTAAGATATTTCAGGGGTCAGTCTGGTGTTAGGACATTCATGTGCTTCTGATTTGATTGAAGATTGAATTAACTTAAATTCTTTTTTTTGTTGTTTTTTACTTTTTTTATTTTTTTAAAGACAGGGTCTCACTCTGTCTCCTGGGAATGGCTGGGACTGGAGTGCAGTGACAGGAACCGTAACTCACGGCAGCCCGGAACTCATGGGCTAAAGCAATCCTCCCACCTCAGCCTCCTGGTAGCTGGAACTACAGGCACTAGCTAACTGCCTAGCTAACTTTTTAAAAAAATAGATGGAGTCTCACTATGTTGCCCAGGCTGGTCAGGAACTCCTGGCCTCAAGCAATCCTCCCACCTTGGCCTCCCAAAGCACTAGGATTACAGGTGTGAGCCCCTGCACCTGGCCTAATTCAATTTCTCAGAAGGCGAAGGGGACAGATCCATCCCTGGGAAAGACATCTGACTGTTCTATGATGGAAAAGAGAAAGGACTCTGACTCCATTAGTACCCCACGATGATCTGAAGCTGCGAAAGTGACCCATCAGAGGAGCTGCTGTCTCCACCATCACAGGCAGGTGGGGAATCAAAAAGCTGCTGCTGTTGCTGCTAACTGGAATTGTCGGCTCCAGACCTCTGCAGGGCTTGCTGAATTCACACAGGCAAGAGCCTCTCAAAACACACTGGTGATGATACAGAAGATAGAAAGAAATTATTTAGGCAGATAGTAAGAGCAACAGAGTCCTTGGTGGAATTCCTCTTTAACAAAAAGCAGCCCCAAAATCATTTCTTTTCTAAACAAAGAGCAGCCTGAAAAATTGAGCTGCAGACATAGATAAGCAAGCTGGAAGCTTGCATGGGTGAATGCTGGCAGCTGTGCCAATAGAAAAGGGCTACCTGGAAGCCAGGTATGTTCAACCTGGAGGCTCCATCTTCCCTTTTGTTTGTTACCACATGTGCGGTTAAAAAAAAAAAAGCAGGCAACATGGCACTGGCCAGGTAGACAACCCATCTGCATAATGAAGCTGGGTGGGGCAGCCAGCTTCTTTGCGCGCTATGCAAACGGCACACTTAGTCCTAACCAGTTCATCATGTGCTATGCAAATGGCACACCTGGTCCGACCAATCTTTCGTGTCCTATGTAAATCAGACACAGCCTCCTCAATCTCATCTATAAAACCTTCTGCATTTCACTGCCAAAGTGGCAACCTATTTTCTCCAGAACCCCTCTCTGTGCAGAGAGCTCTTCTCTTTCTTTCACCTATTAAACTTCCCCTCTTAATCTTACTCTGGTGGTCCATGTCCTAGTTTTCTGTGGCTGTGAGACAGCGAATCTCGGGTATTTACCCCAGGCAATGACACTGTTTCAGTGGTATCTCAAAAAAAATCTAAACGGGTGTGGTGGCTTACGTTTGTAATCCCAACACTTTTGGAGGCCAAGGCAGGCAGATCACTTGAGGTCAGGAGTTCGAGACCAGCCTGGCCAAAATGGCAAAACCCCATCTCTACTAAAAATATAAAAAATTAGCCAGACATTGGTGGCGGGTGCCTGTAATCCCAGCTACTCAAGAGGCTGAGGCAGGAGAATTGCTTGAACCTGGGAGGCAGAGGTTGCAGTGAGCCGAGATCGCAATCACGCCACTGCACTCCAGCCTGGGCAACAGAGCAAGACTCTGTCTCAAAAAAAAAAAAAAAAAAAAAAAGAACCTTAGTCTCCACAACAACTTATCTTATCCCAGACATTCCTTTCTATTGATTCCAGGTCTTGAGATGATAACTTAACTCTTTCAACCAATTGCCAATCAGAAAATCTTTGAATCCATTTATGACCTGTAACCCCTCTGCCCCACTTCAAGTTGTCCCACCTTTCTGGGCTGAATCAGCGTATACCTTACGTGTACTGACTGATGTCTGCCTGTAACTTCTGTCCCCCTAAAATGTACAAAATCAAGCTGTAATCCAACCATCTGGGGCACACATTCTCAGGATTTCCTGAAGCTGTGTCATAGGTCATGGTCCTCACATTTGGCTAAGAATAAATATTTTCAAATATTTTAGAGTTTAGCTTTTTTCATCAACAAATGACATCCTTAGTCCTGGCCAGAAGTCAGAACCAACTGAGAGAGAGAGACAGATCAGCATGTCATCAGTATTTCCTAAGCAATACGCAATATCAGGGAATGTGGCCAAGCTGTGTAGCCCAATGGGTTTGTCATCACCTCCTTTGCTTCCTGTCGCCTCCAATCTAAATATCAACATAGGATGTAAGTTTGGATGCTGGTGATAGATTAAAAATAGCAATGGCTTAAATTCCATAGAAATGAATTTCTCTCTCCTGTAACAGTCCTAGCTGGTATGCAGTTCTGCTTTGTGAGGGTATCATGAGTCTGTGCTCTTCCATCTTGTTCTCTGCTATCCCTATGATGCTGAGCTTGTAAACCAAAAATACAACTCAAAGCCGCCACCTACCACACACCTAAACCATCTGAACGGACTCCCTCCTTGGCCAGGCCACTCCAAATTTAACCTGAAAGACTGGTTCAGCCCATGACGGGTGGGATGGGGGTTGGGGTTGGATGTGCTGAAGCAGGGTTGTTCGTCTTGGGTAATACCCGAGATTCGTTGCCTCAAGCCAATGAAATCAAGGATGTGGACCCACAAGGAGTGAGGTTAGGAGCAGAGGTTTAATAGGTGAAATAAAGAGAAAATTTTGCTGTCTTCTGCAGAGAGAGGGGGGTCCCAAGAGGGTTTTCCGGTCCATGGTGAAGTGCAGGAGGTTTTATAGATGAGTTTGAAAAGGCAGTGTCTGATTTACATAGGGCACAAAATATTGGTCGAACCAGGTGTGCCATTTGTATAGCATGCAAAGAGCTGGTTAGGGTTAGGTGTGCCTTTTGCATAGCTCCTGAAAAAGCTGGCCACCCCACCCCAATCTTTTATTATGCAGATGGGCTGTCTACCTGGCCTGTGCCATGTTGCCTGCTTTTTTTTTACTGTACATGTGGTGACAAAGAAAAGGGAGGATAAAGCCTCCATGTTGAACATACCTGGCCTCCAGGTAGCCCTATTCTATTGGCACAGCTGCCGGCATTCACCCAAGCGAGCCACTACTTTGGTTATCTATGTTTACAGCTCAGTTTTTCAGGATGCTCTTTGTATAAAAGACGTGACTTTGGGGCGGCTTTTTGTTAAAAGGGAAATTCCACCACAGACTCTGTTGCCCTTACTATCTGCCTAAACAATTTCTTTCTAGCTCCTGTATGAGTGCTTCATTATGGCCGCATCCCTTTTGGAGTTCAGGAAAAACAGACCAGCATTTAACATCGACACAGACCTGAAGTCTGATAAGAAACATTTACAATCCATTCTCTCTGAAGGCTGCTACCTGGAGGCTTCATTTGCATCATAAAACTCTGGTCTCCACAACCTCTTATCATAACTCAGACAGTCCTTTCTATTGATAATAACTCTTTCAACCAATTGCCAATAGAAAAATTTTTCAATCGACCTATATGGAAGCCCCTCCCCCACCACTTTCAGTTATCCCACCTTTCTGGACTGAACCGATGTATATCTTAAATGTTTTGATTGATGTCTCGTGTCTCCCTAAAATGTATAAAACAAAGCTACACCCCAAACATCTTGGCCATATGTTTTCAGGGTCACCTGAGGGCTGTGTCATGGGCTATGGTCACTCATATTTAGCTCAGAATAAATCTCTTAAAATATTTTACAGGGCCAGGCACAGTGGCTCATGCCTGTAATCCCAGCACTTTGGGAGGCCAAGGTGGGCAGATCACCTGAGGTCAGGAGTTCGAGACCAGACTGGCCAACATGGTGAAACCCTGTCTCTACTAAAAATACAAAAAACTTAGCTGGGCGTTGTGGTACACCCCTGCAATCCCAGCTACTCGGGAAGCTGAGGCACGAGAATTGCTTGAACCTAGGAGGCGGAGGTTGCAGTGATCCAAGATTGTGCCACTACAGTCCAGCCTGGGTGACAGAGCAAGACTCTGTCTCAAAAAATGTATATATTTTAGAGGGTTTTCATCGACACGCTTGTTCCCAGGGCCCCTAGCGTGTCGCACACTTGTTCCCAGATCCCCCAGCATGTCCCCACTTCCACCTGAAGGTAGGGAAAACAAGAAAGGGAGAACTTTATTGAAGGGCATGACCCAGAAATGGCACACAACTCTTCTGTTCACATACCATTCACCAGAACATGCTCACGTGACTACAGCTGCTGCAAGG
This sequence comes from Homo sapiens, assembly GCF_000001405.40. Taxonomy (NCBI): domain Eukaryota; kingdom Metazoa; phylum Chordata; class Mammalia; order Primates; family Hominidae; genus Homo; species Homo sapiens. The sequence continues at coordinate 44,605,473 of NC_000019.10, forward strand.
AAGGCTGGGAAATTTAGTCTTTATTCCAGGCAACCATTGGCCAAACTTAAACTCCTCTAACTATGAAAGGACTCGTAGATTGGGGAGGCACCACTAGCTTCTCTGCCATATATATTTACAACCCCAATAGTTGCTTCCTCTGCTAAGGCAGGTACATTATCACATAGTAGGAGGAAGCAGACCAAACTGTAGTCGTTCTGGAGACAGGTAAATCCAAAAATGGGAGGAGAGGATCTGAGCCAAGTAAGCTCATTTTCTTCTCCCAGACTCATCAAACTCATAGCAGGGGACAAAAGCCAAAAGTTTTATTCCAACTTCAGATTTCTAACTGGGGCAGTATTAATATTTTAGCTGAGACAAGTTTCTGTTGTATGGGACAGTCCCACCTATTATTGCAGGAGGTTTTGCCCAATAAATGTCACTACTGTTTCATCCTCAGGCATTGTGACAACCAAACTGTAGGAAGATGGGCTGGGCACAGTGGCTCATGCCTATAATCCCGGTGCTTTGGGAGGCTGAGGTGGGAGGATTACTTGAGGCCCTGAGTTCAAAACCAGCCTGAGCAACAAAATGAGATCCCATCTCCACACACACACACAAAATCAAATTGTAGGAAGAGATTTCCAAAACCTCTAGGAGGGGCAGGGGATGCCTTCGACTGGGAAATATAGGGGCATTTGTAACCACACCAGACCAATCTGATTCAACTTTTATGTAACAAAGCTGTAAGTTGTTTTTCAGTTGCCACGGACTCCCAGGTTGAAGGTCCATAACCTAAGCATGCCCAGGTGAACCAAACGTGCAACCTTGACTGAAACCCAAGTACTCAGACTGGGAAGTGAGGATTGAATTAAGAAGTGGACACTGCATGGCGGGATCCAGGATCCAATCACATTGAGCCCTGGCATCACCCCAGGGCACGGTCCAATCAAATCATGCCTCCCCACATCACCTCATTACAAGATCCAATCAGATCATGCCTCCCTGCAAATAATTACAAATGTAGTACGAGAAACACTGAGGTTTGGGAAATGTTCACAATAAGGCAAGATCCAATCAGATCATGCCTCATTACCCTTGGGACTATAAAACCTGTCCCAACCCCTAGCTCAGGGAGATATATTTGAGCCTGACTCCTATCTCCTTGCTTGACAGCCTTGCAATACACTTTTCTGTCTACAAAATCCCAAGGTTGGCTGGGCGCGGTGGCTCACGCCTGTAATCCCAGCACTTTGGGAGGCTGAGGTGAGCAGATCACGAGGTCAGGAGATCGACACCATCCTGGCTAACACGGTGAAACACCATCTCTACTACAAATACAAAAAATTACCTGGGCGTGGTGGCGGGCACCTGTAGTCCCAGCTACTTGGGAGGCTGAGGCAGGAGAATGGCGTGAACCCGGGAGGCGGAGCTTTCAGTGAGCCGAGATCGCGCCATTGCACTCCAGCCTGGGCGACAGAGTGAGACTCCATCAAAAAAAAAAAAAAAAAAAAAAAAATTCCCAAGGCTTTGGTGTGTGGCTTTCCATTGTGTGCAGGCAAACAGACCCAGTTCAGGTCGGTGACATGTCCTTCTCATAGAGATGTGAGAAATGTAGGATTCCCTCACACAGGGCAGGAGAAATGATGACTGATGGTACAGGGACTCAAGGAGCCGGGAGAACAGGTCTTGACCTTGAATGTCAGTAAATTCATTGTCTGAGAATGGGAGGAAGGAAGTGAGACTGGCTCACAAGTTTATGGGTGGGGGCAGGAAATAAAATGTGTTCAGACCCAGTGAGTGAAATTTAACCAGAGGAAGCTGAGCTGGTTCTTGGGTATAATTATGAGTGATCTAGGCTTTGTATATGGCAGTGAAGGCTGGAATGGCTGCTGAGAAAATTGGAACCAGGAACTGACCAACGAGAAATAAACAGATTTCCAGAGATTGCTCAAGGTCTGTTTGAAGCTGGGCACATGGATTTGTGGAATATGATGAGGTTTTTTTTTTTTTAAATAACCCAATCAATCTTTTATTTTTTAATTTATAGTAACCCCCTTTTATTTTTTGCCTTTGTTAAATGCCCAGACATGCCACAGTACCAAGCATTATCAATACCAACTCACATTCCTTTCCTTATTTAAAAAAAAAACTAACTTTCTAACTCATTACAAACACCCCTTCCCCTTTCCTCTCCACTTTCTTTTACGTGCCCACCTTATCTAAAAAAAAACCAAACGTTTAGCCAACCAAAATTAGTTTAAATTGTACGACCCAACCCCAGCCAATGGGGAAAGGGTAAAAGAGCAAGACTTGCATGAAAAATAGACTCTCGTGCCCCTTTGCTCAGGTATGCTCTCATGGCAACTGGCCAAAGAGACACCCACCCCTCTGCACAAAAATAAAATTGCTTTGCTAAAAATCCTTTGTTCAAGTGTTCAATTTCCTTAAAATTTTAAACGTTATTCCTAACAGATTCAAAGTGGTTCCAGGATGGAAGGGCAAGTTCAACCTGTTTGTTCCTTCAACCTGGAATGCACTTCCCCACAGCCCCACACTCTCACCCAACACCGACCTCTCTTCACCTATCACAGAGCCAAACTCAGGATCCCAGGTCCAAATCCCTAAGTCCAAATCCTGATTTTGCCACTTACTTGAGCGTGAACTTGGACAATTTATTTAACCTCCATGAATCTCTGTTTCCTCATGTAAAAAAATGGAAGCAATTTCTACCAGCTAGGGATGTTAGGAGACCCAAATGACTTTAAAAGGTTGTTGCACTTAAGAACACAGCCTCCAGAGCCTGATACCTGGTTCTGCCCAGTTATTCAGCAGCTTCGTGGCCTGGATAAGTCACTTAACCTCTCTGAGCCTCAGTTTCCTTTTCTGCAATAGGAGAACGGCAGCACCTGCCTCACAGCGTTGTTGAAAGGATAAAAGAGCTAAACGATGTAAAGTGTGAAGTTACATAAACGAATATATGTAATGCTAATCTATGCAAAGAGTAGGACTGGGCTCAGAGCCAAGTTCTCCATAAATACTAGCAATTGTCATGACTATTTCCTCCATATGGGCTCCTGCTCTTTCAGTGACACACAAAAAAATTCCACATGGTATGTGGACAGATATGTTTTATTTTCATTTTGTTACTGTCATCTACATTTAAATATAATTAGCATATTCATATATAATTTCGTGGGTGTTATTGTTTAAAAAAATGAGTGAACTTATTTTAGATGAGTCATTTTAAAGAAAAATGTTGAGTAAAGAAAAGTGTAGCCGGAGGCCAGGCACAGTGGCTCACGCCTGTAATCCCAGCACTTCGGGAGGCCGAGGCAGGTGGATCACTTGAGATCAGGAGTTCAAGACCGGCCTGGCCAACATGCTGAAACACTGTCTCTACTAAAAATACAAAAATTAGCTGGACATGGTTGTGGGCGACTGTCATCCCAGCTACTTGGGAGGCTGAGGCAGGAGAATCGCTGGAACCCAGGAGGCAGAGGTTGCAATGAGTTGAGATCACACCATTGCACTCCAGCCTGGGTGATAGAGCGAGACTCTGTCTCAAAAGAAAAAAAAAAGGGTAGCCAAGTGCAGAGGCTCAGGCCTGTAATCCCGGCACTTTGGGAAGCCAAAGCAGGAGGATCACTTGTGCCCAGGAGTTTGAGACCAGCCTGGGCAACATAGGAAGATCCCAACTCTACAAAAAAATTTTTTTAATTAGTCGGTCATGGTGGTGTGTGCTGTAGTCCTAGCTACTCGGGGGGATGAGGCAGGAAGATCACTTGAGCCAAGAGGTCAAGGCTGCAGTGAGCTGTGGTCACACCACCGCACTCCAGCCTGGGCTACAGAAGGAAACCCTGTCTCAAAAAAAAAGAAAAAGAAAAGTGTAGGTGATGTGTGCATATGGAAAGAATTACGAATGTGGTATGAGAAACACTGAGGTTTGAGAAATGTTCACAATAAACAAAGCGGGACATCAGTTAAAGCTGTGAAAAGGATCTTATTCAGTAACCACTGGCAGTAGGGGAAAGAGCTGAGCTCCGTTCAGATTCCTGCAGAGGTGGCTGGGTGTCTAGAAGGCAGAATGAGGGATGGCGAGAGAAGGGCACTGCAAGTAAAAATCATAAAAAGTTGGCTGGCTCATGCCTGTAATCCCAGCACTTTCAGAGGCCAAGGCAGGTGAATCACCTGAGGTTAGAAGTTCGAGACCAGCCTGGCCAACATGGCGAAATCCCGTGTCTACTAAAAACACAAAAACTAGCTGGGCGTGGTGGTGTGCACCTGTAATCCCAACTACTCAGGAGGCTGAGGAAGGAGAATCGCTTGAACCCGGAAGGCAGAGGTTGCAATGAGCCGAGATCATGCCACTGCACTCCAGCTTGGGCAACAGAGCAAGACACCATCTAAAAAAAAAAAATTGTACAGTGTCAATGGGATTCAGCCAGCTGTGTCTGCTAGCTGGCAATTGTCATAGTTAGAATTCTATCCTCCCGCAGAGACTGGGAGATGGAGGTCCTCTCCTTCTGACAATTCTATTTCAAAGGAATGGCTTTCAGATCCTCTAGAAACACCCCTGAGTTGTAGGATATAGATACATATACACCCATGTCTGAAAAAGGAAGGAGTCATAATTGTAGGCCCTTCTTAGTAAATGCTCTGAAAAGGGAAATTAGGGGTATATTGCCAGATATTGGCTAGGTCAGACAGTAAATTCTCCTGGCAAGGTAGAGCTTTCTCGGGTGGTATTTTAACTGGGGGCTGGAGTCATCCTAAGAACACGACCTTATGCTGCTAGATGCCCTGCTAAACTTTGATCATCTCTTTCTTTCTTTTCTTTTTCTCTTTTTTTTTTTTTTTTTTTTTTTTTGAGACAGAGCCTTGCTCTGCTGCCCAGGCTGGAGTACAGTGGCTCAATAATAATTCACTGCAGCCTCGAACTCCTGAGCGCAAGCAATTCTCCCACCTCAGCCTCCCAAGTAGCTAAGACTACAGGCACATGCATGCCACCATGCCCAGCTAATTTTTTTATTTTTTTGTAGAAATGGGGGTCTCATTATGTTTCCCAGGCTGGTCTCAAACACCTGGCCTCAAGCAATCCTCCCACCTCAGCCTCCCTAAGTGCTGGGATTACAGGCATGAGCCACCACACCTGGCCTTGGTCATCTCTTAATGCAGAGGTTTACATGGAGTTCTGCAGTCCTCAGAAACAGTGACCTGCTAAGTTCTCCTCGTCCTGCAGGGGTCCGCTTCACCGTCTCTTCCCCAGAGTCTTCCCTTATCCAGCCTGAGTCTCAGCTAGATTGAGAGTCAGATCCTTTCAAAGCTCTGTTTTTCATCTTTCCTTTCCATTAAAGTTCTTTCTTTTCTTTTTTTTTTTTTGAGACCGAGTTTCACTCCTGTTTCCCAGGCTGGAGTGCAATGGCGTGATCTTGGCTCAGCACAACCTCTGCCTCCTGGGTTCAAGAGGTTCTCCTGCCTCAGCCTCCCGAGTAGCTGGCATGCACCACCACGCCCAGCTAATTTTCTATTTTTAGTAGAGACAGGGTTTCTCCATGTTGGTCAGTCTGGTCCAGAACTCCTGACCTCAAGTGATCCGCCTGCCTCGGCCTCCCAAAGTGCTGGGATTACAGGTGTGAGCCACCGTGCCCGACCTCAATCAAAGTTCTTTTGGGATTTAAAGTAACTGAATCCCAAAACAAACTGACTTCAGGGGAAACAATGAGAATACACAGACCAGCATAGCACACAAGCTGAAGGATCAGTATGGACATCAGGCACAGCTGAATCTAGGTGTTTAAATGATGCCATTAGAAATCTCTCTTTCTGTGCATTGACTATGCTTTCACATGTGTTGGCCTCGTTTTTAGGCAATCTCTCTACTCATGATAGAAAGATGGCCCCCAGCAGCTGCACACTGAGATCTCTTCAGCTCAGCAAACCCGGAAGCAAGAAAAAATGCTTTTAGGCTGGGTGCGGTGTCTCACGCCTATAATCCCACCACTTTGGGAGGCCGAGGCAGGTGGGTCACTGGAGGCCAGGAGTTCAAGACCAGCCTGGGCAACATAGTGAAAGACTGTCTCTACTAAAAATATGAAAAAATTAGCTGGGCATGGTGGCACATGCCTGTAATCCCAGCTAATCCGGAGGCTGAGGCATGAGAATCTCTTAAACCCCAGAGGTGGAAGTTGCAGCGAGCAGAGATCACACCACTGCACTCCAGCTTGAGCAACACAGCAAGACTCTGTCTTTAAATAAATAAATAAAAATTTAAAAACAGAAAAAAGAAAAATTGCTTTATTCCCCAGAGTTCCAATAAAATCCGTAAGAGATTGCTTCTCCTTGGCCTGTTCTGAGTGCCACGCCCAGGTCTCCAAAAATCACTGTTGTCAGGGGATGAAGTGCTCTGATTGGCCAGTCCTGGGCCCCTCACCTCCCTGGAGCCATGAGGAGGCTGGTTTCCAAAAGAGAACTCCAGGTGCTGTTACCTGGATACAAGAGAGTACTGGCTGGGTAGAAACCCCAGAAACCTTACAACATAATGGTTATTAACTGCATCGTAAATATTTACTTTTTCCTACAGTGGTCTCCTGACCTAGCTAATCACTCCAGCAGAGGCCTTCAGACCAACTATAAAAAAGGCACTTTAGCAAATGCTAATAAAGAAATAACTGTGTCACCTGATAATGACTATTATTAGAGACTTATGGGTGAACCTTAGCCCCTGGGTGGAACCTGAACCTCTCTGGGAGGGAAAAGCATGAGCTTCTAAGTCAGAAAGATCTGAGTTCAAGTCTGAACACTCCCATTTCACTCACTTGCTCTTCATTCATTTATTCACTAAAAAGAAAACATGTAGGCTGGCTAGGTGGTTCATGCCTGTAATCCCAGCACTCTGGGAGGCTGAGGCAGGAGGATCACTTGAGCCCAGAAGTTTGAGACCAGCCTGGGTAATATAGTGAAACTCTATTTCTACAAAAAGAAAAAAAATTTAATTGGCTGGGAATGGTAGTGTGAGACTGTAGTCCCAGCTACTCAGGAGACTGAGGCAGGATTATTGCTTGAATCCAAAAGGTTGAAGCTGCAGTGAGCTATGACCGTGCCACTGCACTCCAGCCTGGCTGACAGAGTGAGACCCCGTCTCAAAAACAAAAACATGTATTGAGCACCTGTTATATGCAAGGCACTGTTCTAGTCACTAGGGACATAGCCACAAGCCAGACAACATCCCTGCCCTCCTGGATCTGATATTCAAGTCGGAGAGGTGGGACTAAGGAGGGAGAGACAGATAATACAAGTGGACAAATAAATAAATCATCTAAAATAGCGGTAAATGATGTAAAGAAAACAAAACAGTGTGGCTTGCTAGCAAAGAGGTGGGGAACTGAGTTGCAGCAGGCATTAAGAAAGGCCTTTTTGATAGAGTGATGTGTGTGAATTAAGCCAAAATAATAAGATACAGTCAGCTTTGAGATTACATGAGTAAGGTTCTAAGGAGAGGGAACGGCTCATGCAAAGCCCCTGAGCTGGTGCCTCCAAAAACTGGCAGAAAGCCCCTGTGAACGGTTGTGTGATGGTAGGTGAGTTACTTAGCCCCTGTGCACCACGAGAAAATGGGGATGCTCATATCTACCCCTCGAGGTTGCTATGAGGATTCAAATTAGGCAACCCTGTTACAAGGTTAATGCTGTGTCCGGCATATAGTAGGTGTTCAATAAACACCAGCTATTAGTTTGAGTAATATAATTATTAATTTGAGGAGGAAAGAATGGACCTGGGGAGTGAGAAGGGTGAGGAAAAAGTAGCTAGTGTAGCTTATCCTTCTAGAATCTAAAATTCAGGATATAGTCTGAGCAAGCTCCTGATAACGGGATTCTAAACATGCCTCCAGGACATCCTAGACACCAAATTATAATTAGCATTGACTTCATAGTGACTGCCATTCGTTGAGCGCCTACTACGTGACCAGGCACTACTCCAAGCACCTTGTGTCCACGGCCCTGTCTGACTCTGGGGCAGGCACTATTATTAACGCCTCCATTTTACAGAGGAGAAAAGCTGTGGTTCAGAGTCCAAAGCCCCGTCACCTCCTACCAGGTTGACCTTTGGCCATTCCTTGCCTTTGATGTGAGTGATAGGAGCGGGCGATTCTGCTTCTCCCTCCATCTCCCGGCGGGGATTGTACGGTGAGAGAATGAGAGCAAAACCTCAGAGCCCCCTTCCCAGGAACCCTGTCCCAGCCTGGTCCCCACCCACCACCACCACTGACCCGATGCTAGAGAAGGATGCGGCTGGAGGTGACTTCCCAGCCAACTTGGTGTAAGTCATGTGGGGAAGTGGCCAGGGTAGGGCATGGTCATCGTGAGCAGGGTCCTGCAGGGTGAGGCCGGGGCTGCAGACGCGACTGTACAGGTCTATGAAGACCCCATGTGTGATGAGGAGACCTTCTCTGCACAGTCCCTGGACAGAACACGAGATGAGGGGTCCTCTGGACGTCAGCTCCAGCCACACCCCTACCTGGAGGAAGCTGCTTTTAACAGGTGCGTTGGAGACAGCGGCTTCACCACGGGCCAGGGACAAGGAGGAGAGTGTCTCCTTACGAGTCCAAGTCACCCCCACTCAGAGCTTTGACCCTGTCAGTTTGAGGCCCATGCAGCTCAGGCACCCAACTCATGAGAACTCTTGAAGGCCACTCCGCCACAAGAGATGACCCTATTGGCTTCTTTTAGGAAGAAGGGAAGTGAGGCGCAAAGAGGAGAACAGGTCACCTACCCAAGATCACAGGGCTGGCAAGGGGCAGGATCAGAATTTGGGACCCCAGCCCAGCCCCCTTCCACCAGAATGCCCTGTCTCACCCCTGCAATCCGCAACTTAGTAATAATACATATAAATAATAACAATCATAAAATAATAACAGCCGTAATAGAAGGTCACTGTAACTGAATAGATCTATATACCAGCCTGTTTGGGGTTTTTGTTTTTTTGTTTTGTTTTGTTTTGAGACAAGGTCTTGCTCTGTTGTCCAGGCTACAGTGCAGTGGCCCGATAATGACTCATTGCAGCTTCAACCTGCTGGGCTGAAGCTGTTCTCCTGCCTCAGCGTCCTGCGTAGCTGGGACCATAGGTATGCGCCACCAAACCCAGCTAATTTTTTATTTTTAGTAGAGATGAGGTCTTACTATGTTGCCCAGGCTAGTCTCGAACTCCTGGGCTCAAGCGATCCTCCTGCCTCGGCCTCCCCAAGTGCCAGGATTACAGGCGTGAGCCACTGCGCCCAGCCTGTCAGCCCGTTCTAAGTGCTTTCCTATAGTAACATTTACCTCTTATCACAACTCTTTGAGATCAGAGCTGTACGATCCCTATTTCACAGAAGGGGAAACTGAGGTTCAGAGAGGTCATGTGCCCTCTCCAGGTCACACACTTGGAAGTGGCAGACTGAAGATTTGAAGCCAGATGGGCTGGCTTCCCAGACCACACTTTCCAGAGACCACACACATCTGCCTCTCAGATAGTGAATGAATTGCTTCCTTATCCAGGTCTTAAAAGTTCACTTCTGAGTTGGGCGCGGTGACTCACACCTGTAATCCCAGCACTTTGGGAGGCCGAGGCAGGCGGATCACGAGGTCAGGAGATCGAGACCATCCTGGCTAACACGGTGAAACCCCGTCTCTACTAAAAATACAAAAAATTAGCCAGGCCTGGTGGCGGGCGCCTGTAGTCCCAGCTACTCAGAAGGCTGAGGCAGGAGAATGGCGTGAACCCGGGAGGCGGAGCTTGCAGTGAGCCAAGATCGTGCCACTGCACTCCAGCCTGGGCGACAGAGCACGACTCCGTCTCAAAAATAAATAAATAAAGTTCAGTTCTGAGCCGGGTGCAGTGGCTCACGGGTGCAGTGGCTGGGATTACAAAGTGCTGTAATCCCAGCACTTTGGGAGGCCAAGGCGGGCGGATCATCTGAGGTCAGGAATTCAAGACCAGCCTGACCAACATGGAGAAACCCCGTCTCTACTAAAAACAGAAAATTAGCTGGGCGTGGTGGTGCATGCCTGTAATCCCAGCTACTTGGGAGGCTGAGGCAGGAGAATTGCTTGAACCCAGGAGGCGGAGGTTGCGGTTAGCTGAGATGGTGCCATTGCACTCCAGCCTGAGCAACAAGAGCGAAACTCCATCTTTAAAAAAAAAAAAAAAAAGTTCAGTTCCATGTAATTTTAAAACCTCAAAGTCCACCTAGTTCAAAGCTTTGCTCTGTCCCCAGCTCAGGCAGGTGTCACACTGGAAGGAGGAAAGGGACGTGGTGGGCCTCTTCCCTATTTTGTCAGAGCTGTTGTCTGAGGCCTCTCTCAGGGCGGAGGGCAGAGGGGAGGAAGGAAAGAAAAGGAGATTGGAAAGTTTCTCCTAGGCTGCTGTAGTTTTGTGATGGAAACACGGCATGCTGTGTGTTGCTGGATCTTCCTGGGGGCGGGAGGGTGGGGTACTTTGGAAATTGGCTGTGCCACTGGATAAAACAGCAACCAGTTTTTAGAAAGTGGTTTACAACATGTTTGCAAAGTGAGCTGGGGGAGCTTACAAAACATTGTCCAAAGGAAAACAAAGCCACAGTGCAACGAACTTCAACTCTGTAAATACAAAATGTTCTCTTGATAACAGCAGGTACCTCGAGAGTGTGACCAGGACAAGCGTAGGGGTGGAGGTCAAAGGGATATTTGGCTTTATATGGGTCTACTTTTTTTTCCTAAGGAGAAGCTCTTGAGTGATTAAAAATTAATTTTAAAAATTATGAAAAACCTTCAAAGAAAATATACTCCCCAAAGTGGTTATCTGAGTATTAGGCTTAAGGATTTGTTTTACTGCTTTTTACTTTACTTTCCAAATTATTCTATAATGAGGAGCAGACGTTGTTTTTTGTGATGCCTTGTAAGAATTGCTGAACATAATTCTACTTTTTGTTTAAAAGAAATAGAAACAGCCAGGCGTGGTGGCTCACACCTGTAATCCCAGCACTTTGGGAGGCCCAGGCAGGCGGATCACAAGGTCAGGAGATTGAGACCATCCTGGCCGACATGGTGAAACCCTGTCTCTACTAAAATACAAAAAAATTAGCTGGGCGTGGTGGCGCACGCCTGTAGTCCCAACTACTCGGGAGGCTGAGGCAGGGGAATCACTTGAACCCGGGAGGTGGAGCTTGCAGTGAGCCGAGATTGCACCACTGCACTCCAGCCTGGCGACAGAGCGAGACTCCATCTCAAAAAAAAAAAAAAAAGAAGAAGGAAATAGAAACAATAACAAGCATAAAGCTTGAAAAAAAAAAACAGTAAAAGTTTCCAAAACATAGTGTTTATTTCTAGGAGTCTAAGTTTTCTGCTATAAAAATGGAAATAAATAAATATATATATATGAGTATATATGAGTAATACCATATATGTAGAGAGAGAGAGGGAGAGAGAGAAAAAGAGAGAGAGAGAGAGGGAGAAAGGTCTTGCTCTGTCACCCAGGCTGCAGTGCAGTGGCAGGATCATAGCTCACTGAAACCTCAAACTCCTGGACTTGAGGAATCTTCCCACCTCAGCCTCCTGAGTAGCTGGGACTACAGGCGCGTGCCACCATGCCCAGCGAATTTTTTATTTTTGTAGAGACAGGGCCTCACTCAGTTGCCCAGGCTAGTCTTGAACTTCTGGCTCAAGTAATCTTCCAGCCTTGCCCCACCCCTCCCCCCGCCCCCGCAAAGTGCAGGATTACAGGTATGAGCCAACACACCGGCCTACTCTTATATTAAAAAAAAAAAAAAAATGCCTATCAGGAGTGAAAGGATTAGGTGTGGTGCCCAAGAGACGCAGGGATTCTTTTTGGGGTGACGAAAATGTCCTTAAATTGCTTGAGGTGATGGTTGCCCAATTCTGTGAGTATACTAAAAGCTCTTGAATTGTACGCTTTAAATGAGTAAATTATTGGCTAAGAAAGTAGATTTTATGTGTTCTCACCACAAAAAAAATAAGTACATGAGGTAATGCATATGTTAATTAGCTCAATTTAGCCATTCCACAATGTATATGTATTTTAAAACATCACATTGTACACCATAAATATACACAATTTGTATTTGTTAATTTTAAAAAGAAAAAATAGTGGCAAGGTTATAACTTAATCAGTGTCCAGAACAAACATTATGTCACCCTTTAAAAATGTACCATTCACATTGATTTATAACCCTTTATTATTTCTAAATAAGGTGGTGAGAAAATGTTGGGTGAGGGGTTGGGTAGGAGTAAATGGAGCAAAGCAGATCCCAGAACCAGAAGACATTAGTAGTATATGGAGAGAGACACTCAACAGGAGCTGTGGGCTGGAACAGAAGGACCCAGCCAACTGTAGGACTAATCCCTTCAAGCTTACTCCCCCGCTGCCCTCTCCTCTTCTGCCAACGTGCCCACTGACAGAAACCAACCAGCAGCAAAAGGTAAGGGGACCCCAACAACACAGCTCAGAGAAGTCAGCCTTTCAGGCAGCAGAGTGGAGCAGAGAAGGGTAGAAAACCAATTTTTGCAACATCCAGTATAATATACGTGCGTGCTTCAAGGGGTCAAGGAGAGGAATCAATGATTCCTCCTCCTTCCCTGCTCTTCCAAGGCGCCCTGCTCACATCCTGCACCTGCTCTGCCTTCTCAGAGCTGCCCTTCTCGGCACAGCTGAACACCTTGACCGAAGGAGCCAGTGTCCATCTTCCTGTCCCCGGAAGGCTTGAAGGCATTCTCACCACGTCTTGGTTCTGAGGGTATGACGCCCAGCCAGCAGCCATGATATTCTCCCCGAAGGGCCTCCCAGGACCTGCTCACACTGGCCGGGAGATGCTGGGAACCCAAGGCAGCCTGGTCATTAGAAAATGACGGCTCAGGACTCGGGCAGCTACACCGTCGTGCTGGAAACCAGCAGGGGACACAGGAGTGTGACGGAGCAGATCCATGTCAAGAGTGAGTGGGGCCCCGCAGTGGGAGGGGCTGACTTCTCAGAAAGCAGACCCACTGGACCTCAGAAGAGCCCACCAGGACACTTTGCATGCTGGTTATCCATTGCTCCCCAATAAACCACCCCAAAACTTAAAACATCAATCACTTATCTAGCTGGACAGTTGTTGTGTTCAGCTGTTGGGGTGTCTGGGTGTTGGCTGGTCCAGAATGACCTCCTTCATGTGCCTGGCCATGGACCAGCTGGTGGCTGGAGTGATGGGGATGAGTGGGCCACATAGCCTCCCAACCTCCAGCAGGCTATCCCAGGCTTGTTCACTCAGCAATGGAAGAGGAACAAGAGGTAAAGCTGCAAAACTCCTTCAGGCCCAGGCTCAAAACTGACCACCATCACTTCTGCCACCTTCTATTGGTCAAAGCAAGTCACATGGCCAGCCCAGCTTCAACAGGAAGGAAAAAGGCCCCACCTCTTAAGGAGAGGAGTTGCAATGTGTTGTGGCTATTTTTTGTCGTTGTGTTAGATTGTTCTTCCATTGCTATAAAGACATACCTGAGACTGGGTTATTTATTTAAAAAAAAAAAAAAAAGAAGAAGACGTTTGATTGGCTCATGGTTCCACAGGTGGAAGTGTAATGCCAGCATCTGCTCAGCTTCTAAGGAGCCCTCAGGGAGCTTTTAATCATAGCGAAGGCAAAGGAGGAGCAGGTGTCTCCCGTGAGAACAGGAGCAAGAGAAAGAGAGAGTCAGAGAGGAAGTGCCACATTTTACAACAATCAGATCTCATGAGAACTCACTACCATGAGGACAGCGTCAAGCCATAAGGGATCCGCCCCTGTGGCCCAAACACCTTTACTGAGGCCCCACCACCAACACTGGGGATCGCATTTCAACATGAGATTTTGGCAGGGATAAATATCCACATTATAACAGCCAAGACTTGCAACAGACATTCATGAGATACGCATTCATCATCACTTGGGAAAGGTAGAGAAGGTCTGGTAGCAGCCTTCAACCTCATCTATATTTTTATCACCTGGACTCAAACTTTCATATCTGAATTAGGAAAACAAAGCCCTGAGAGTAACCAGACCCATCCTCCTTTTAGAAGATAGTCCAGAGACTGTCCTAGTCGGCTCGGGCAAAATACTCTAGGCTTAATCAACAGAAACTTATTCCCTCACAGTTCTGAAGGATGGATTGCAAGATGAAGCTGCTGGCAGGTTTCATCTCCTCTGAGGCCTCTCTTTTTTGACTTGCGGAAGGGTGCCTTCTCATTCTGTCCTTGCATGGTCTTTCTTCTGTGTGTGCACATCCCTGGTGTCTCTCTGTGTGTCCAAACTTCCTCTTCTTATAAGGGCACCAGTCAGGTTGGATTAGGACCCACCCTAACAACTTCATTCTAACTTAATCACCTCGTTAAAGACCTTATCTCCAAATACGGTCACATTCTGAGGTACTGGGGGTTAGGGTTTCAACATATATGTTTGGTGGGGGACTCAATTCAGTTCATAACAGAGATCAACTTAGTTAGGGTTCAGATTCTGATGCTCTAACAAAGACTCAAAAAGTTCCAGTGTCGGCCAGGCGCAGTGGCTCACGCCTGTAATCCCAGCATTTTGGGAGGCCAAGGCGGGCAGATCACGAGTTCAGGAGTTCAAGACCAGCCTGACCAACATGGTGAAACCCCGTATTTATTAAAAATACAAAAATTAGCCGGGCATAGTGGCAGGCGCCTGTAATCCTAGCTATTCAGGAGACTGAGGAAGTAGAATCGCTTGAACCTGGGAGTCGGAGGTTGCAATGAGCCAAGACCATGCCACTGCACACTTAGAACCCCACTTCTGCACAGAGGGGTTTTTACTCCCCTCCCAGAGAATTTATGGACCGCTGAGGTTCATCCATCTGTATTTCTGTGATTTGATGACTAATTTTGTGTGTGTGTGTGTGTGTGTGTGTGTGTGTGTGTGTGTGTGTGAGATGGAGCCTCGCTCTGTCGCCCAGGCTGGAGTGAAGTGGTGCGATCTCGGCTCACTACAACCTCCACCACCCGGGTTCAAGCGAGTCTCCTGCCTCAGCCTCCTGAGTAGCTGGGATCACAGGCGCCCGCCACCACGCCCGGCTAATTTTTATATTTTTAGTAGAGACAGGGTTTCACCATGTTGGCCAGGCTGGTCTCAAATTCCTGACCTCAGGTTATCCACCTGCCTTGGCCTCCCAAAGTGCTGGGATTACAGGCGTGAGCCACCGGGCCCGGCCTGAAGGCTAATTCTTCTAAAGGCCTGGCTCCACACCTTCGCCTATGCCATTCTCAGTCCGAAGGGCCCTTTCTAAAGAGAGAGGTTGCAGGAACTCACGCTCGGTGGTGCAGGCTGTGTGGCCAGAACTCCCTGGATCAAATCCCTCTGGCATCTGTTATGCCCCTGAGTCCCTGCAAAAAAGTAACTTTCTGTTTTGCACTTCAGTTTCCCCATCTGTGCAATGAGGTCATAGTGGAACCTACCTCATAGGGTGACTGTGAGGAGTAAGTGAGTTAATCAGTGCTAAATGCCTACAACAATGCCTGACAAAGAGCAAGTAAATGTTAGCCCTGGCCAGGTGCTATGGCTCACACCTGTAATCCCAGCAGTTTGGGAGGCCGAGGTGAGAGGATTGCTTGAGCTCAGAAGTTCGAGACCAGCCTGGGCAACATGATGAGACGCCCATCTCAACAAAGAATTTAAAAATTAGCCAAGCCTGGTGATGTGCGCCCATAGTCCCAGCTACTCAGGAGGCTGAGATGGAAGGATCCCTTGAGCCCGGGAGGTTGAGGCTGCAGTGAGCTGTAACCTTGCCACTGCACTCCAGCCTGGGGGACACAGCAAGACCCTGTCTCAAAAAAAAAAAAAAAAAAATAGCCCTGTTTGTTTCAAAGGACTTGACTTCTTTGAGCCTTCCTTTTCTCATCAAAATGGGAATAAGGCCGGCACGGTGGCTTACACCTTTAACCCCAGCACTTTGGGAGGACAAGGTGGGTGGATCACTTGAGCCCGGGAGTTCAAGACCAGCCTGGGCAACATGGTGAGACCCCATCTCTACAAAAAATAGCTGGATGTAGTGGCGCACGCCTGTAATCCCAACTACTCTGGAGGAGACTTTGAGCCCGGGAGGTGGAGGTTGCAGTAAGCTATGATTGCACCACTACACTCCAGCCTGAGTGACAGAACAAGACCCTGTCTCAAAAAAAAAAAGGAATAATAATAATTACTTCATAGGATTGTTGTGAGGATTAAATGAATAAATCCAGTGGCTTTCATGAGAAATGCTTTTCACATCATGTCCAGTATATCCCACAACTAACCAAAAGGCAAGTGTAGTAACAGTTATTACTATGAGTAATGCTCTCTGATGTTTTCTATAATATTTCTTTTCATGTTTTGAATGTTGATCACAGTCTACTAATGATTTAGACACCTGGGCATGGGTCTCGCATGCAGTATAACAAGCCATGGATTAACACGTGTGCTTGGCTCACAGTAAGAGCCCAATCCATGGCCGGGTATGGTGGTTCATGCTTGTAATCCCAGCACTTTGGGAGGCCGAGGCGGGTGGATCACCTGAGGTCAGGAGTTTGAGACCAGCCTGGCCAACATGGTGAAACCCCATCTCCACTAAAAATACTAAAATTAGCCGGATGTGGTGGCGGGTGCCTATAATCCAGCTATAGAGAGGCAGAGGCAGGAGAATTGCTTGAACCCAGGGGGCAGAGGTTGCAGTGAGCCAAGCTCCAGCCTGGATGAAAAAGCAAAACTCCGTTTCAAGAAAAAAAAAAAAAAAAGAGCCCAATCCAGGTGGCTGTTATATTGCCTCTTGTTTGTACACCTAGTGGGCTCTTTCTCCTCCTTCAAGGCTTAACTCAGACACCTCCTCCAGGAAGCCTTTCATGAGGTCTCTGGTTGTGCTAAAGTTCTTTTCACTTATAACATTGCATTGAAATCAGAAATCAGCTCTAAGTGGAAGTTCCCAGCACAGTCTGGGAGTTCAAATCCCAGATGTGTCCCTACTAGACCACGAAGCCTGGCCCTAATGAGCCCCAAACCTCAGAGCCTTTCACCTGAAAAATGCAGACAAGAAGTGGGGACCTCTTGGGTCACCTCCTCGCTGGGCTGTTTCCACTCCTCCAAACTTAAAGTCAAGTTCTCACATGATAGCCAGAGTGAGCCTGTTCAAACCTAAGCCAGCTCACGTCCCTCCTCTGGGCAGTCCTCCCATGGGTCCTACTGCACTCAGAGTCAAAATCAGAGTCCTCACCCTGGCCCAGGAAACCCCAGCATGATCTGCTCCCATTATCTCTCTGACTTCTTCTCCCAGCCCTCTCTCCCTTTCCCTCCTCTCTATGCCCACCTTGGCTCACACCCATCTCAGGGCCTTTTACTTGGTGTTCCCTCTGCCTGGAACATTTTTTTCTTAGGAATCCACATGGCTTATTCCTCTGCTTCTTCAGGACTCTGCTCAAACATAACCTCCCCAAAGAGGTCCTCCTTGACCCACCTTACCTGAAACGGGTTTACCCCACCCCCAGTCCAACCCCACAGCCCTGTGCAGTTTTCCTCACAGCCCTTACCACCACTATATATACTTGTCAGTTTGTTGACCCTCTCCTCACTCAATCGTAAGTTTCATGAGGGCAGCAACAGCGTCTGTTTAATCACTGCTGAGCCCCCGAGTCCTAGAGCCTTAGAGTCCTAGATTTGGTTCACCCAGATCCAGAGGCGAGGATTCAAGGACAGATAGTCTGTTTGGGAGGTGCAAGGAACTCGAGAGTGGGGAAGTTAGGCAGAGAAGGCAGGAAATAATAAAAGCTGTGTTCCCAAGCTGGTTACCATGGGCAACTGGAGCACAGTCCCATTGGGGAACTCAGGCCCTGGTGTGGAATGACTCTGCAGAGTTATCCCACATAGCAGAGAGGGAGCTGGGGAATTTATATACCAACGTGTCCTGGCATTGTGGAGGGCTGCTCCCTGATGTGCTCATTCCCCAGCACTTCCAGCCTGCTGCCTCCATGGGCAGAGTAGGCTTTGGCCACCAGTGAAAGTCCTCAGGCAACGGGATGCAGGTGCTGGCCGTTGGAAGTGGGAAGGGCAAGGGGTTGGACTGGGGGCACTGGGCACAGACCAGGCTCTTCAAACACATTCATGGGTGAATTAATGAATGAATGAACACATGAAAGAATGGATGTCTCTATGGTGGGCAGAAGAAATGCCCAGCTTTTCTGAGTGGACTCCACTCTTGTGGCCTTGTTCCCTGTTTGCACAGACAGCCTCCAACTAATGCCACTGAAGACATTCCCAGCTGCTATCCGGGGAGTCATCCAGAGTGAGCTCAACTATTCTGTGATCCTGCAGTGGGTGGTGACAATGGACCCTGAGCCTGTGCTGAGCTGGACCTTCAGTGGGGTGCCCTGTGGGATGGGAGAGAAGCTGTTCATCCGACGGTTGTCCTGTGAGCAGCTGGGCACCTACATGTGCATAGCCACAAACAGCAAGAAACAGCTGGTCTCTGAGCCTGTAACCATCTCGCTGCCAAGTGAGTCCCCCATTCCACCCCACCCCACCCCACCCAAGAGCCCTGCACCCTCTCCAGCCTGTGGCAGCCTCTATGATTCCATTAAGCCACCTACTATGAGCAGTCCCCTGTGAGACCCTTTATAGGCAAAATGTCATTCCAATGTTCCATCCACCTGGCGGACTGTGGATTATTAGGCCACTTTCTTCTTCTTTCTTCTTTCCTCTTCTTCTTCTTTTCTTTCTTCTTCTTTTTCTTTCTTCTCCTTCTTTTCCTCCTCCTCCTCCTCCTTCTTCTTCCTTCTTCTTCTCCTTCTCCTTCTTCTACTTCTTCTTCTTCTTTTTTTTTTTTTTGATAGAGTCTTGCTCGGTCACCCAGGCTGGAGTACAGTGCTGTGATCTCAACTCACTGCAACCTCTGCCTCCCAGGTTCAAGTGATTCTCATGCCTCAGCCTCCTGAGTAGCTGGGATTACAGGCATGCACCACCACATCTGGCCTATTTTTGTATTTTTAGGAGAGACGGGGTTTCACTGTGTTGTCCAGGCTGGTCTCGAACTCCTGGGCTCGAGTGATCCACCCACCTTGGCCTCCCAAACTACTGGGATTACAGACATGAGCCACCTCGCCCAGCCAATTAGGCCATTTTCAGATGACAGGCTGAGGCTCAAAGAGGTTAACTATGATGAAAGCCCAGCTTAGGATCTGGACCAGGCTACCTGGGTCCTTGGCTCCAACCATTTGCTTGTTACATGAACATGGGAAGCCTCTTTGCCTCTCTGAGTCTCAGCACATACCTACAAAAAATGCAGATCAAAATCTAAGGAGTGGGCCAGGTGCAGTGGCTCACACCTGTAACCCCAGCACTTTGGGAGGCTGAGGCAGGAGGATCACTTGAGCCCAGGAGTTAGAGACCAACCTGGACAACATAGTGAGACCCTGTCTCTACCAAAAAAAAAAAAAAAAAAAAAAACTAAAAATTTAATCAGGCATGGTAATGCCACCTGTAGTCCCAGCTGCAATGGGAGGATCACTTGAGCCCAGGAGTTTAAGGCTACAGTGAGCTGTAATCGCACCACTGCACACCAGCCTGAGTGACAGAGGATGACTGTCTCAAAAAAAAAATCACCATTGTCATCATCTAAGGAGTGGTTCAAAGCAATGGCTTTGGAATTTGAATCCCTGGCTGTGTGACTCTGAGCCAGTGCCTTGACTTCTCTGTGCCTCAGTTTCCTCATCTATAACACTGGGAAGATAATAGTGCCTACCCCAGTGTGTAGTTGTGAGCATTCAATGAGATAAGCCGGTGAATAGCTTAAAACAATAATGTCTAGCACTATCGAACACTAATGAGTGCTCAATAACCGTGAGCCAATAACACTGTTGCAATTAGCATTGTCATTATTAATTGTAGCTATTACCATATACAGTCGGTATATGGAGCCCTAGGTGGCAATCAAAATGACAGCAAGTTGTTGAGATCAGAGAAGTGGTTTGGGACCTGGTCAAAACTCAGTTCAGTCCCTGTTCCCGTGCCTTCCTGGCTGGGTAACTTAGCGCAAGTGACTTCCCCTCTCTGAGCCCCAGTTTCCTCATGTGTATAATGGAGGTAATCCTATATACCTCTTCAGGGTTGTTATAAGGAACGAAAACAAGGGGTGACTGAGTTTGGCAGAACAACTGTCAGGCAGCAGGTGCCTTGAATAGCAGCTGTTATGGTGAATATTGTTTTTAGTGTGTTATTCATGGAGGGACACATGGTGATATGGTTTGGCTGTGTCCCCACCCAAATCTCATCCTGAATTGTAGCTCTCATAATCCCCATGTGTCATGAGAGGGACCCGGTAGGAGGTAACTGAATCATGGGGTCAAGTTTTTCCCATGCTGTTCTCGTGATAGTCAATAAGTCTCACGAGTTCTGATGGTTTTACAAAAGGCAGTTCCCCTGCACACATTCTCTTGCCTGCCGCCATGTAAGACATGCCTTGCTCCTCCTTCACCTTCTGCCATGATTGTGAGGCCTCCCCAGCCATGTGGAACTGGGAGTCCATTAAACCTCCTTTTTTTTAATAAAGTACCCAGTCTCAGGTATTTCTTCATAGCAGTATGAAAATGGACTACCATGGCTTGGAGTGAACTAGAGGTATGCAGAGGAACTGGCCAGGAGAGAAGAGAGGGAGGGTATTTGGGGTAGGAAAGAATGCATGAGTCAAGGTTCAGAGCTGGGACATGGAAATGGAATGCGTGATGGGAATCTCAGCTTGGCTGGGTCCCAGAGAACCACCTCACCTCCCTGGCCAGGGTCCAGTGGGAGCTTCAGGGCTGATGCACTGGGGGAAAAAATGTAAATCTTATATCACCTAGTGACCCTGATATTCAGTGAGAAGGACAATACTTCCAAGACCTCCTTTGCTCATTCATCAACTGCCCAGGAAATGTTTATGAGCACTTGCTGTGTGGCCAGCCCACACAGCTGGGAACACTCTGGTGACCAAGACAGCTGCAGCCCTGCCTTCACAAGACTTACAGTCCAGTGTCCACAGACAGTGATCACCAGAGTGGGCAGGGCTGGGATGGGGGAGCCCAGAGAGCTATGAGACTCAGCCTAGGAGTTAAGGAGGGCTTCCTGGAAGAAGGGACACCTGAGCTGAGAATTATGCTTAGCTGGCCAGGTACAGTGGCTCATTCCTGTAATCTCAGCACTTTGGGAGGTTGAGGCGGGTGGGTCACTTGAGGCTAGGAGTTTGAGACCACGCTGGCCAACATGGTGAAGTAGATGGTGAAGAAGATGGTGAAACCCCATCTCTACTAAAAATACAAAATTTAGCTGGGAATGGTGGCATGTGCCTGTAATCCCAGCTACCAGGGAGGCTGAGACACAAGAATTACTGGAACCCAGGAGGTGGAGGTTGTAGTGAGCTAAGATTGTGCCACTGCACTCCAGCCTGGTGACAGAGGGAGACTCTGTCTCAAAAAAAAAAAAAAAAGGAATTATGCAAGCCAAGAGAGAGAGATGGCATTCCAGAGAGACAGTGCAGCATGGACAGGCCTGGAGGCAAGAGAGAAAGAAAGGGATGAGCTTGGAAAATTGAGTGGAGTCCAGGGTTGCATGGCTATAAAGGCAGGGCAATGAGAGAGATGAGGCTGGCCAGGTGGCAGGGCCTCGAAGGCTAAGGTGAGAAACTGACTTCTGCCCCAGGGTGCTGGGAAGCCACAGCAGGGTTCTGAGCAGGGGAGGAACAGGGTCAGGTGTGAGCTTTAGAAAGATCCTCCTGGCTTCCATGTGGTAGGAAGGTGGATGGGTGCTGGACTAGGGCAGGAGAGCAGGGAGGAGAGGGGGCCAGAGACCTGGAGGATGGAAGAGAAGGATGGATTGAAGAGACACTTGGGAGGGGGAATGGCAGGAGGGAGGGGTGCACAGGGAGGGCGGGCAGATGGCTCCTCCAATCTCACCCCTCCTTGGTCCCCAGAACCCATCATGCAGCCCACAGAAGCAGAGCCCATGGAGCCAGACCCCACTCTGTCCCTGTCAGGAGGCTCTGCCATCGGGCTCCTTGCGGCTGGGATCCTGGGAGCCGGGGCACTGATTGCAGGCATGTGTTTCATCATCATCCAGAGCCTAAGGTACCTCTATCCCTCACCCCCGTCCACTGGGCAACATCCACTCAGCCCCCATGGGGCACAGAGCTGGCTCAACAAGGAAACAGAGATGAAACCAACACCCCCATCAGGGAGGGTGATAGCGACTCCTGAGGAGCCCATCTGACTCACTGGTTTCCAAAATGGGATCACAGCAACAAAGAGATAGAAGAGGACACTAGAGCTGGGCTGTCTGGCTTCAAGTCCCAGCTCTGTAACTTACTAGCAGTGAGGCTGTGGGCAAGCCACTCCCCTTCTCTGTGCCTCAGTTTGCCCATCTGCAAAATGGGGATGATAATAATAGCATCTGACTCTCTGGGTTGTTGGGTTGGGTTGTTGTGAGTGAATTTTTCTTTTTCTTTTTTTTTTTTTTTGAGATGGAGTCTTGTTCTGTTGCCCAGGCCGGAGTGCAGTGGTGCGATCTCGGCTCACTGCAACCTCTGCTTGCCAGGTTCAAGCAGTTCTCCTGCCTCAGCCTCCTGAGTAGCTGGGATTACAGGTGCATACCACCACGCCTGGCTAATTTTTGTATATTTAGCAGAGACAGGGTTTCGCCATGTTGGTCAGGCTGATCTCAAACTCCTGACCTCATGATCTGCCTACCTCAGCTTCCCAAAGTTTTGGGATTACAGGCATGAGCCACTGCACCCGTCCAGTGAGTGAATATTTCTAAGAAACTTAAAGCAGTGCCTGGAATGTGGTAAGTACTATGTTCGTCCTCTCTACACATATCTGCAGTGACCGCTCTGTGCCAGGCACTGAGGATACCGAGGGAAGAAACAGCAGAAAGACCCTGCCCTCATGGAACTTGCATCCTGGTCGGGGACACCATCAAGAAACACAATGAATGAGTGAAATATAGATAGTATATTGGATGGGCCAGGTGTAGTGGCTCACACCTGTAATCCCAGCACTTTGGGAGGCCGAGGTGGGTAGATCACTCGAGCCCAGGAGTTTGAAACCAGCCTGAGCAACATGACAAGACATCTTGTCATCTCTCTCAAAATATAAAAATTAGCCAGGCATGGTGGCATGCACTTATAGTCCCAGCTACTCAGGAGGCTGAGATGGGAGGATCACCTGAGCCCAAGGAAGTCTAGACTGCAGTGAGCTAGGATCATGCCACTGCACTCCACACTGGACACAGAGTGAGACCCTGAGTCAAAAAAGTAATAATAATAAATCTTTTAAAAAAGATAGTATGTTGGATGAGCGCTAAGGAGAGGAGTGAGGCTGGGAAGCAGGACAAAGATTGTGGAGTGGGGTGGCATTTAACGAGTCAGGGAAGGCCTCCCTGGGACAGTGACATTTGAACAAAGGGAGGGAGTGGGGAGCCACGTGAGGGTCTGAAGGAATGGCATATCCAGCAGAGGGAACAGCAAGTGCAAAGGCCCTGAGGCAGGATTGCCTGGCATGTTCAGGAAATAGTGAGGAGCCCAGGGTGGCCAGAGTGGTGTGAAGAATGGGCAGAGAAGTAACATGTGGGTCAGAGAGGGAGTAGGGAGGCAGGGGAAGGCAGCTAGACCCTTGCATAAGGCCTTGTAGGCTCTCTGAGCACTTGGCTTTTGCTCTGAGTGAGATGGAAGCCATGGAGGGTCTAGTGCAAGGGAAGGATGGCATCTGACTTATATTTGATCCTATATGTTGGCTAGTACTACAACGCTATTAATATCTTACCATCAGCAAGGCATGGTGGCCCACATCTGTAATCCTAGCACTTTGGAAGGCCAAGGCAGGAGGATCACTTGAGCCTAGGAGTTTGAGACCGGCCTGGGCAACATAGTGAGACCCCGTCTCTACCAAAACTAAAGTTTTTTTTTTTTAATTAGCTGAGTATGGTAGCACGTACCTATAGTCCCACCACTTGGGAAGCTGAGGTGGGAGGATTGCTTGAGCCCAGGAATTTGAGGCTGCAGCGAGCGATGATCGTGCCACCACACTCCAGCCTGCTTGACAGAGCAAGACCCTATTTCTAAAAATTAAAAAAATAATGTTTTTAAAAAACTTGATCTTACCATGTATTGAGCACCTATTATATGCTTTCTTTTTTTTTTTTTTTTTTTTGAGACGGGGTCTCACTCCATTGCCAGGCTGGAGTGCAGTGGTGCAATCTCGGCTCACTGCAACCTCCACCTTCTGGGTTGAAGTGATTCTCCTGCCTCAGCCTCCCAAGTAGCTGGGACTACAGGCGGGCACCACCATGCCCAGCCAATTTTTGTATTTTTAGTAGAGACGGAGTTTCACCATGTTGGCCAGGATGGTCTTGATCTCTTGACCTCATGATCTGCCTGCCTTGCAAAGTGCTGGGATTACAAGCATAAGCCACCAAGCATTACTCTATTTAATCTCCATAAGAGCTGGGGAGGTGAGGGGGCTGTGGTAGGGGTGAAGATCTCATTTCAGTCCAGAGAGTAGTGATCTGCCCAGGGCCCACAGCTGGAGAGAAAGGATTCAAGCCTAGACTCCTGCCTGCCACTTTGTTCTAGCTCCTGTCTACACTGCCTTTTCCACCATCAGTAACTGTACAGACCTCTGTAATCTATGTTGTGAGGAAGAGAAATCTGTAGGTGGTAGTGGTTTAGGGAGACATTGTGGACCAGCTGGGAGGAACTGGGGCCAGGTCTCCATCCATGAGTCCTGCACACAACCATCTAGGGGCAAGGGAGGGCCAGCCTGCAGCCTCGGCCACCCAGATTGCCTTCATCATTGTGGCAGCTCCGATGTCCTGGCCCCTCAGCACGTACCAGGTGCTGAAAGCCCCAACTCTCAGGGCTAGGTGCTATTATTGTCGTCATTTCCCAAGTGAGTAGAGCTAACGCTCAGAAAAGCTCATTAACTTGCCCAAGGACACACAGCGAATGAATGGCTGGCCCTGAATCAAACCCTGATCTAAGTCTACAGAGGGGAAAGGTGAGGAGTCAGGCTGGCATGAAAATCCTCACCCAGGCACCTCAAGTCCCTGCCCTCATGAGCAGGCAAGAAGGGTCACTTTCTGTCTTCCCCGCCCTTGTGGCCAAGACCTATTTAGTTGTGAGCAACAGACTCCTGGGACAAGGCCAATGGGGGCATCAGCTGGAAGGAGCTAGCCTCATCCAATCAGCTGTGACCTTGCAGATGAGGCCACGTGTCATGGACATGGCTGCCTTGACCCTCCCAGTGAGGAGGAACATTTCTCAGAAAAGAAGTGTATATGGGCTAGGCAGGAACCCCATGCATGCCTACCATGCCCACCAAGGGCCAGGAGAGATCCCCATTGTTTGTAGTTGAGGAGAGGGACCTGAAGCCAGGCTACTTATATTCACATCTCAGCTCTGCTGTACATGACCTTGTGGAATTTGGGGGAGCCCTTTAACCCCTCAGTGGCTCATCTGTAAAACAGGAATATGGCAGTGTGTGGTGCTCACAATTGTAATCCCAGCACTTTGGGAGGCTGAGGCAGGAGGATTGCTTGAGTCCAGGAGTTTGAGACCAGCCTGGGCAGCATAGCGAGACTCATGTCTCTACAAAAAAAAAAAAAGGAAAAGAAAAATTCACTGGGCATGATAACACATGCTTGTGGTTCCAGCTACTCGAAAGGCTAAGGTGGGAGGATCGTTTGAGTCTGGGAGTTCGAGGTGGCAGTGAGCCATTATTGCTCTACTGCACTCCAGCCTGGGTGACAGAGTGAGACTCTGTCTCAATAAACATTTTTTTAATTGAAAATAAAAATTAAAAACAGGCTGGGCACAGTGGCTCATGCCTGTAATCCCAGCACTTTGGGAGGCCGAGGCAGGAAGATCTCTTGAAGCTAGGAGTTCGAGACCAGCCTGGCTAACATGGTAAAACCCCATCTCTACTAAAAACACAAAAATTAACAAGGCATGGTGGTGCATGCCTGTAATCCCAGCTATTTGGGAGGCTGAGGCAGGAGAATCATGCCAAGACCAGCTCAGTCAGGGAAACTCTAACCCAGCGGTGCTAGAGGAATTAAAGACACAGAAATATAGAAGTGTGAAGTGGGAAATCAGGGGTCTCACAGCCTTCAGAGCTGAGAGCCTCAAACAGAGATTTACCCACGTATTTATTAACATTAGCATTGTTTCTATAGATTTTAGATTAACTAAAAGTATCCCTTATGGGAAGCAAAGGGATGGGCTGAAATAAAGGCATGGGTATGGCTACTTATCTGCAGCAGGAGCATGTCCTTAAGGCACAGATCACTCATGCGGTTGTTTGTGGTTTAAAAACGCCTTTAAGTGGTTTTCCGCCCTGGGTGGGCAAGGTGTTCCTTGCCCTCATTCCAGTAAACCCACAACCTTCCAGCGTGGGCGTCATGGCCATCATGAACATGTCACAGTGCCACAGAGATATTGTTCATGGTCAGTTTCGGGGCCAGTTTATGGCCAGGTTTTGCGGGGGGGCCTGTTGGTGCAATTTAAGCTAAACATCCCTTTAGGGGACCAATTAATAATGATTCCATAGGAATCGTTGTGCAGCACCTCTGCCTGTTCTGCAATGCAATCTTCCTAAACAAGTATGTTCATTTTTTCTGGCCAGGTTCAATTTTGTTACAGATAGGTTTTTGAGGGCAGTATGCCTCAATTATAGGAGGAGATTTGTTATGGTAAATACTGAGATCAGAAAGCACATGTAACTGTGTCATAGAGTGATTACATCCAGGCATTATTGCCAGCCAAGATTGATGAATATGCCTAATAAGTATAATTGTTCTCTGTGTCAGCCCTTCTTTAAGGAATACTCACGGCAATGGTGATTACCACTATCATAGCTACCATTACTCATTCTGAGTGGTTGTCCCGCTTTCCTCAGGTTTTCTTCCATCATCTGTGACAGCTTCTTGATCTGTCTCCAGCTGGGTGGCTGTGTTCGACGGGTGTTTCTCGTGACAGTTGGGGTCCTCCTCAGCATCAGCCTCGACATGGCTGCAACCGGGGGGTCCTCAGGATCCTCCCGGAGTCTCTTCCTTGGCATCTGGCTCATGCTAAAATTTCAGGTGTCTTGATGGTATCCAAATCAGCTGTTCATGTTGGCCTGGAGAAACACAAGCATAACCAACACCCCAAGTTATTATTTTACCTACTTCCCAACTTTTTGTTATTGGATCTCTCCACCAAACCAATTGTTCTGCTTCTGTCTTTGCAGCTGGTTTCTGTAGATGCTGTTCAGCTGCTGATAACATCTGGCCTTTGGGCAGGCTCAAAAAATTTAAAGTTAATAATGCTAGACTCAATTGTGTATGGGCTGTCCCATAATCCCTGTTTCTCCCTCTTTTTTGTTTTTGTCATCAGTTGTTCATCTGTATGAAATCATAACTGAGCATTTTCAATTAACTGTGTGGAATGAACCACGTATGAAGAATCAGAAATCATATTAATAGGCATATCAAAAGCAGTCAATACCTCAATTACACCTACAAGCTCCGCTTTCTGAGCTGAAGTATAGGGCGTCTGGAAAACTTTACCTTTCAAGCCAGAATAAGAAGCTGTACTATTACTAGACCCATCTGTAAAACAATGAAAATGCTTAGCAGGCTACAGTATGTAAATGCAAACCGTTCACAGTCTTGCTCAGCTAAGGGGATAGTAAAGAAACAGTCTTTTAAATCTATGACTATTAAAGGCCAGTTTTAAGTCCTCTGAAGCCTCCAGTTTCTCTTTACTCAGCGGCCACTGTTCTAAACATTTTAAAGGTATAGGTTCTGGAAGCTTAACAATGGCTGCCATCAAAAATGATATTCTAATCTTTGGCGGGAACTTTGTCTTTCCGCTTGAAGCGGTTCTTTCAAACCTTGCAAATTTTTTTCTAGTCTCATGCTAGGGACATGCCCCATTTCATGCATCATATGTTGATTTTGAAGGATATATAATTGTTCTGGAGTTAGAACTTGTGCTCCCCATTGTTGTAATAAATCTTTCCCCCACAAAGTTATAGATACAGAAGTTATAATTGGTTGAATAGTCCCAAGTTGTCCATCTGGCCCTTCAAAATGCAAAATATAGCTACTTTGATATACTTCAGGGGCTTTACCAACTCCAACTATGTTAAATTGAGTGGGTTGAATTGGCCACGTGGACGACCAGTGCTGTAGAGAAATGATTGAAATGTCCGCTCCTGTATCTGCCAAGCCTTTAAATTTCTTTCCCTGAATAGTTATTTCACAGGTGGAATGTTTATCAGTAATTTGATTTACCCAATAAGCTGCTTTGCCTTGTTTCTTTGTGCTTCCAAATCCTCCTGTTCATTTAATTTCACTTTTCCCCATTCCCACATACGGCACAATCAGGAGCTGTGCTGTGCGCTCTCCTGGCTCTGCTTTCCAGGGAACAGAAGTAGATGTAACAATTTGAATTTCCTCATTGTAATCTGAATCAATGACTCCTGTATGTGTTTGTACCCCTTTTAAACTTAAACTAGACCTTCCTAAAAGTAATCCTATTGTCCCCGCTAACAAGGGTCCACAGACTCCTGTTGGGACCTTTTACGGGGGTTCCCCAGGCAGAAGGCTCACAGCTTTTGTGCAGCATAAATCTACTGCGGCACTACCGGCTGTGGCGGGGGACAGACATTGTACGGGTGTGAGGGAATGGCCTGAGCTGGAAATGCCCCAGTTTGGAATGGGGCCCAGGACAGGCCCCTCATGGCATTTCCTGAAATCAGGTTCCCTTCTTTATCAAACTTAGAGTGACACTGATTAGCCCAGTGTTTTCCTTTTTTACATGTTGGACATATTTCAGACTCAGCAGTTTTCTTTTTTCCCCTATCTGGCAGCTGACTTGCTGATTATTTCTACATTCTTTTTTAGTATGAATAGCTTGTTTAAATTCTTTGAGTAATTTACAAGGAAAAGGCTCAAATGTAGCTATAATATTTCCCTGTTGATCTGGGGGGTGTATTCTAACAGGGAACTGCCAAGCCTCTAAATCACCTTCTCTTCTAGCTTGCTGGATTCCTGCCTGAATAGAACTGACAGCAGTCGCTCCAGGCGCTGCTCGAACAGTCACTGGGGCAACTACTTTTCGCCCAGCGTCCTCCAGAAAAGAAAGAACTGGAGGGTCAGGCCACTATTTATGGCCAGTTTTGGGGCCAGTTTATGGCCAGATTTTGGGGGGCATGTTCCCAACAGAATCTCTTGAACCTGGGAGGCGGAAGTTGCAGTAAGCCAAAATAGCGCCACTGTACTCCAGCCTGGGCAACAGAACCAGACTGTCTCCAAAAAAAAGAAAAAAGAAAAAAAAAAAAAAACCCAGGGATGTGATTATACTTCCCTCCAAAGACAGGAGTGAGGATTAAGTAAAATGGTGGGAGTCATGAGCTGTGAACAGTGCCTGGAATGTGATGAGCCTTCAATAAACCTCAGCCATGTGATGATGATGATTGTATTAGTTTGCTCCAGCTGCTGTAACAAAAATGCTACAGACCGGGGGGGCTTAAACAACAAAAATTTATTTTCTCACAGTCTGGATGCTGGAAGTCCAAGATCAAGGTGGCAGCCAGTTTGATGTCCCATAGTGCCCCTCTCCATGGCTTGCAGAAGGCCACCTTCTCACTGTGTCCTCACGTGACCTTTTCTCTATGCTCATCCCTGGGGTCTCTTCCTCTTCTTGTAAGGATACCAGTCTTATTGGATCAGGACCCCACTCTTATGATCTCATTTAACCTTACTGTGTCTGAAGAATCTATCTCCAAATATAGTCACATTGGAGGGTTAGGACTACATATTAATTTGGGGAACGGATAATAATTCAGTCGATGATTCTTATTCTCTCTCTCTCTCTCTCTCTCTCTCTGTCTCTCTCTCTCTCTCCACTGCAGGACTGACAGGCAGAGAATAGGAATATGCAGCTGAAATGTGGGCAACTCTCCTGTCAGCTGAAGAGGTAATACCAGGAAGGGTGTGAAGGAAATCCTAGGTTTGGGAACAGAAAGAAGTTCTTGGGCAGAGACTCCATATGTGATTTCCTCCCTCCTGGTTCCCTGGTCATTTGTCTGTGAGATGTTCCCCTCCTGTGGAGAGCTCCAGGAGCTGCTTTTCTCTTCTTTTGCCAACTGCCAGCACCCCATCTGCCCAGCTCATCAAATTCCTGGAAGCTGCCTAAACAAGCAGTCTATATTTCATAAACCTCTTGGGCTCCATGCAAAAGAAACTCACTGACGTAGCTCAGGAAAAAATAAAATGAACAGTTTAATATAAGGACCTATGAAATTTTTCAGCAATCCATAGGTGTGAGTCAGCATTTGCTTTGTAACAAACTGCCTCCCCAAAATTCACTGGCTTGAAACAACAGCCATTTATTTAGCTTGCAATTTCATGGGTCATCCATTTGGGCTGGGCTCAGCTGGGTAGTTCTGGTCTCTGCCAGGCTCGCTCCTGCATCTGGGGTCAGTTGACAGATTGCCCAGGGGCTGTCTGGACTAGGATAGCCTCATAGCTGGGACAACTGGCCTCTCCTTCATGTTGTCTCTCATCCTCCAGCAGGGTGACCCAAGCTTGTTCACATGGCAGAGGCAGGATTCCAAGAGTAACAGCAGAAACTTCAAGGCCCCTTAAGTCTCAAGCTCAAAATGGACATGCCATCACTTCTGCCACAGAAAGGACTTCATTGGCCAAAGTTACATGACTGGCCAAATTCAAGGGATGGGGAAGTTGACTCCACCTCTTGCTAAGAAGGGAAAAATCTGTGGCCATTTTTGCAATCTACGAAGAAATGTGGAAGTACACACAGCTCTCTCTGCCAGCCTCCCCCACACACACACTTCACCCCCACCCCAAGCCCTTACAATTCCTTTCCTCCTGCATGTGGAATTTACAGTTCTCTGTCTCTCTCTGCAGATGGGTGCTTTGTACCTCTCTATCCACGTGGAAAAAAAAACCCATCCCATAGCTTCCAAGTCTACAACATCTCTGTTCAAGGGAACAACCCAACGTAACCAGACTCCCTTTGCCCTGTTTCTGAAACACCTGAAGAAAACATCTGATGGGTTGACTCGGTGCCATCCTTGGTCCCATCGCCGTGACACGTTGTGCAAGCAAAGCATCAGAGGCTCATCCCTGTCTGTGGGAGCTCAGTGCTCAGAAAACAGGGGGGAGGTTTTACCTTGGAAATTGGCCAGACCCCAAAATATGTCTTTTACACATGCTGCTTTTTTTTTCTCTTTTTCAAAAAGAACCAAAAAATAAATTAAAACACCACCACTTCTGAATGGTTTCTCATGAAGCCTCTCTTCCTGAGAGTGGGAGAGGCATGTTTGCAAATAAGATCAACCTTTGAGCTTTGCACTGTTCAAGTTTAATACCTCTCCATAGGAGGATCCTGACAGATAGCAGGCACAGGGCACACAAGTATGGCTGAAACTCCTCTGGGGGATATATCTCACATTTGAGGAAAATTCGGTGCTTCTGTGACCAACACAGAACCACCTAACATGGCATTCTGCTTAGCAATAATAGTAGCAGAACTGAGTCCAAGTCTTGTCTGTTGAGGGCTCTCCATGTGCCAGCCACTGACTATTTACCTTACATGATTAATGTGTCATAGCAGGCCAGGCGCAGTGGCTCACACCTGTAATCCCACCACTTTGGGAGGCCAAGGCAGGTGGCTCACCTGAGGTCAGGAGTTCAAGACCAGCCTGGCCAACATAGTGAAACCCCATCTCTACTAAAAATACAAAAATTGGCCGGATGTGGGGGCACATGCCTATAATCCCAGCTACCGGGGAGGCTCAGGCAGGAGAACCACTTGAACCCAGGAGGCAGAGGTTTCAGTGAGCCGAGATCATGGCCACTGTGCTCCAGCCTGGGTGAGGGAGTGACAGTATCTCAAAAATAAAATAAAATAAGTAAGAGATGTTAGCCAGGCACGGTGACTCACGCCTGTAATCCCAGCATTTTGGGAGGCCAAGGCGGGCAGATCACCTGAGGTCAGGAATTCAAGACCAGCATGGCAACATGGTGAAACCCTGTCCCTTGTTATCACACGAATGGGGATGTGGCTTGTGTGCTGCCTAATCTTGCCTAGAACTAGGTGTACCTGCGTTCTTTTGCTTATGGCTTTACCCTTGGTTACCCTAATTCCCTATTCTCCTGCCTCAAGAGGTGACCACAGCAGCCCTGGGCCTGCCCTCCTAGGGCTTATAGTACAGTGAGGGAGACAGACCTGTTCCCAGTGATGACCCAGAGTCATCACTCTCCTCTGGGAGGCCAGGGGGGAGTCTTAATGGAGACTGGAGGATCCAGGAGGGCTTCCTGGTGAGGGAGGGGTCAGCTGTACTAGAGAACAACATTAAGATCATTAATAACAAGAGCAGCCAGATGGCCGGGCACGGTGGCTCACGCCTGTAATCCCAGCACTTTGGGAGGTGAGGCAGGCAGATCACGAGGTCAGGAGATCAAGACCATCCTGGCTAATACAGTGAAACCCTGTCTCTACTAAAAATACAAAAAATTAGCTGGCGTGGTGGCAGGAGCCTGTAGTCCCAGCTACTCGGGAGGCTGAGGCAGAAGAATGGCGTGAACCCGGGAGGTGGAGCTTGCAGTGAGCCAAGATCGTTACCACTGCACTGCAGCCTGGGCAACAGAGCGAGACTCCGTCTCAAAAAAAAAAATAAATAAATAAAAGAGCAGCCAGGTCTTCTGGTTGGAGTTGGTGTTTAAGAAAAATAAAATTTAAAAATTAAAATTTTTTTGGCCGGGCACAGTGGCTCACAGCTGTAATCCTAGCACTTTGGGAGGCCGAGGCAGATGGATTGACTGAGCTGAGCTCAGGAGTTCAAGACCAGCCTGGCCAACATGGCGAAACCTTGTCTGCTAAAAATGCAAAAAAAATTAGCCAGGCGTGGTGGTGCGGGCCTGTAATCCCAGCTACTTGGGAGGCTGAAGCATGAGAATCGCTTGAACCCGGGAGGCAGAGGTTGCAGTGAACCAAGATTGTGCCACTGTACTTCAGCCTGGGCAGCAGAGCAAGACTCTGCCAAAAATAAAAAAATTTTAAAAATTGTTTAAAGAGCAGCCACGTCTCCATAGTGGTAATTGTCAGGCATCGCACCAAAGAGCTTTAATGCGTTCTTCTCAAACAGTCCTCCCACTTCAGCCTGCCAAAGTGCTGAGATTTCAGGTTTGAGCCACTGTGCCATGCTATGCCCATTTTTCAGATAAAGAATCATAAGCCCCAGGAGACATCAATAATAATTGCTGCCATTTGTTGAGCAGTTAAATAAATAACTTTTTAGACCATATATTTCTTTTTTTTTTTTTTTTTTTTTTGAGACAGAGTCTCACTCTGTTGCCCAGACTGGAATGCAGTGGCATGACGTTGACTCACTGTAACCTCCACCTCAAGTGATTCAGCCTCCCAAGTAGCTGGGATTACAGGTGTGCACGACTACCACCCAGCTAATTTTTGTGTTTTTAGTACAGATGGGGTTTCACCATGTTGGCCAGGCTGGTCTTGAACTCCTGACCTCAAAAGTGTGGGGGAAAGAAAGAGAGATCAGACTGTTACTGTGTCTATGTAGAAAAAGGAAGACATAAGAAACTCCATTTTGATCTGTACTAAGAAAAATTCTTCTGCCTTGAGATGCTGTTAATCTGTAACCCTAGCCCCAACCCTGTGCTCGCAGAAACGTGTGCTGTATTGACTCAAGGTTTAATGGATTTAGGGCTGTGCAGGATGTGCTTTGGTAAAAATGTGTTTGCAGGCAGTATGCTTGGTAAAAGTCATTGCCATTCTCCAGTCTCAAGTAACCAGGGACACCATACACTGCGGAAGGCAGCAGGGACCTCTGCCCAAGAAAACCTGGGTATTGTCCAAGATTTCCCCCACTGAGACAGCCTGAGAGATGGCCTCGTGGGAAGGGAAAGACCTGACCGTCCCCCAGCCCGACACCCATAAAAGGTCTGTGCTGAGGAGGATTAGTGAAAGAGGAAGGCCTCTCTGCAGTTGAGATAAGAGGAGGGCATCTGTCTGCTGCTCGTCCCTGGGAATGGAATATCTCGGTGTAAAACCCGATCGTACATTCTATTTACTGAGATAGGAGAAAACTGCCTTATGGCTGGAGGTGAGACACACTGGCAGCAATACTGCTCTTTACTGCACTGAGATATTTGTGTAAAGTCAAACATAAATCTGGCCTACGTGCACATCCAGGCACAGCTCCTTTCCTTAAATTTATCTATGACACCGAGTCCTTTGCTCACGTTTTCCTGCTGACCCTCTCCCCACCATTACCCTATAGTCCTGCCACATCCCCCTCACCGAGATAGTAGGGATAGTGATCAATAAATACTGAGGGAACTCAGAGACCAGTGCCGGTGCAGGTCCTCACTTGCTGAGCACCGGTCCCCTGGGCCCACTTTTCTTCCTCTATACTTTGTCTCTGTGTCTTATTTCTTTTCTCAGTCTCTCGTCTCCACCTTGTGAGAAATACTCAGAGGTGTGGAGGGGCAGGCCCCCTTCAAAATGATCCACCCACCTCAGCCTCCCAAAGTGCTGGGATTACAGGCATGAGCCACCATGCCCAGCCACATATAACTTATTTCTAAATAACTTATTTAACTAACACCACATGATTTTATGACCCCCTATTTTATGGATGAGAAAAAAGAGGCAAGAGAAGCGATACCAGTTGCTTAGGATTCCCAGCTACCAATTAGTGGAAGCAGAATTTGAACCAAGGGAGTCTCTGGAGCCCTCGTTCCCAATCTCCTTTTCTTCCTCTCCATGTCTTTCTTTCTCCCCCTGCTCCCAGGCCTCCTACATCACACCCTTCTGGACAAAGCTTCACATCTGACATTTTCTTTTTTGGGGTGGACAGAGTCTTACTCTGTCACCGAGGCTGGAGGGCCGTGGCGCAATCATGGCTCATGGCAGCCTCAAACTCCTGGGCTTGAGGGATCCTCCAGCCTCAGCCTCCCAAGTAGCTGGGACTATGGGCATGTGCCACCACACCTGGCTAATTTTTTAATTTTTTGTAGAAATACAGGGGGTGGGGGCATATCTGAAAATTTTAAACCTTCCCTGACTGCCGTGAGCATTTCTGGGTAGAAGCCACTCCACGACCTTACTTTGCTGGCATGAGTGCTGGACAGCAATTTGGCAACATCCTCTAGACCACAAATGTGCATGGCCTTTGGCCCAGCAAATCAGCTTCTGGGAATAAATATGACAGATACTGTTACATACATGGGAAATGCCATGGACATGATGACCCAGGGAAGCACAGTTTGCAAGTACAAAAGGGCTGGAAACACCCAAAAAGCCCATCCCCTGAAGACAGTTTCAAAAATGACGGTGCATTCATGTAATGGAATAGTACACATTTGTGAATGAATGAATGAGGTAGCTCAATATATCTGCCTATGGGAAAATCACCAAGATATGTTGCTAAGTGAAAAACAGAAAGATACAGAATAATGCTACCATTTTATTTTTTAATGGGAGAGGGAAGAATAAGGAAATGGATTCATATTTGCTTAATTACACAAGCTTCCTGATGATCCTTTTGGATCCAGAAGTTTGAAAACCACAGCATCAAGAGGATGCCCATTGGGCATGGTGGCTCACGCCTGTAATCCCAGCACTTTGGGAGGCTGAGGAGGGTGGATCGCCTAAGTTCAGGAGTTCGAGACCAGCCTGGCCAACATGGTGAAACCCCATCTCTACTAAAAACACAAAAAAATTAGCTGGGTATGGTGGTGCAGGCCTGTAATTCCAGCTACTTGGGAGGCTGAGGCGCAAGAATCACTTAAGCCTGGGAGGCGGAGGCTGCCGTGAGCCGAGATCACGCCATTGCACTCCAGCTTGGGAGACAGAGCAAGACTGTCTCAAAACAAACAAACACACACAAAAAATAAGATGCCCATTGGAGATCTCCATTCACTATTTTATCAGATGATATTTCAGCACTTGAGTGAAGAAAATGTCTACAACTGGTCCAAACACTCAAGGAATTTAGACTCTTGACAGAGAAACACACAGAAGCAAGCAGATATGCCCCGAACCAAACTTGCTTTTTCTTCTAAGCCTGCTTCTTCGGAGCAGCCTCTGACCCTCCAGGGCCCTGAGAGGAGTCCCTGGAGCCACAGGAGCTTGGGAGCCCAGAGAAGTGGGGGAATCCCAGATGGTGACAGCATCATCCAGAGGAGGAACATAACGATGGCCACAGATTCCCAATTTGGAAATAACTCAGCAAAACAACACTGACAGAAAATTCAGAGATTTCCAAGAGACTAGCCTCCCTGTTTCCATTTAGAAATTCACCTACATACATCCAGGGTGAGAGACCCCAAGCATCAGATGTGTCATACACAAGCATCAGATCCAAGTTAGAGAGGGCACCCGGGGACAGAAACCTCCAAGCCAGCCAAAAGCCAAAGGAAGGATTTTACAGAAAGATACAGGAATGTGGGGCCAGGCACAGTGGCTCATGCCTGCAATCCTAGCACTTTGGGAGGCCGAGGTGGGAGGATCGCTTGCGGCCAGGAATTCAAGGCCAGCCTGAGCAACATAGCGAGATCCTATCTCTACAACAAATTTAAAAACTAGCTGGGTGTGATCACATATGCCTGTGGTCCCAACTACCCAGGAGGCTGAGGCAGGAGTTGAGCCCAGGAGGTGGAGGCTGCAATGAGCAATGATGGCGCCACTTCACTCCAGCCTCAGTGAAATAGTGAGACCCTGTCTAAAAATAATAATAAAAATAAAAAACATATAAAGATGTCAGAGCACAGGGACCAGAGCTGTTAGTCGGCCTCATGGAGACCCTGGCCAGGACAGCCACCTCTGGGGACCAGGAAGTCTCTCAGTTTCTGTCTCTGAGGGTTTGGCTCTCTGAGTCTCTCTGTCACCTCTCATTTCTCTCTCATCTCCCTCTGTCTATGCTGTGTCTCTATCTCTTTCAATCTCTCTGTCTCTGTCTCCCAGCCCTTATCTCTGAGTGTGTCTGTTTCTCTCTCATTTCTCTCTCTCTCTCTCTCTCTTTCTCTCTCTCTCTTTCTCTCTCTCTCTTTCTCTCTCCCCCCTCCCTCCTCCCCTCTCCCTACTGCAGGCTGGTCCATAACCCTTATCTTCCCCAGACCTGATGGAGTTCTGGTATTAATCTGTTTATGGTCTGTTTCCCTCCACTAGAACACGGTCTTCATTAAAGGCAGAGATTTTTGTCTGTCTTATTTTCTGCTGTATACCCAGTGCCTGGGATACTGGCTGGATCAATAAATATATGCTGAATGAAGAATGAATGAATGACCATTCTCATGAACATTATTATTTGATGCCAACTGTAAAGCAACAATAATAATAATTGTCACTGCCACTGCTGCTATTGTTGGTATATCAGCTTTTTATTTAGTACAAACTATATCCCCGAAATTGAGCTAGGCAGTTTCTTGTTTAAGTTTTACAGACCACGCTGTGAGGTAAGTACTGTTAGTATGCCCTTTTTTCTTTCTTTTTGAGACAGAGTCTCACTCTGTCGCCCAGGCTGGAGTGCAGAGGCCCGATCTTGGCTCACTGCAACCTCTGCCTCCCGGGTACAAGTGATTTTCCTGTCTTAGCCTCCCCAGTAGCTGGGATTACAGGCATGTGCCACCATGCCGGCTAATTTTTGTATTTTTAGTAAAGATGGGTTTTTGCCATGTTGGCCAGGCTGGTCTTGAACTCCTGGACCTCTGGTGATCCTCCTGCCTCGGCCTCCCAAAGTGCTGGGATTACAGGCGTCAGCCACTGCGCTTGCTCCCCCAGCCCCCAAACTTTTTTTTTTTTTTTTGAGACAGGTCTGGCTCTGCCACCCAAGCTGTAGTGTAGTGGCGCAATGGTAGCTCACTGAAGCCTCTAACTCCTGGGTTCACACAGTCCTCCTGCCTCAGCCTCCCAAAATGCTGGAATTCAGGCCTGAGCCACCGCGCCCTACTATGCCCATTTTTCAGATAAAGAATCTGAGGGCCCTCGAGGAGAAACCACTTGCCCAACATGAGCCCTGGTCTTGTCTGACCCCAAAGCCCATGGGAAGTTTAGGCTGCGTGGAAGGACAGCCTGGTGGGCTCAGGATCTGTCCCATCACGAGTTGGAACCTCAGCTCTGCCACTCGGCAACCGCGAGCCGTTAGTAAGTTGCTGAATCTCTCCGTGTGCCTCCGTTTCCTCACCTGGAATGTGGGCGACCTCACACAGGAAGCCGCCTCTTCTAGTGGGCACCGACGGAGCGAGCGCGCGTCTGCAGCGGGACTGAGCGCCGGGAGAGACCTGCGCAGGCGCAGGCGCGCGGGGAGGGCCAGCCTGGGTGGCCCACCCCGCGCCTGGCGGGACTGGCCGCCAACTCCCCTCCGCTCCAGTCACTTGTCTGGAGCTTGAAGAAGTGGGTATTCCCCTTCCCACCCCAGGCACTGGAGGAGCGGCCCCCCGGGGATTCCAGGACCTGAGCTCCGGGAGCTGGACTCGCAGCGACCGCGGCAGAGCGAGCGGGCGCCGGGAAGCGAGGAGACGCCCGCGGGAGGCCCAGCTGCTCGGAGCAACTGGCATGGCCCGAGCCATGGCCGCCGCGTGGCCGCTGCTGCTGGTGGCGCTACTGGTGCTGTCCTGGCCACCCCCAGGAACCGGTGAGTGACCCCCGCGCAGTCCGGTGGCCCCTGTCTGGCTCCCAGCTCCGCATCCAGGCCGGGTACTCGCCCCCTTGGGTTCCCGAAGATGACGGCCCCGCCCGGCGCCACCCACCCCCCATCTCTGCCCCGGGGTTGGAAGGAACACGGTGCGAGGGTGCGAGGGCAGGACCCTCCTCTTGGCCACCCGGAGAGCGGTCGGAGTTGGGTACAGAAATTCCTCGAAATTGGCAGCAACACGGGTCGGGCACAAGACCCTCCTCTGGGCCCCTCGGAAAGGGGATGGAGTTGGGTGAGGAAATTTCCCAAAAAGGCAAGTGAATCCCGGAAAATCAGCAGATGGTGACGCATGCCGGATTACCTTACCCAGGTTCCTGCTCAGCATACCCAGGCCATAACCCAGCAGCGTGCTGGCAGGCTGGGTCTGGACGGAGGGGATGGTTGATGTTGGGGAGGAGGACAGTGGGTGACACTTGACACCATTACCCCTCTGACCCCCAATGTCTGACTCCAGGGGCCTGGCCATTCATTCATTCTTTCATTCTTTTTTTTTTTTTTTTGAGACAGTCTCACTCCATCACCCAGGCTGGAGTGCAGTGTCCTGCTCTCGGCTCACTGCAGCCTCCTCCTCCCGAGTTCAAGCGATTCTCCTGCTTCAGCCTCCCGAGTAGCTCGGATTACAGACATGTGCCACTATGCCTGGCTAATATTTTTGTATTTTTAGTAGATACAGGATTTCACCATGTTGGCCAGGCTGGTCTCAAACTCCTGATAAATATATATATTATATATTATTATTATATATTACATATTATAGTAATATATAATAAAAATATATAATATATATTATAGTAATATATAATATATAATAAAATATATAATATATATTATAGTAATATATAATATATAATAAAATATATAATATATATTATAGTAATATATAATATATTATAATATATTATATATATTATTATAATATATAATATGTATATTATATATTATATATATTATTATAATATATAATATGTATATTATATATTATATATATTATTATAATATATAATATGTATTATGTATTATATAATTGATAATATATAATAATATATTTCTTAATAAATATATATTAAATATATTATATATTTATAACATATATTATTTATATAATAAATAATATATATTTTATTATACATTTAAAGAGTAAATAGATAACATATTTTATTATTTATTTATATGTTTTGTGTAT
Organism: Homo sapiens; assembly: GCF_000001405.40. Taxonomy (NCBI): domain Eukaryota; kingdom Metazoa; phylum Chordata; class Mammalia; order Primates; family Hominidae; genus Homo; species Homo sapiens. The sequence continues at coordinate 44,645,419 of NC_000019.10, forward strand.
ATATATATATATATATATATATATATAGTGCGTGTGTGCGTGTATGTGTGTGTGTGTATGAGAGAGACAAGGTCTTGCTTTGTTGCCCAGGCTGGAGTGCAGTGGTACAATCCCGGCTCATTGCAAACTCGACTTCCCAGGCTCAAGCGATCCTCTCACTGTGGCTTCTGGAGTAGCTGGGATTATAGGTGCTCACCTGGCTAATTTTTTTTGTATTTTTGGTAGAGACAGGGTTTCGCTATGCTGCCCAGGCTGGTTGCAGCCAAGCACAGTGGCTCATGCCTGTAATCCCAACACTTTGGGAGGCTGTGGTGGGAGGATCACTTGAGCTTAGGAATTCAAAACCAGCCTGGGCAATATGGCAAGACCCCATCTCTACAAAAATAATTAACTAAATAAAAATTTAAAAATAAAAAAGAATGCATAGGACCATGTTTATTAGTGTCAATAAGCGCTGTCACATTTTGAGGACCTACTATGTGCTAGGGCCCTTAGCAGAAAGATTTTTATATAGGACCTGGGGGATTAGAGGTCAGTCTCTGACCGCCCAAGTTCAAATCCCACCTCTGCCACTAAACCTCTGTATGACTTGGAGGACACTATACTCTGTGTCAGTTTCCCTGTCTGTAAAATGATGTTAACAGTAGTGCTTGCCTCAGGGGGGCTATTTGAGGATTAAATGCCAAGATATATGTGAAGCACCCAGAATAGCCCCTGATCTGTGTCAGCACCCTGTGAGTGTCCACTGTTCTAAGTCTCATTTTACAAACTAGGAAAAAGAATCAGAGAGGTTAAGTAACCGGCCTGAAGCTCCACAGCAGAAAACTGAAGGGACCCAAAACTCCTGGGCTATAATTGCCTTCCTCTCGTGCCTCAATCCCCCACATTCTTCCAACCAGGACCCACCCAGAGTAATAATGCAGTGTTTCATGGATTTGAAGACCCAAGATTTCTCCCCGTTTTCTACATTGGGGTTATTCTAACCCCTAATGGCAAGTTGTGCTATAAATGACAACAGTCATGGTATGTGAAACCTACGACACTGGTGCGATGAAAAAGTTCTGGGCCAGGTGCGGTGGCTCATACCTGTAATCCCAGCACTTTGGGAGGCCGTAGTGGGAGGATCACTTGAGGTCAGGAGTTCAAGACCAGCCTGGCCAACATGGTGAAACCCCATCTCTGCTAAAAACAAAAATACAAAAAATTAGCCAGGTGTGGTGGTGGGAGCCTGTCATCCCAGCTACGCGGAAAGCTGAGGCAGGAGAACCGCTTGAACCCCAGAGGCAGAGCTTGCAGTGAGCAGAGATCGCGCCACTGCACTCCCCCTGGGCGACAGAGAGAGACTCCGTCTCAAAAAAAAAAGAGAAGAAAAGAAAAAGTTCTGGCGCTATATAGTAGTAACGGTTGCACAATATCGTGAAATGTACATAGTGCCACTGAACTGTATGCTTTAAATGACTTAAATGGTAAATTTAGTTTTTTAACCACAATATTTACCACAATTTTTTAAATCAGTGATGTTGAGATTCAGGGAAATACGGTAATAATAGAAGAAATACGGTAATAAATAGCCAAAGTGAAGGAGCACGGCCAAGTTGCAGACCATCCCAGACGCCCTTACCCTCCTCGCCTGCCATGGCCCCAACTAGTGCCCCAGTTCCCCCTCCCCCCACACCCCACGGTCCACCGGGGATCCAGGGCCCCAGCGTGCAAGTGCACGCCCAGGTGCCCGGGCTCCTGGAGCCCCTCCCTATCTAGTCCAAGAACGCCCCGGGTCTGACACCTTCTCTTCGGTTCTCCGCAGGGGACGTCGTCGTGCAGGCGCCCACCCAGGTGCCCGGCTTCTTGGGCGACTCCGTGACGCTGCCCTGCTACCTACAGGTGCCCAACATGGAGGTGACGCATGTGTCACAGCTGACTTGGGCGCGGCATGGTGAATCTGGCAGCATGGCCGTCTTCCACCAAACGCAGGGCCCCAGCTATTCGGAGTCCAAACGGCTGGAATTCGTGGCAGCCAGACTGGGCGCGGAGCTGCGGAATGCCTCGCTGAGGATGTTCGGGTTGCGCGTAGAGGATGAAGGCAACTACACCTGCCTGTTCGTCACGTTCCCGCAGGGCAGCAGGAGCGTGGATATCTGGCTCCGAGTGCTTGGTGAGCAGGGGGTTTTGGGGAGGCTGAATGAAAGGCAGAGACTTGGTGGGAGGATCAGGGAAGTTGGCAAAGAGCGGGGAGGCCTGGGAGGGAGGGAGATTCCCTCCACAGCAGATCCCCTGGGGACAAAAGGAGGGGGCAGCGCAATGATGTGGGGTGGGGTGGGGGGAGGTGAGTGGGGGGAGGGGCTGCAGGGCAGGAAGAAAGCAGAGATCTCAGGGAGTAAGGACCCCCAAGCCTGGGATCAGAAAGCCCTGAGGGAGGAGGAGGGGTATATTGGAAAGGGAGCTGGGAGGGGACTGGGAAGGAAGGGAGGAGGCCTGGGTGGCCTCTTCTGGGTCCCTCCTTTCCTCATCTGTAAAAGGGTTGGTGACAACAGCATCACCCTTGGAAAGCTGTCCTGAGTGTCATCACTGCCTAGGAAAGAGTCTGTCTGCCCCCTTGGACTGTGTACCCATGAGGGCAGAACCGGGGCTATTTTGATCACTGCTGGGCCCCAGCACTTTCCACCAAACAATATTTATTGAGCACTTATTATGTGCCATTCTAAGAGCTTTACCTGCATATTCTAATTGCCTGTGATTCCATCATTATCACCTGTTGACAGACAAGGAAACTGAGGCACAGACTTGCCCAAGACCAAAGCTGCAGCCTTAGGGCAGCGGCGCTTCACCGCTGGCCCATGTGAGCCCCTTAGAGCTGTCGGTTACTGTTACTTTATCTGGTGAAGAAGGAGAAAGTTGAAACAGACAGACAGGAAAGCAAGGATCCTGATACCCAAAAGAGGAGGGGATCATGCTTTCATTTTCATGAGCTCCATGAAGCCTTCCTCTTGGAACTTGAGCAAGAAGTCTCTGTGCCTCAGTTTCCTCATCTGTGGGATAGGGATCACCATGAGGATTCAAAAAAACTGACCCTTTTTTTTTTTTTGAGATAGTTTAGTTCTGTCGCCCAGGCTGGAGTGCAGTGGTGTGATCATAGTAGGTCCTCACTGCAGCCTGGAACTCCTGGGCTCAAGGGATGTTCCTACCCTCCCTGTAGCTGGAATTACAGGAATGTGCCACCATGCCCAACTTGTTTTCTGTTTTGTTTTGTTTTGTTTTGTTTTCTTTTCTTTTTAAGCTTATGTGCCAAGAACTATTCCAAGCCTGTGCATGAGAAACTCATGAAATGTCAAGGGCTTGGAACTGTGCCTAGCACACAACACCCAACCAAAGGCAGCTGTTGTCACTCCAGCAAGCCTGGGATTCTGGGTATCATGGTTTAGGATGAGGGTAAAACAGAAACAGTGAGTCAAGTTAAGGAGAAATCTTCGGTAAATAATATAGGTAATGATGGGGAAGGAAGTTCCAGGTTTGGGAATCACCAGGATGATGATTAAGAGATGGTCAAGGTGGTTTTGGAGTCAGACAGACTTTATGTGAAAGCCCAGCTCTGCTGCTTACAGCTGTGTGACCATGGGCAAGTCACTTCCCTTCTCAACTTCAGGGCTCAGGCTTCCTCTCCTCCACTGAGCCCCAGACCAGGATAACCCCCTTTGGGTTTCCCCTTTCCAGCCCTGCCCTCTCCGAGTCATCACTGCCTAGGAAAGAGTCCGTCTGCCCCCTTGGACTGTGTACCCATGAGGGCAGAACCAGGGCTATTTTGGTCACTGCTGGGCTCCAGCACTTTCCACCAAACAATATTTATTGAGCGCTTATTATATACCATTCTAAGAGCTTTACCTGCATATTCTCATTGCCTGTGATCCCATCACTATCCCCTGTCAACAGACAAGGAAACTGAGGCACAGACTTGCCCAAGACCACACAGCTGCTCAGGGACACAGCTGGGATTTAAACCATGCCATTCTGTATCTTTTTTTTTTTTTTTTTTTTGAGACAGAATCTCACTCTGTCGCCCAGGCTGGAGAGCAGTGACACAATCTCAGCTCACTGCAACCTCCGCCTCCCGAGTTCAAGCAATTCTCTGGTCTCAGCCTCCCAAGTAACTGGGATTACTGGCGTGTGCCACCATACCCTGGCTAATTTTTAATAGAGACAGTTTCTCCATGTTGGCCAGGCTGGTCTCGAACTCCTGACCCCAAGTGATCCACCCACCTCAGCCCCCCAAAGTTCTGGGATTATAGGCGTGAGCCACCCCGCCCAGCAACCATGCCATCCTGTACCCTTAATGAATGCCCCCTTCTGCCACGGAGGGGTTCATTGAATGACTTGTTGCTTTTGTTCCTCTTCCCAGCCAAGCCCCAGAACACAGCTGAGGTTCAGAAGGTCCAGCTCACTGGAGAGCCAGTGCCCATGGCCCGCTGCGTCTCCACAGGGGGTCGCCCGCCAGCCCAAATCACCTGGCACTCAGACCTGGGCGGGATGCCCAATACGAGCCAGGTGCCAGGGTTCCTGTCTGGCACAGTCACTGTCACCAGCCTCTGGATATTGGTGCCCTCAAGCCAGGTGGACGGCAAGAATGTGACCTGCAAGGTGGAGCACGAGAGCTTTGAGAAGCCTCAGCTGCTGACTGTGAACCTCACCGTGTACTGTGAGTGTGCCCAAGTCAGCGATGGCAAGAACCCCTGCCGGGCTGCCCCCACCACTGTCTACACTGACTCCCCAAGGCACTGTAGGCATTGCTTCCATCATCTGCACCGGCTCCCCTGACTCCTGTCTACACGACCCACCCCCATTGTCTGCACCAGCTCCCCTGGGCCGTAAACAACACTGTCCCTATTGTCTACACCAGTTTACTTGGGCCATAGTCAATGCTGGTACCCAGACTGTCTGCCCTGGCTCCTCTAGCGGCTGTCTGCACGGATACCTGACACTCTGTTGACTCCCTTGAGCACAGTCTACACTGCCCCTAAACTGCCTACACCCATTTCCCCAGGCAAGTATCCACAATGACCCTCCCCACATTGCTACACTGGTTCTTCTGGCCACGATCAACACTGCCTCCCTTATTGTCTACACCCACTCCCTTGTCCTTTTCTTTCTTTCCTTTTTTTTTTTTTTTTTTTGAAATAGAGTCTCACTCTGTTACCCAGGCTGCAGTACAGTGGCATGTTCTCGGCTCACTGTAACCTCTGCCTCCCAAATTCAGGTGGTTCTCCTACCTCAGCCTCCCAAATAGCTGGGATTAAAGGTGCACACCACCACACCTGGCTAATTTTTGTATTTTTAGTAGAGACAGGGTTTCATCATGTTGGCCAGGCTGGTTTCGAACTCCTGACCTCAGGTGATCGGCCTGCCTCAGCCTCCCAAAGTATGCTGGAATTATAGGCATGAGCCACTGTGCCCGGCTTTTTGTTTTGTTTTGTTTTTCCTTTGGACAGGGTCTCGCTCTGTCACCCAGGCTGGAGTGTAGGGGCATGATCATGGTTCCTACAGCCTCACCCTTCCAGGCTCAAGCAATCCTTCTCCCTCAGCCTCCCAAGTAACTGGGACTACAGGTGCAGCCACCATGCCCGGCTAATTTTACAGTTTTTTTCTAGAGAGAGTTTTGCTGTGTTGCCCAGGCTGGTCTCAAACTCCTAGGCTTAAGTGATCCTCCCGCCTCAGTCTCCCGAAGTGCTGAGATTACAGGCGTGAGCCACTGCACCTGGCCCCTTGTCCATTTTCTACACTGCCTTACCATTGTCTACACTGGCTCTCCTGGGCCACAGACAGCACTAACCCCATTGTCTACACCACCTATTTTGGCCACCAGCTGTGGGGTGTTTTCACTGTCTCCCATAGTGTCTACACTGGCTCCTATGACCACTGTCTATGTAAACACCCCACTTTTTCTACACTGGTTCTCCTAGGCACTCTCTAAAGTGCCCCCTGACACTGTCTACACTGACTCCCTGGAGAACTGTCTGCATTCACCTCCCACATTGTATCGACCAGTTCCCCTGAGCCACGATCAACTGTCTCCGCCGGGTGCTAGTTGCATTGATCTTCTCACATTGTTTGTGCTGGCTCCCCTAAGCAGTGTCTGCAGAGTCCCCCAGTGTAGTCTCCATGTTCCTCTGCCCAATATTGTCTACACTGGCTCATCTACAGGCTATCCAGTCTCACCCCACATCACCACACTGGCCTCCTTGTGTTCTGTCTGCACAGCCCCCTGACAGCATCTGTCCTGATTCTCCTGCACAGCGTTACCTCCACCAGCTCCCTCATGGCATCATCGACATTGACACCCACACATTTATCTCCACTGACAGCCCCAGGACTCTCTAACCAGTGCTGTCTAACAGAAATAGCATGCAAGCTGCATATAGGATTTTAAATTCTCCAGCGGCCACCCCATTAAAAAATTAAAAGAAAGAGGCCAGGCACGGTGGCTCACGCCTGTAATCCCAGCACTTTGGGAGGCCGAGGCAGGTGGATCACCTGAGGTCAGGCATTCAAGACCAGCCTGATCAATGTGGTGAAACTCTGTCTTCACTAAAAAATACAAAAATTAGCCAGGCACGGTGGCGGGTGCCTGTAATCCCAGCTACTCGGGAGACTGAGGCAGGAGAATCACTTGAACCTGGGAGGCGGAGATTGCAATGAGCGAGATTACGCCATTGCACTCCAGCCTGGGCAGCAGAGCAAAACTCCATCTCAAAAACAAGAAAAGAAAGAGATGAAATTTATTTGTTTATTTATTTATCTATTTATTTATTTGAGACGGGGTCTTACTCTGTCACCCAGACTGGAGTGCAGTGGCACAGCTCCCTGCAGCCTCAACCTCCTGGGCTTAAGTGATCCTCCCACCTCAGCCTCAGTCTCCTGAGTAGCTGGGACTACAGGCGTGTGACACCATGCCTAGCTAATTTTTGTTTTTGTTTTTGTTTTTGTTTTTTTGTTTTGTGATGAAGTCTTGCTCTGTCACCCAGGCTAGAGTGCAGTGGCACGATCTCAACTCACTGCAGCCTCCGCCTCTCGGGTTCAAGTGATTCTCCTGCCTCAGCCTCCCGAGTAGCTGGGATTACAAGCCCTGGCCACAGTGCCCAGCTAATTTTTGTATTTGTGGTAGAGACGGGATTTCACCATGTTGGCCAGGCTGGTCTCAAACTCCTGACCTCGTGATCCACCCACCTTGGCCTCCCAAATTGCTGGGATTACAGACGTGAGCCACCGCACCCGGCCTATTTTTATTTTTTCTGGAGACAGGATCTCCCTATGTTGCCCAGGCTGGTCTCAAACTCCTGGGCTCAAGTGATCCTCCTGCCTCAACCTCCCAAGGTACTGGGATTACAGGCATGAGCCACTGTGCCTGGCCAAAATTAATTTTTAATAATTGCCTTTACTTAACCCAATATACCTAAAATATTATTTCAACTTGTAATTGTTTTTTTAAAATTATTCTTGAGATCTTTCCCATTTATTTTGTCCTAGTAAAGCCTTTGAAATCTGGTGTGTATTTCGGCCTGGCTATATTTCGAGTGCTCAGTAGTCACATGTGGCCAGTAGGTGCCATATTGGACAGCACAGATCTAGACTAAGCTCCCACATCATCTACACTGGCTCATCCAAATACTGTCTACACACATACACAGAGCCTGTCTTAATTTCGTCAGCTCCCGGGGACACACTGTATATGTGGGGGTGATCTCACCCCCACCACCACATTTTCAACACTGGCCCGACAATATAGCATCTGCTGTAATATTCCAACACCCTGTCTACACTGAACCCATCAGTAATATCCACACAAGCTCTTCTAGACATCATTCATACTGTTCCTCCCACCATTGTCTATACTGCTTACTCCCCGCCAGGCAATTGGTACACAGATTCCCTCAGGTACTGTCTATACTGGAGTCCCTCAACACTGTCACTGGGTCTGAGCGAGGAGGAGATCTACACTGACTCCTACCCCTCGCCCCCGAATAAAACCCTGTCCCATTGGCCTGCCCCCAAGGACATTGAAAGGTCTTCGCTGTCAATCACGTATGGGATGGCTGAGCAGCAGCCTAGAGCAGGGTTATCTGGGACTCTTTCCTGCAGGACTTGTCAGAACCTTGAATACACTGCTGTGTGTTGTGAGTGGTCATTGCCTATGAGTGAGAAAAGGAGGAGGCATTTTCCTGCAGGACACCCAAGACATGCCTGGTCCAGGCTACCCAGGAAAGCTAGTGGAGAAAAGCAGCTCCTCAGAAGCCTTCTCCATGTCCCCACTGACCAAGGACTCCTAGGCTTCTGCTCTCTGTGGCACCCCATCTACCTAGACTCCTCCTAGGCCTCTCCAGCTCCCGCTGTTTTCCAAATATCCCCGGGCCTTTTCCTGCAGTGTCGTGAATCCCGCGTAGCCCCAGGCCCCCCAAAGCCTCCCAGTCTCTGAACCTCTGTATCCATTTCCTGCAGACCCCCCAGAGGTATCCATCTCTGGCTATGATAACAACTGGTACCTTGGCCAGAATGAGGCCACCCTGACCTGCGATGCTCGCAGCAACCCAGAGCCCACAGGCTATAATTGGAGCACGTGAGTCCTGGGTCTCAGGGAGGAGGGGCTGGGGGTCTGGATTTCTAGCACTGAGGGAGGAGGGGCTGGGGGCCTGGACTCCTGGGACTGAGGGAGAAGGGGCTGGGGGCCCGGACCCCTGGGTCTGAGGGACGAGAGGCTGGGAGCCCGGACTCCTGGGTCTGAGGGAAGAGGGGCTGGGGGTCTGGACCCCTGGGACTGAGAGAGGAGGGGCTGGGCCTGGACCCCTGGGTCTGAGGGAGGAGGGGCTGGGGGGTCTGGACCCCTGGGTCTGAGGGAGGAGAAGCTGGGAGCCTGGACCCCTGGGTCTGAGGCAGGACAGACTGGGGCCTGGACTCCTGGTCTAAGAGAGGAGGGAGATTCAGAAAAGAGAAAAAGAGGAGGTTGACTTCGGGCCCCCAGTGGGGGGCATCTCTGTTTTGACATCTCTGTTTTGCGGTTGAGGCGTTTAGCAGGTGGTTGAATCCTGGCTGGTGGATGCACCTGCTTTTTGGGGTGTGCCTGCTCTGTGCCCGGTACTTCCCCCGAATCCCATGTGACCCCATGCTGTGCACAGTCAGCAGCTGTTGCCCTGCCCAGGTTAAAGACCAGCCACGAGAGGGCAGAAGCGGCCCTTGAATCAGCGCTCGGCTCCAAAGCTGGTCCTCCGCCTCTTGGCCAAGCTTGTCTAACCTGCAGGCCACATCATTTGTAAACTTTCTTAAAACATTATGAGACTTTTTTTTTGCGAATTTTTTTAGCTCATTAGCTATTGTTAGTGTTAGTGTATTTTATGTATGGCCCAGGACAGTTCTTCTTCTTCCAATGTGGCCCGGGGAAGCCAAAAGATTGGACACCCCCACTCTAGACTGTAACCACCTCACCGTCACCTTGTGTAACCTACTTGGTTATCTCTGGATGGAGCAAGTACTATATATCCCCATTGTCTAGATGAGAAAGTTGAGGCTCACAGCAATAAGATTTCCCCAGATTCACACTGAGGCTGAGATCAAGAGCAAGGTAAGAAAAAGGCAAAGAGATAATACATAATTTTATAATACATAATTTTACATAAATTACATAATTTTACTGAACCGCCCTTTTTTTTTAAAGAAGGGGCTCTGTTGCCGAGGCTGGAGTGCAGTGGCGTGATCATAGCTCACTGCAGCCTGGACCTCCCTGGGCTCAGGTGATCCTCCCACCTCAGCCTCCTGAGTAGCTGGGACTACAGGCACACGCCACCACACTCAGCTAATTTTGTTGTATTTTTTTTGCAGAGACAGGGTTTTGCCACATTGCCCAGGCTGGTCTGCAACTCCTGGGCTCAAGCAATCAACCCACCTCAGCCTCCTAAAGTGCTGGGATTACAGGCGTGAGCCACCTCGCCCAGCCTTAGGTCTTTTTCCTTATTACAAAAATAACTTGTGTCCACTGTAGAAATATCAAACAATTTAGTTATGAGCAAAAAGAAGAAAGTAGTGCCTATAGTTCAAGTGTACCCAGCCACCTCCAGAAATACCCAGTGACCCCTTATTATACATCCTGTCTTTTTTCTCTCTGTTTCTAAACAAAGACTGGAATTATGCTGTACATATAATTTTGAACCTTTTCGTCTGTCTTGTGAATACCTTTCCATGTCAAAGCACATAGATCCACAACTCCATTTTCCCCCACGTTGTATTAGGAAGACTGTCAAACATACAGAAAAATCATAGGAATTTTCCAGTGAACACTTAAGATTCCACCACGTGGATTCCCCTGCTAACATTTTACTGTGCTTGCTTTATCACGTTTCTGTGATTCCTTCAGTCCCTCTATTCATCCATCAATCATATTATGCATTTCAGAGCACCCCCAGCTCTCCTGCTTTTTTTTTTTTTTTTTTTTTTTTGAGGCAGGGCCTCACTCTGTTGCTCAGGCTGTAGTGCCGTGGCACAATCACAGCTCACTGCAGCCTTGAATTCCTGGGCTCAAGCGATCCTCCAGCTTCAGCCTCCCAGATAGCTGGGACTACAGGCACACACCACCACGCCTGGCTAACCTGGCCCCTTTTTTAGTGTTGCTGGGATTCCACCACTTTAAAAAAAAAATTCAAAGAATAGAGACAGGATCTCACTATGTTGCCCAGGCTGGTCTTGAACTCCTGTACTCAAGCAGTCATCTCACCTGGGCCTCCCAAAGGGCAGGGAAGGGATTCCAACATATGTGGATGTCATCAGTTATTTAACCAGTCCCTAGTAGAGGACACAGATGTCATTTTCCATTTTCAACTCTGCAAATGCCATGGTGGTGTCCATCCCCACTGGTCACTTGTCAGCAGTTGTCCGTGGAAGGAATTGCCGGTCAAAGGTTTTCAACTGGTGTGATGGTGCCTTTACTGTCCTGCCTCAAAGCACCGCAATTCAGGCTCTTGAGCCAGATAGCTGCGTTTGCATCCCAGCTCTGCGGAGCACCCAAAGCCTGATGCTTCCATCTCCTCCACCTCTGTTCATTAAACCAGTGTTCCTTGACTACTTACTGTGTGCCGGGTGCAATTAACCAACATACGTTGGTCGATAAAACAGACCAAATTTCCTCCCCATATAGAGCTTCCATTCTAGTGGTGAAAGAAACAAGAAGCAAGATAAAGTGTGTAGTGTGTGTGCAATGGTGATAAATACCATGGAGAAGACAAAGCAGAGAAGGGAATGGGACTGGGCGCCATGACTCATACCTGTAATCCCAGCACTTTGGGAGGCAGAGATGGGAGGATCACTTGAGGCTAGGAGTTCAAGACCAGCCTGGCCAACATGGCGAAACCCCATCTCTACCAAAAAAGATACAAAAATTGGCCGGGTGTGGTGGCATGCACCTGTAGTCCCAGCTACTCAGGAGGCTGAGGTGGGAAGATTCCATGCACCCAGGAGGTGGAGGTTGCAGTGAGTCAAGATGGTGCCACTGCACTCCAGCCTGGGTGACAGAGTGAGACGCTGTCTCAAAAAAATAATAATTAAATAAATTAAAGAGAAGGGGATGGGAAGGGTGATCATCACAGTTGAAATAGGGTGGCCAAGTGAGGTGTTACTAAGGTGACATCCCAGCAGAGGCCTGAAGGAGATGAGGGTGAGCTCTGCGGGTGCCTAGGGGGAAAGCATTCCAGCAGAGGGAACAGCATGGGCAAACCCATTTCTATCCATCAGTCCCTGCATAAGCAAACACCCTGGACACCTAACTGGAGAGTTTGAGGACCAACAAAGAGGCCACTGTGGATGCAGAGGCGGGAGCAAAGGGGAGAGTAATGGAAAACGTGGGCAGAGGTAGCAGGGGCCAGATCACGTGGGGCCTGTGACACCAGAAGACTTCGGTTTAACTCTGAGCCAGGCTAGGCCCCCAGAGGGTACTGAGCTGAGGTATGGGAACTGACTTAGGGTTCACAGGCGACCTCTGGTGGCCATGTGGGGAACAGACGAGGGGGCGAGGGCAGAAACGGAGCCCAGCGTGGAGGCGGCTGCTGGGGGCCGGGATGCACAGCGCCAGAGCAGGGAGGTACCGTGGAAGCCCTGAGGAGAGGTGGGATTCTGGATGGATCTTAAGGCGGGGCCGACATGATTGGCTAATGGGTTGGGTGTGGGCATGAGAGGAAGGGAAGAGTTGGGGGGCCTCCAGAGTTGCTCTCCGCTTATGCTATAGAGGGCGTGAGGGTTTCTGGGCACGTAGTGCGTGCTCAATCACTGTCACTCCGGACCTGCAGCAGAGGCCACCTCCTCACCTTTCTGTCTCTCCCAGGACCATGGGTCCCCTGCCACCCTTTGCTGTGGCCCAGGGCGCCCAGCTCCTGATCCGTCCTGTGGACAAACCAATCAACACAACTTTAATCTGCAACGTCACCAATGCCCTAGGAGCTCGCCAGGCAGAACTGACCGTCCAGGTCAAAGGTGAGGAACTCCCTGGGTGGGAAGAACAGGGACCAAAGGAAGAGGTCGAGGCAGGGTTCCCTGTCTAATGCTCTCTGGCTCCCATCCTTCTCCTAAGCCTTCTCACAAAAGGACCAGTGGGGCCAGCTTTACTCCCCTGTTAACTCCATACCTATATCACTGGTACCGTTGTTCAGCTGCCTGGATACACTCCCTCCACACACACAGGTTGGGATAGATGTGGAATCCCTCTCTCTCAGGGACTCAGGCCTTTCCAAATATATTAGGCAGACCTCTATCAATTGCAATTGACAGAAACACAAAGTAGTCTAAGCAAAAAAAACCAAACAAAACAGGACTTTATTGAAAATTCACCTTCAGGTATGGTTAGATCCAGGGGCTCCAACCTTGTAACCCAGGAACTTTTATTTTATACATCTCTTGTCTCTGCTTTTCGTTATACTGGCTTTATTCTCAGGCAGGCTCTGAAGCAAGATGGCCCTCGGCAGGGACAGGCTCACATTCTACCAGAATGGCAACAGCAGGAGAAAAAACATACCACTTTCAGTAACTGTAGCCATAGTCCCAGGGCTGGCTCTCATTGGCCCAGCTTAGGCCACAGCCCACCTATGAACCAATCATAGCAGCCAGGGAGAATGGAATATTCTGATTGGCCAGGCCTGTGTCAAAGTCCCATTCTGGGCACCAGAGGGTGGGATCCATTCCACCTGAATTAAATAGACTGAGGCAGTGGAGTGGTGGCTCCCTAAGGAAATTCAAGATGCCATTTCAAGAATGAGGGATAAACCCCAAGAGTTTCCTTACCTAAATACCTGTTTCCTTCTCTTTCAGAGGGACCTCCCAGTGAGCACTCAGGCATGTCCCGTAACGCCATCATCTTCCTGGTTCTGGGAATCCTGGTTTTTCTGATCCTGCTGGGGATCGGGATTTATTTCTATTGGTCCAAATGTTCCCGTGAGGTCCTTTGGCACTGTCATCTGTGTCCCTCGAGTGAGCATCACCAGAGCTGCCGTAATTGAGCACCTACTACGGGCTCTGTGCTGAGTCCTTCCAGTGTGCCTCTCACTGAATCCTCACCCCACTGCCATGAGGTTTCCCCCATTTGACTGATGAGGGTGCAGAGCCAGGGAGCCTTGTTCACTGGTTCATTGATTACATTTACAAATATTATTTACAGAGTGGGAGAAGAGCGTATAGGGTCTTAATGCCATGGTAGGGACTTTGGAATTTAATTCAGGTGATGTGGGAGTCCCTGCCAGATGGATGGAGGGTGAAATAATGCTTAAGCCCTCAGCCTTACTCCATCTGCCTTGTTCAGGAGTGACTCCTAGGAGGAGGTGGCAGGAACTGGCACCTCTGATCCTCAGCTCTAAAAGGGTCTGATGCTTTCACACCTCAAGAGATTTGCACAGGCCGTTCCCCTGCCTGGAGCACCCTCCCATGGCTCCTTCTGGAGAAGTGTGCCAGCTCATTCTGTAATCAGAGGAACGATGCTTTGCTGAGCACTGTCTACATGCCACTTTGTATGTATAACCCCCTCGATTTTAATTTTTAATTTTTTTTATTATTTATGTATTTATTTATTTATTTTTGAGACAGGCTCTCACTGTCGCCCAGGCTGGAGTGCAGTGGTGCGATCTCGGCTCACTGTAGCCTTCACCTCCCAGGTTCAAGCGATTCTCATGCCTCAGCCTCCCAAGGAGCGGGGATTACAGGCACGCACTACTATGCCCAGCAATTTTTGTATTTTTAGGAGAGACAGCGTTTCGCCATGTTGGCCAGGCTGGTCTCAAACCCCTGGTCTCCTGTGATCCACCCGCCTCAGCCTCCCAAAGTGCTGGGATTACAGGCATGAGCCACCACACCTGGCCTGTACAATCTCCTTGAATGCCCACAACCACCCAGCAAAGTGGTTCTCCCGTGAGCCCCATGTTACAGAGGAGGAAGTATTTGCTTTGAGAGATGAAGTTACCTGCCAATGGTCAAACAGCTGGACATGGTTGTTGGGGAGAAGAAGCCAGATCTTTGACTACCAAGCTTTTCCTTCAACCACTAAACAAAGCTGCTCCCTTACAACCCAGGCGGATACTGCCTCGTCCAGGAAGCCCTCCCTGACCCCCAAGCATGAGCCAAGCATCCACTAGGCTCTCCCACTCCAGCCTTGCCCATTCTGGGTCATCACCGTGGGGGACTTGTTTGTCATCCCCAGTGGACTGTGAGCCCCAAGATAGCAGACCTGAGGCTGTCACTGTCATGACTGTGTCCCCAGGACCGCCTACCACTGGGCCGGGCATAAAAGAGGCACTCGAGGAAGTGTTTGCTGAGTGATTCAATGTGTCAGCTCCAGAGCCAGACTGCCTGTATCTGGGCCCTAAAGCTACTGCTTGATTAGTGATGTCACCATAGGCAAATAGCTTAAGCTGTATGACTCAGTTTCCTCATCTGTAAAATGGGGTGATGGTACCTAATAATACAGTAGAGCACTTAACACAGTAGGTGGCACATGGTAAGCCACATACTGAGTATGTATTTGCTATGATTGTTATTGCTATTATTACTATTATTGTTATTATTAACATAAACTGCACAAGAGCAGGCTTTTTGTTTGTTTGTTTGTGTTTTGTTTTGAGACAAGATCTTGCTCTGTTGCCCAGACTGGAGTAGTGCAGTGATGTGATCTTGGCTCACTGCAGCCTCAACCTCCCAGGCTCAGGTGATTCTCCCACCTCAGCCTCTCGAGTAGCTGGGATTATAGGCGTGCACTCCCACGCCTGGCTAATTTTTTATATTTTTAGTAGAGATGGAGTTTCGTTGTGTTGCCCAAGCTGGTCTCAAACTCCTAGACTCCAGCAATCCGCCCACCTCAGCCTCCCAGAGTGCTGGAATTATAGGTGTGAGCCACCACGCCTGGCCAAGAGCAGGCATTTTTATCTGTTTTGTTCACAGCTGTGTCCCCAGCACCTAGAATGTACCTGGCACAAAGTAGACATTCACCATTTGCTGAATAATACTACTATTTGCTAAATAAACCCCTGTTGAATAGTCTAGGAAACTGAACACAGAGAGGTTAAGTCACTTGTCCAAGTTCACACAGCTCCTAAAGGACAGAGATGGAATTTGAACCCATCCATCTGGTTCCAGAGCCAGGCTCGATATTTATGGATATTTCATAACCAAGTGAATAACTGGATGGCTAAATCCTTAGAAAGCACACCCTCCATCCCTGTCTGACACACGTGTATACCATTAAGGGAAATGGCACCCCCATGTAATAGCAGAGGCAGAACTTGACATTTTCAGGGCCCTGACACCCAGGCATGTCTTCTTCCCATGCTTCCCAGCATTATTCCTTCCTGACGACTTCCCCTCCTATTTCCCCAGGTACAGAGCATGCCAGCGCCTCAGCTAATGGGGTAAGTGCAGTGTTGGAGCTAAGGAGGGTGTGGGGTCTGCACGAACTACAGACCAGACGTCTTCAGATGCCCACGGCCCGGCCTCAGGAGCCTGGGTCTTTTCTCCTGGTGCCTCGAGCAGCATTTCCCAACCCTTCCTGCTGGGCGGAATCCCCTGTAGAGTTTGCTAAGACGCAGCCCCAGACAGTCTGGTCTGTGATGGGGCCAGGGAATCTGCATTTTAATATCCGCTCTCTCCCCCCTGCCCCACGCCCCTTCAATTCCACCCATGGCCACACCTTGAGAAGCACTGCCCTGGCTTCCAGGGAGAGAGGAGGGGACGGGCCTGCAGTTCTTTGCACATGGGGCTTCAGTGGGAAGATGTTTGATTTTGTTCAAAAGAGCCCCAAGGCTAAAATTTGAAAACCCTCTTCTAGCATGTCTCCTATTCAGCTGTGAGCAGAGAGAACAGCTCTTCCCAGGATCCACAGACAGAGGGCACAAGGTGACAGCGTCGGGACTGAGAGGGGAGAGAGACTGGAGCTGGCAAGGACGTGGGCCTCCAGAGTTGGACCCGACCCCAATGGATGAAGACCCCCTCCAAAGAGACCAGCCTCCCTCCCTGTGCCAGACCTCAAAACGACGGGGGCAGGTGCAAGTTCATAGGTCTCCAAGACCACCCTCCTTTCATTTGCTAGAAGGACTCACTAGACTCAGGAAAGCTGTTAGGCTCACAGTTACAGTTTATTACAGTAAAAGGACAGAGATTAAGATCAGCAAAGGGAGGAGGTGCACAGCACACGTTCCACGACAGATGAGGCGACGGCTTCCATCTGCCCTCTCCCAGTGGAGCCATATAGGCAGCACCTGATTCTCACAGCAACATGTGACAACATGCAAGAAGTACTGCCAATACTGCCAACCAGAGCAGCTCACTCGAGATCTTTGTGTCCAGAGTTTTTTGTTTGTCTTGAGACAGGGTCTGGCTCTGTTGGCAGACTAGAGTACAGTGGTGAGATCACAGTTCATTGCAGCCTTGACTTCTCAACGCCAAGTCATCCTCCCACCTCAGCCTCCTGAGTAGCTATGACTACAGGTATGTGCCACCACGTCTGGCTAATCTTTTTATTATTTGTAAAGTCGAGGTTTCCCTGTGTTGCCCAGGCTGGTCTTGAACTCTTGGCTCCAAGTGATACTTCTGCCTTGGCCTCCCAAAGTGCTGAATTAAGCAGCTCACCATCCACACGGCTGACCTCATACATCAAGCCAATACCGTGTGGCCCAAGACCCCCACCATAAATCACATCATTAGCATGAACCACCCAGAGTGGCCCAAGACTCCAAGATCAGCTACCAGGCAGGATATTCCAAGGGCTTAGAGATGAATGCCCAGGAGCTGAGGATAAAGGGCCCGATCTTTCTTTGGGCAAGGTTAAGCCTTTACTGCATAGCAGACCACACAGAAGGGTGTGGGCCACCAGAGAATTTTGGTAAAAATTTGGCCTCTGGCCTTGAGCTTCTAAATCTCTGTATCCGTCAGATCTCTGTGGTTACAAGAAACAGCCACTGACCCTGGTCACCAGAGGCTGCAATTCAGGCCGCAAGCAGCTGCCTGGGGGGTGTCCAAGGAGCAGAGAAAACTACTAGATGTGAACTTGAAGAAGGTTGTCAGCTGCAGCCACTTTCTGCCAGCATCTGCAGCCACTTTCTGCCAGCATCTGCAGCCAGCAAGCTGGGACTGGCAGGAAATAACCCACAAAAGAAGCAAATGCAATTTCCAACACAAGGGGGAAGGGATGCAGGGGGAGGCAGCGCTGCAGTTGCTCAGGACACGCTCCTATAGGACCAAGATGGATGCGACCCAAGACCCAGGAGGCCCAGCTGCTCAGTGCAACTGACAAGTTAAAAAGGTCTATGATCTTGAGGGCAGACAGCAGAATTCCTCTTATAAAGAAAACTGTTTGGGAAAATACGTTGAGGGAGAGAAGACCTTGGGCCAAGATGCTAAATGGGAATGCAAAGCTTGAGCTGCTCTGCAAGAGAAAATAAGCAGGACAGAGGATTTGCTCTGGACAGAGATGGAAGAGCCGGGAACAGAGAAGTGTGGGGAAGAGATAGGAACCAGCAGGATGGCAGGGGCAAAGGGCTCAAGGGTGAGGAGGCCAGTGGGACCCCACAGAGTTGGGGAGATAAAGGAACATTGGTTGCTTTGGTGGCACGTAAGCTCCTTGTCTGTCTCCAGCACCCAGAATCTCATTAAAGCTTATTTATTGTACCTCCAGCGGCTGTGTGCAATGGGGTCTTTTGTGGAAATCAAGGAGCAGACAGGTTTCATGTGTACTGTCACCACGTGGGATGGAACCAGAGGCATGGAAGCAAGACGCTAAATGAAGAGGGCCATAAGGGCTGGGATTCCCAGGCACCTTAGGAACAGCTTGTCTTTTTTTTTTTCCTCTCCAAAAAAAATGTTTAAGGGACGGTGTCTCCTGTCACCCAGGCTGGAGTGCAATGGCACGATCATAGCTCATTGCAGCCTCTAACTCCGGGGCTCAAGCAATCCTCCCACCTCAGCCTACCAAGTAGCTGTGACCACAGCTGCCCCTCACCATGCTAAGCTAATTTTTTTAATTAGATAGTACATAAACGTCCCAAAATTAGAAGATAAAAAGACATGAGGGATCCATTCTAATTTGTGTTTGGAGTGTAATGGTCCAGCTCCATTCTTCTGCACATGGATATCCAGTTTTACACAACACTGTGAATGTAATGAATGCCACTGAATCATACACTCAAAAATAGCTAAAATGGCAAATTGTCTGTTATCTCTTTTTAACCACCATTTTTGAAAATTAATTATACCAAAAAACCATTGAATAGTGCACTTTATTTATTTATTTATTTGTTTATTTATTTATTTATTTTAGAAATAAGAGTCTCACTTTGTTGCCCAGGCTGGAGTGCAGTGGCGTGATCATGGCTCATTGCAGCCTCGACCTGCTGGGCTCGGGCTATCCTTCCATCTCAGCCTCCCGAGTAGCTGGGACTATAGGTGGGCGCCACCCCACCTGGCTAAATCTCTTTTTAACTTTTGTAGAGATAGGCATCTCGCTATGTTGCCTAGGCTGGGCTGGAACTCCTGGGCTCAAGTGCTCCTCCTGCCTTGGCCTCCCAAAGCGCTAGGATTACAGATGTGAGCCACCGCGCCCACCCTGAACCTTACTTTTTTTGCTCAGTTTCTGGTAATTCAGAGAATGCCTCCTGAGTTGTTCTACACCCACCTCATATTCCATGGGAGGGCTGTACAGGGCTTTTTTAACGAGGCCTCTAAGGACAGGCATTTGTATCCTTTCCAGCCTTTCACTATTACAATGTTGTAGTGAATAACTTTACACACTGTCATTTATTTTACTTTTTTTTTTTTTTATTTTAGAGAAAGGAATCTTGCCATCTTGCCCAGGCTGGTCTCAAATTCCTGGGCCCAAACAATCCTCCCGCCTTGGCCTCCTAAAGTACTGGGATTTATAGGCATAAGCCACCGTGCCTGGCCAATGCACACTGTCATTTAGCTCATGTTAACACCTGAGTGTAGGACACACTCCTGGAGGTGGAATTGCTGGGCCAAAGAGTATGTTTCTTGTCATTGTGATAGATATTGACAAATGAACCCTCACAGAAGTTGTGCTGAGTTCTGTTCCCACCAGCGACGTAGGCGATGACCTTTTTCTGGAGGGAGGGGGCATCCTTGGAGTCCACAGAGCCAGGAATGGAGAGTGGGCCCAGAATTTTGGTATAGGTGTTGTATAAACTTATAGTAAGGTTAAGAAAACCGCAACTATCCTTATCAGAGACTTGGCGGGGGGCAGGGTATGATGGAGATCATAAGGAGGCTAAAACACTCCACACCCTCCCTCTGCATTGCTCCTGCACGGGAGTCGGGAATCTTTTCAGGTTGATACGATCTCACCTTGAGGAGCTGTGAGGTCCCAGAAGCCTCTGGGTTGCAGATTGCTTGGGGTGAAAATGTCTGTGCTACTGAAATCTAACTTTTTACAAAAAATTACGGGCTGGGCGCAGTGGCTCACGCCTGTAATCCCAGCACTTTGGGAGGCTGCAGCGGGTGGATCACTTGAGGTAAGGAGTTCAAGACCAGACCATAGTGAAACCGTGTCTCTACAAAAAAAATTAGCCAGGTGTGGTGGTGCATGCTTGTAATCCCAGCTACTCAGAAGGCTGAGGTGGGAGAATCCCTTGAACCCGGGAAGTGGAGGCTGGAGTAAACCATGATCGAGTTACTGCACTCCAGCCTGGGTGACAAGAGTGAGACTCTGTCTCCAAAAAAAAAAAAAAAAAAAAAAAAACTGGATTGCCTGGCTCTACTCCGGGCACAGCATGCAGGCCCAGTTCTGCTGCTCTGCTGTTTGTTCTGCTTTCCTCCACATATTGGCATCACCCTCTGGTGCCAAGATGGCTGCTGCATTCCAGGCATCACATCCAGACTCAGACCCAGAGAAGCTGCCCATCCCTACCTGGGTGAGCCTTTGTAGGAACGAGAAACCGCATCCAGCAGCAGAAACCTCACCCAGCAGCGTCTTTTCCGGTCTCATTCACCAGCGCCGCCCACCGCTCAACCAATCCCTGGCCAAAAGAATGGGACCGCCTGGAAGGCTGGACCAAACAGGACCTGCCCTCTGGGGCTGGGGAGAGGCCCAGATGAAGGCTGCAGGACAGGATGGACTCCTAGACCTCTGTTACCAGCAGTGACTACCTCTGTCTGGGTGGTTGGAACATGTTTGAATTTTATTCTAAGTACTGTCTACAAGTTCTGCAATAAACCTTGACTCTTCTTTTAATAATGCAAAAGGAATCGAAGTGATTGTTTGAAAGGGAGAGGAAGAAAGAGAGAGGGAGGGAGGGAAGAATGGAGGGAGGCAGGGAAGGAGACAGAGAGAGTAGAATCCAGCCACCGGAAAATCCAGAATAGCTGGCTTTGCTTAATCCATGCCTGGAAATAACTGCTGGGTTTGCAACAACTTCTCTCCCGGAGACAGACCAAGGAAACTACAAAACTGCAGGAAGGATTGAAGGGCCGGGCACAGTGGCTCACGCCTGTAATCCCAACACTTTGGGAGGCCGAGGTGGATTGGATCACCTGAG
The DNA here is from genome assembly GCF_000001405.40 of Homo sapiens. NCBI lineage: Eukaryota > Metazoa > Chordata > Mammalia > Primates > Hominidae > Homo > Homo sapiens. The sequence continues at coordinate 44,666,457 of NC_000019.10, forward strand.
ATCAGGAGTTCGAGACCAGCCTGGCCAACATGGTGAAACCTCGTCTCTGCTAGAAATACAAAAATAAGCCGGGCGTGGTGGCGTGCGCCTATAGTCCCAGCTACTCGGGAGGCTGAGGCAAGAGAATCGCTTGAACCTGGGAGGTGGAGGTTGCAGTGAGCTGAGATCGTGCCACTGCACTCCAGCTTGGGCGACAGAGTGAGAATCTGTCAGGTGGATTCTGAGGGTACTCTGACCCCACGAACCCAGCATGAAATCTTCCAGGCATTAAGGAACATTGAGGATGTGGAGGATTGGAAATCCCTCCAGGGAAAATACACTTCTCTTGAGCAGGGTCACGAGGGGTGGGGGCAATGTGGGAGGTGGGGCAAATCCAAAGACAAGGTCAACAGCAATAATAATAATAACAATGACAGGCATTTGTTGCTTGTTGGCTGGGCCTCTTGCATACAGTTCTCCCAACATCCCTGTGAGGTGGTGATGCTTATCCCCATTCTCCAGGGGAGGAGGCTGAGGCCCAGAGAGGTGAAGTCGTGTGCCACAAAATACCCCAGCCATATGGTGGTAGAACCAAGTTTTCAGCCAGACTCACCAGCTCACAGCAGAGCTGCCCTGGACTCTACAGCCATTCAGTGTATAGCTGGGCCACTCCATCATTCAAGGCAGTTCAACGTCAAGATTCCTGATTTGCCTCAACCTGGGGCCTCTAGAAGATACCATCACCCCCAACAAGCTGAAGACGTGTGTCCGGAACACTCAGACACACACAAAGTGCTATGGATACACCACACCCCGACCTAGCTGTCTCTTCCTGATGGACCTCACTGGGTAGAAATGCCTGGCACCGCCTGCCTCAGATCCCTAGGTCAGCTCTCACTCCCCAATAGAAGTTTCTGAGATGATGATGAAAACGTTCTCCATCTGTGCTGTCCAATGGAGTAGCCACTGATCACTTGAGGCTAGTGAGCACTTGAAGGTGGCTAGTTTGAGGAACTGCATTTTTTAATGCATTTAATTTTAGTTACTTTGAATATATATACACATATATACATTTATATATACATATTCATACACATACATTTTACATATATTTTATATGTATATGTAATATATATATAAATTATATATGTATATATTTTTATATATAAATATATATTATATATTTATAAATATATAAATATATAATATATATTATATAGATATATAAATATAAATATATATTATATATATAAATATATAATATATATTATATAAATATATATAAATTATATATTTATATATATAATATATAAATTATATAAATTATATATATTTATATATAATATATAAATATATATAAATTATATAATTTATATATTATATATAAATTATATATTTTATATATAATATATACAATATATATAAATTATATATAATATATAAATATATATAAATTATATATAATATATAAAATATATATAAATTATATATAATATATAAAATATATATAAATTATATAAATCTATATAAATATATACTATATTATAAATATAGTATATATTTATATAGATTTATATTATTTATATAGTATATATTATATATTTATATGTTTATGTATATATAAATATATAATATATAAATATATTTATATATTATATATTTATATAATATTTTATATAATATGTTATATATTTTTATATAATATATTATATATATTTATATGCTATATTATATAGTATATTATATATAATATATTTTATATATTATATATATATTTATATAATATTTATATATTATATTTATATAATATGTTTATATATTATTATATTTATATAATATGTTTATATATTATTATATTTATATAATATGTTTATATATTATTATATTTATATAATATGTTTATAATATATATAATATATTTATATAATATGTTTATATATTATATATATAATATATTTATATAATATGTTTATATATTATATATATAATATATTTATATATTATTATATATATTTTATAATATATAATATATATAATATAATATATATATTATATATATTATATATATTATATATTAGTTATAATATAAATATATAATATATGTATATAATTATATAATTATATACATATTATATATGTATATAATTATATAATTATATACACATATTATATATGTATATAATTATATAATTATATACACATATTATATATGTATATAATTATATAATTATATACATATATTATATATTATAATATATTATATATTATATTATATATTATAATATGTATATATAAATATAATATATAATATAATATAATATAATATATATAATATAATATATAATTATATATAATATATATTATATATAAAATAATATATATATATTCAGTTTTTTTTTTTGGAGATGGAGTCTTGCTCTGTTGCCCAGGCCGGAGTGCAGTGGCACAATCTTGGCTCACTATAACCTCCACCTCCCAGGTTCAAGTGATTCTCCTGCCTCAGCCTCCCGAGTAGCTGGGATTACAGGCATGCGCCACCACGGCCAGCTAATGTTTGCATTTTTAGTAGAGACAGGGTTTCATCATGTTGCCCGGGCTGGTCTTGAACTCCTGACCTCAAGTGATCTGCCTGCCTCTGCCTCCCAAAGTGCTAGGACTACAGGCATGAGCCACCACGCCTGGCCTATTCAGTATATTTTTTTGAGACATGGTCTCACTCTGTCACCCAGGCTGGAGTGCAGTGTCATGATCAAAGTTCACTGCAGCCTTGACCTCCCAGGTTCAACAATCCTCCTGCCTCAGCCTTCTGAGTAACTGGAACTATAGTTGAAAGCCACCAAGCCTACCTAATTTTTTAAATTTGTTTTGTGTAAAGTTGGGGTCCTACTATGTTGCCCAGCCTGGTCTCCAATTCCTAGGCTCAAGCAATCTTCCCACCTCAGCCTCTCAGAGGGGTAGGATTACAAGTGTGGGTCACCTGTGCCTCCCTAAATTTATATTTAAATAGCCACATATGACTAATAGCTATGATATTAAACAGCATAACACTAGACCCTCCATTATCCAAGCTCTGTTGATCCAACCAACAGAGCACATTTGATCTCTCCTACCTCCCAGCCTCACACACACAGGCCCCACACCCTCCTTCCTGGCTCCACTCACCCAAGATATTGCAACCTCCTCAATACACCTTGATGACTATCTCAGCCTCCACATCCTTGCATTGCTATTTATGCTGCCTGGTGCACCTCATGCTGCCTCACCCCATCATCTGCCTCATTTCTACTCTTACTCCAGGTCTCAGCTCAGATGCCCCCTCCCCCAGGAAGCCCTCCCTAGCCGTCAGGTTGAATGAGGTGTGTCTCCTTGGGCTCTCCCAGACTCCTGGGCTCCTCCATCCCAGCCCTGATCACTCTGGATCATAATTGTGTGAGAGGGGTCTGCCCCCCCAAACCCTACAGGATTGTGTGCCCTACTGTGGACAGAGGGCAGAGCAGAGGTGGTCTCAATCATCACTGTGTCACCAACATCACCCAGCACACACAACTGGGCACTGGGAATGTGTGCTGGAATGAATGGAGGATGCTTTTTAAAAACTAGGCTAAGCCAGGTATGGTGAGTCACATCTGTAATCCCAGTACTTTGGGAGGCTAAGGTGGGAGGATCACTTGAGCCCAGGAGTTCAACACCAGCCTGGGGCAACATAGTGAGATCCCATCTCTACAAAACATATAAAAATTGACCAGGGATGGTAGCACACAACTGTGGTCCCAGCTACTCAGGAGGCTGAGACGGGAGGATTGCTTGAGCCCAGGAGTTGGAGGCTGCAGTGAGCAATGATCATGCAACTATACTCCAGCCTGGGCAACAGAGCGAGACCCTGTCTTAAAAAAAAAAAAAAAGAATAACACACTTGGAATAAACATGATCCAAAAAAGTACAAAACATACACTCTGGGGCTGGGTGCAGTGGCTCATGCCTATACTCCTAGTACTTTGGGAGGCCGAGGCAGGAGGATCATCTGAGGTCAGGAGTTTGAGACCAGCCTGGCCAACATGGCAAAACCCCATCTCTACTAAAAATACAAAAATTAGCCAGGCATGGTGACGCATGCCTGTAATCCCAGCTACTCAGAAGGCTGAGGCAGAAGAATCACTTGAACCTGGGAGGCGGAGGTTGCAGTAAACTGAGATTGTGCCACTGTACTCCAGCCTGGGTGACACAGCATCTAAAAAAGAAACCAATCCAAAAACTACAAAATATTCTTGCAATTATAGGTGACATATTTAAATGGTAAGACAACCAATGTTCATGAATGGAAAGACAGAGCAAGACCCTGTCTCAAGAAAAAAAAAAAAAAAAAAAAAAAAAAAAAACAGGCTGAGCGCGGTGGCTCACACCTGTAATCCCAGCACTTTGGGAGGCCAAGGTGGGCAGATCACCTGAGGTCAGGAGTTCAAGACCAGCCTGACCAACATGGAGAAACCCTGTCTCTACTAAAACTACAAAAGTAGCCGGGCGTGGTGGCGCATGCCTGCATTTCCAGCTACTCCCTGAGGTGGGAGGATCGCTTGAACCCAGGTGGCAGAGGTTGCGGTGAACTGAGATTGCGCCATTGCACTCCAGCCTGGGCAACAAGAGCGAAACTCCATCTCAAAAGAAAAAAAAAGAAAAACACGAGGCTAAGAGCTTTTTTTTTTTTTTGAGACGAAGTCTCGCTCTGTCACCCAGGCTGGAATGCAGTGGCGCGATCTCGGCTCCCTGCAACCCCTGCCTCCCAAGTTCAAGTGATTCTCCTGCCTCAGCCTCTCCAGTTGCTGGGATTACAGGTGCCCACCACCACGCCTGACTAACTTTTGTATTTTTAGTAGAGACAGGGTTTCACCATGTTGGCCAGGCTGGTCTCAAATTCCTCACCTCGTGATCTACCCACCTTGGCCTCCCAAAATGCTGGGATTACAGGCGTGAGCCACCGCACCCAGCCTGCCTCAGAGCCTTCAAGTGAGTCAGCCACAGGTGAAATCCCACCTCTGTCTATTGGCAGACTTGCCTCTTTTCCTGGGCCTCTGTTTCCACATCTGTGCAATGGGAACAGTTATTTATGGTGGCTGCTGAATGAGGCAGTGTGTGTTTGAACAAACCCAGGGGAATTGTTCAAACAGAGGCTGTTATGACTATTGCTACAGTGACTGCTGTTGTAGTCACGCTGAGTGAGAAAAAGAGGTTGAAGAGGGTCAGGGGAGGAGTCCTGGGAAGTTCCCCAGTCACCCTGAAAAACTGGTTCAACCTCTGTCTGTGCTCCCATCCCAGGGAGTATAGGTGGAGCCTCCAGAGCCCATGGACAGGGCATGCTGGGGCTGGGCCAGCCCCAGCGGTGTCTCTAAGGCACCCCTGGGATCCCCACTGAGCTGGCCTACTTCAGACAGCCAGGGCCCACCCCTCTGGCCCCCTTAGTGTCCAGCTCGTGGCCCCTTGGCATTTCCACAAGACGCCAAGATGGAGATTCCCATGGGGACCCAGGGCTGCTTCTCAAAGAGCCTCCTGCTCTCAGGTAAGGAGGAAATAGACCCTAAAGGCCAAGGGGAGAAATGGGGACTCAGCCCAGAGATTGAAGTTTCCTCTTAGAAGTAGGGAAAGATTACCTGAGAGGATGAAATTAGAATAAGATGGGGGAGGGGCAACAGAATCACAGCCTCATTGCCATTTTATCTATGGAATTTTCTATAATGTTAGGACCATGAAGGCAGGAATTTATGTATGTTTGGTTCCCTGCTATATCTCCAGTGTCTAGAAATTGAAGGAAGTTTAGATGTATTACATATAGTTGGTATTATAGCTTATATATTACATATGCCTATAAGTATTGGTTGAATAAATGAATGAATGAATGAATTCAGAGAGTCCATGTGTTTAGAAGCAGGCCACACAGCATCTCAAGGTAGAAAAACCTCTGGATCAACAGGATGGCAAATCTGTGGTAACCATGCCTGTGTTCCCACTCCTGCACCCAGGGCAGACATCACTAATCAATCCCAGCATTGTTTCCAATGAGCAGCACTCAGAGTCCTTGCTCCCCGCTGAAGATCTGTATCTAGAGAGGAGCATGCCATGGTCCCTGGCAACACCCCTGATCTCAGCCCTTCCCTGTAACTTCCCACAGCCTCAATCCTGGTCCTCTGGATGCTCCAAGGCTCCCAGGCAGCTCTCTACATCCAGAAGATTCCAGAGCAGCCTCAAAAGAACCAGGACCTTCTCCTGTCAGTCCAGGGTGTCCCAGACACCTTCCAGGACTTCAACTGGTACCTGGGGGAGGAGACGTACGGAGGCACGAGGCTATTTACCTACATCCCTGGGATACAACGGCCTCAGAGGGATGGCAGTGCCATGGGACAGCGAGACATCGTGGGCTTCCCCAATGGTTCCATGCTGCTGCGCCGCGCCCAGCCTACAGACAGTGGCACCTACCAAGTAGCCATTACCATCAACTCTGAATGGACTATGAAGGCCAAGACTGAGGTCCAGGTAGCTGGTAAGTGTTAGGGTCTGGGGATGAGGTGAGGAAGCTAATGAGCCCTGAGCAGCTACCATGCACCAGGTGCTGTGCAAACACCATTTCATTTGGTCCTCTCATTTATTCACTTGACACATATTGAGCATCTACTGTGTACCAATCCCCAGAGATAGTCTTTAACCCTCACATGCATTAACTAATAAAATATCTATGAAATGCCCGCCTTGTGCCTGACACTGGAGAATGCACCATCTCATTTACCTTTCACATGCACTAACATTAACCAAATTTTTATCGAGCACTTACTGTATGCCTGGTTGTGAGGAATGCATCCCTCAATCTTTATGTTTATAAAGCGAGTATTTACTGATGAATCCACTCGGGGCAAAGTGTGAGGGAAAGGGTGGTGGGCAATAATGACAGCTGGCATTTCTTGGGTGATCGTTAAGAGCCAGGCACCATCTTAAACATTTTCCCTAAAGCATAGTTTCTCAGCTTCAGCACTACTGATGTTTTGTATTGGCCAGTTCTTACTAGTAGAGGGTTTGTGCATTGCAGAGATTTCAGCAGCACCCCGGCCTCTACTCACTAGGTACCAGTAGCAGCTTCCTAGTCATGCCAACCAAAAATGTCTTCAGATATTACCAAATGTCTCCACCCTGGGATAAGAATCACCCCTGGTTGAGAACCATTACTCTATATTTACTCATTTTTACCTTAAAACAACTCCATGAGGCCAGCGCCATTATTGTCTCCATTTTACAGATTGAAAAATGGAGGCACGCAGTGGTTATGACTTGCTGAGTAAAGAATACGAACCAGAATGATGTGACATGGGAAAGGAGGTCATCAGGGAGACCTCACTCAAGAAGTGACCTTAGAGGAGAGACCAGAAGAAGGTGATTGAGGGAGGGAGGTGCTGTGGCCCCTTGCCATTTCCACAGGACACAGATCCCCTTAGAATTTATATGTTGAAATCCTAACCTCCAAGATGATGGTATTAAAAGGTGGGGCTTGGGCCTGGCACGGTGGCTTACACCTGTAATCCCAGCACTTTGGAAGGCTGAAGTGGGTGGATCACCTGAGGTCAGGAGTTCGAGATCACCCTGGCCAACATGGTAAAACCCCGTCTCTGCTAAAAATACAAAAATTAGCTGGGCATGGTGGTAGATGCCTGTAATGCCAGCCACTTGGGAGGCAGGAGAATCACTTGAACCCAGGAGGCAGAGGTTGCAGTGAACCGAGATCATGCCACTGCACTCCAGCCTGGGCAACAGAGCAAGACTCCATCTCAAAAAAAAAAAAAGTGGGGCTTGTGGGAGGTGATTAGATCATGAGGGTACAGCACTTGTAAATAGATTGTATGCCCTTATTTTTTTTTTTTTCAATTTAAAAGCAAGATTGTGGAGACAGGGTCTTACTGATATTGCTCAGGCTGGTCTCAAACTCCTGGCCTCAAGCAATCCTTCCACCTTGGCCTCCCAGTGCTGGGATTACAAGAATAAGCCACCATGCCCAGTCTCAGCTCACTGTAACCTCCACCTCCTGGGCTCAAGCGATCCTCCCACCTCAGCTTCCCATGTAGCTGGGACTGTAGGCGCATGCCATCACACCCAGCTAATTTTTTTTATTTATTGGTAGAGACTGGGTTTCACCATGTTGCCCAGGCTGGTCTCCAACTCCTGAGCTCAGGCAATCCACCCACCTCGGCCTCCCAAAGTGCTGGGATTACAGGCGTGAGCCACCACCCCTGGCCCCTAGTTAAATTTTAAAATGAGTTTTGGACAGTGAATAGAAAAAATTTTACAGAAATGGATGAAATAGGCAAAAGTCAACTCAACATATGCATTAATTTGATTACACAAATCTGCATAAAATGACACTCTAGTCCGGTTGGAGATAACAGTCCTTACTTCACTTGTGGAGCCTGAAGTGACTTCTCCCCACATTTCCGGGGTTCCCAGGTCACAGGTGCCCCCTTTGGAAGCTGCACAGCATGGTCATTAAGGAGTTCAGGTGGCCTGGGTATGATCCCAGCACTGCACTTATTGTGAGCCATCAAGCAAGTCAATTTACTGTTCCATGCCTCAGTTTCCTTATCTGTAAAATGGCATAGAGCTTACTTCTTTGTTGGATCATTCAGAGAACAGCGTGTGTGTGTGTGTGTGTGTGTGTGTGTGTGTGTGTGTGTATTTCAAACTTCATAACAACCCTAAGAACTAGGTATTCATATTATCCTCATTTCACAGACGAACCAAGTCACAGAGAGATTGAGTAATTTGCCCAAGGCCACACCGCCAGTGGGCAGCATTAGGATCCCATAGTCTATGAGCTTAGCTGCCAAGACGGGTTGGGATAGAACAGATGTCCAGCTTGAGAGTAAAGCTGGGAGGTCAGAGGGTAAGAGCCAGGTAGGCGTGGTCTTAATTCTAGCAAGTCCAGTTTAAGAATCCTCCAAGTCCCCTACATCTCCTGCAAAACACAGCCCAGAACCTCATCCTTCTGCTGAAGGGATTCAGGTATCATCAACCGAAGTGAGAAAAAGCAAAGCAGATTGGGTCTGGGCTCGGTGGCCACGTCTGTAATCCCAACACTTTGGGAGACCAAGGCAGTAGAACTACTTGAGTCCAGGAATTTGAGACCAGCCTAAGTAATTTAGTGACACCCCTTCTTTACAAAAAATTTAAAAATTAGCCAGGAGTGGTAGTGTGTGCCTGTAGTCCCAGCTACTTGGGGGACTGAGGTGGGAGGATGGCTTAAGCCGAGGAGTTGGAGGCTGCAGTGAACCGTGATCATGCCACTGCATTCCAGCCTGGGCAACAGAGTGAGACGCTGTTTCAAAAAAAGAAAAAAAAAAATCAGTTTGATGGGGTAGGGTTGGGGAGCATGTCAGCAAGCAGATTTTGGATGTGCTGAGGATCGTATGAAATCCTAGGGAAGCAGCAACATCGAGATATAGGACAGCTAAGGAGTTCCATCTGGGACATGTTGAAATTTTTTTTTTAATAGAGATAGGGTCTCACTATGTTGCCCAGGCTGGTCTTGAACTCCTGGGCTCAAGTGATCCTCCCCCATCGGCCTCCCAAATTGCTGGGATTACAGGTGTGAGCACCACGCCCAGCCCGCTGGGACATGTTGGATTTTATGTGCCACCCAGATGGTTGGATACTCAGATCTGAAAAGCAGGAGAAAGCTCTGGGCTGGAAATAGGAAACTGCACCTCAGTTCTCCATGCAGTCACTGATATAGTCGGTGAGGGACTGGGGGAGCCCTCAGGAGACATCGCACAGTCCCCCCTCTCTCTTTCTTTCTCTCACCCCTCAGAAAAGAATAAGGAGCTGCCCAGTACACACCTGCCCACCAACGCTGGGATCCTGGCGGCCACCATCATTGGATCTCTTGCTGCCGGGGCCCTTCTCATCAGCTGCATTGCCTATCTCCTGGTGACAAGGAACTGGAGGGGCCAGAGCCACAGGTACAGGGTCCCCAAGTGTCCCTCTCCTGTCTGCTCCCACTGTCTTCTCAAGCCCCATGGATTCTTCCACAAGTCACATCATCCGGCTCATACACAATCTCATCAAATCTTGGAACTCCTGGGGTGAAAAGAATCTTTCTATCCTGTATTAAACAGAATTCTGCATTGCAAGGGACAGAAAACCTATTCTTAAACTGACTTACCAAAAAGAAGGAATTTTAGTCAGGGTCTCGCTCTGTCACCCAGGCTGGAGTGCAGTGGCACAATCACGACTCACTGCAGCCTCAACTTCCCCGGACTCAGGTGAGTCTTTCACCTCAGCCTCCCAGGTAGCTGAGACTACAGGTGTGCACCACCAAGCCTGGCTAATTTTTTTTATTTTTGTAGAGATGGGGTTTTGCCCAGGCTGGTCTCGAACTCCTGGGCTCAAGTGATCCTCCAGCTTTGGCCTCCCAAAGTGCTGAGAATACAGGCATGAGCCACTGTTCCCTGCCCAAAAAACAAGGAATTGTTTAATACTACATAACTTATTCAGGTAGGCTGCATCCAGGGGCTCAATGTTCTCAAATGACTCCTTTATATACTCGTCAACTCTGTATTTTTCTTCGGTGGCTTCATTCTCAGGCAGGCTCTCCCCTGTTGCCACAAGATCACTCCCAGGGGGCCCAGGCTCATACTCCACTGGTTTAGCCATTCCTAGCAAGGAGACCACCTTGTTCCTGGTAGTTCCAACAAGAGCCCCAAGTCTACCTCTCATTGGCTTAACTCAGATCACATGACTTTTCATGAACCAATCACTGTGGCCAGGGGTTGGTGGCCAGGGAAAGCTCTGATTGGCCAAAGTTGGGCTATTTGTGCAGCCCCAGAGACTGGGCTAGATCCAACTCCGTTTAATCAAGTGGATTGAGAGTGTAGACCGGCTCTCCAAAGGAAAACAAAACTGGTTGCTATTGTCAAAGAAGGGGAGTGGGCAGCAGCAGGCACAGCTATCAGATGCTACCTACTTGTATGGAGAGAGAGAGAGAGAGAGAGAGAGGAGAGAGAGGAGAGAGAGACAGTCCTGTTTCCCCCAGGGAGAGTCTATTCGTGAAAAATTCCTTTCTTATGACATCAGCGTCTTCAGAACTTTGTCTCTTGAAATTGATTCTGAACTGATTGTAGATAAGATGTCTAATTTTTCTGCCACTCACCAGTTCCCAGAATATGAAAGCAGCAATTTTGTCTCCTTTCTCAACTCTTCCTTATGTGCCATGGATTCTGTTTTCTTCTTCTTCTTTTTTTTTTTTGAGACAGAGTCTTGCTGCAGTGTAGTGGCGCAATCTTGGCTCACTGCAACCTCCACCTCCGGGACTCAAGCAATTCTCGTGCCTCAGCCTCCCAAGTAGCTGAGACTACAGGCGTGCACCACAACGCCCGGCTAATTTTTTGTATTTTAGTAGAGATGGGGTTTCACCATGTTGCCCTGGATGGTCTCAAACTCCTGATCTCAGGCAATCCGCCAGCCTCGGCCTCCCAAAGTGCTGGAATTACAGGCATGAGCCACTGCGCCTGGCCTATTTCTTTTTCTTTTTTAAAGAGACAGGGTCTTGCTTTATCACCCAGGCTGGAGTGCAGTGGCATGATCATAGTTTACTGCAGCCTCAGACTCCTGGGCTCAAGTGATCCTCCCACCTCAGCCTCCTGGGTAACTGGGACCACAGGCCTGTGCTACCACACCTGGCTAATTATCTGTATTATTATTTTTTGTAGAGATGGGGTCTTGCTATGTTGCCCAAGCTGACCTCAAACTCCTGGCCTTAAGCGGTCCTTCTGCCTCAGCCTCCCAAAGTGCTCGAATTACAGGCATGCATCACCATGCCTAGCTTATTTTTTACTTTTTGTAAAAATAAGATCTCCCTGTGTTGCCCTGGCTGTCTTGAATTGCTGGGCTCAAGCCATCCTCCCATCTCAGCCCCCCAAGTAGCTGGGACTACAGGAGTGCACCATTTCCAAGCTTTTTTTTCTTCTTCTTCTTGTTTTGCTCTTGTCGCCCAGGCTGGAATCCAGTGGCGCGATCTCGGCTCACTGCAACTTCCGCCTCAGGGGTTCAAGCGATTTTCCTGCCTCAGCTTCCTGAGTAGCTGGAATTACAGGCACCCACCACCTCGCCTGGCTAATTTTTGTATTTTTAGTAGAGACGGGGTTTCACCATGTTGGCCAGGATGGTCTCAAACTCCTGAACTCAGGTGATCTGCCCACCTTGGCCTCCCAAAGTGTTGGGATTACAGGCATGAGCCACTGAGCCCAATTACTATTTTTTTACTCAAAACCGCACACACACCTTCCACCCCCTCCCCCCTCTCCATTTTCCTTCATAGGGAAGGATGTTGCTCTCTGATATTCTACTGTCAATGCTTTATTCCAATTTTCTTCCCCTCTCTTTCCACCCTAGACTGCCTGCTCCGAGGGGCCAGGGATCTCTGTCCATCTTGTGCTCGGCTGTATCCCCAGTGCCTTCAGTGACGCCCAGCACATGGTTGGTGCTTGTAAATACTTATTTAGTGAACTAACAAACTTGCTATAGCGGTGTCAAGAGTACTTTTGTTTTCAGAGTCAAAGTCTCACTCTGTTGCCAAGGTTGGGGTGCAGTGGTGCGATCGTAGCTCACCGTAGCCTCGACCTCCCTGGTTCAAACTATCCTCCCACCCGAGTCTCCCAAGTAGCTGGGACCCCAGGTGTGCACCACCACACCTGGCTAATTTTTGTAATTTTTGTAGAGACGGGATCTCACTTTGTGAGTCAGGCAGGTCTCAAACTCCTGGCCTCAAAAAAGTCTCCTACCTTGGTCTCCCAATGTGCTGGGAGTATAGTCATGAGCCATTTCACTTGGTTCCAGTGTACTTTTAAAATTAAGGGTATTCAGGACGGGTGCAGTGGCTCATGCCTGTAATCCCAGCACTTTGGGAGGCCAAGGCAGGTGGATCACTTGAGGTCAGGAGTTCGAGACCAACCTGATGAACATGGTGAAACCCTGTCTCTACTAATAATACAAAATTAGCAGAGCATGGGCCAGGCATGGTGCCTCACGCCTGTAATCCCAGCACTTTGGGAGGCCGAGGCTGGCGGATCACGAGGTCAGGAAATCGAGACCATCCTGGCTAACACGGTGAAACCCCGTCTCTACTAAAAATACAAAAAATTAGCCGGGCATGGTGGCAGGTGCCTGTAGTCCCAGCTACTCGGGAGGCTGAGGCAGGAGAATGGCATGAACCCGGGAGGCGGAGCTTTTAGTGAGCCGAGATTGCACCACTGCACTCCAGCCTGGGCGACAGAGCGAGACTCTGTCTCAAAAAAAAAAATTAAAATAAAATAAAATAAAATAAGCCGAGCATGGTGGCACACACCTGTAATCCCAGCTACTTGGGAGGCTGAGGCAGGAGAATCGCTTGAACCCAGGAGGCGGAGGTTGCAGTGAGCTGAGATCACGCCATTGCACTCCAGCCTGGGCAACAGAGCGAGACTCTGTCTCAAAAAATTAAAAAATAAAAAATAAATAAGGGTATTCAAATGAATCTATGTAAAGAGAAATATTAAGGAAATCATAAGACAGGTGGATGAAGCAGGATCATTTAGGTGATCTCTGTAAATGGTGATGTCTGGGGAACACTATTCATTGGCATAAGGTGGTGGCTAGGGAAACTGAGGGATTGCGGATGAGGATTATGGAAGAAAAGTCTGGGATAGTTCAGGCCTCATCCTAGCTCACTCTGAAGGAGAGACCATGTGGCTTTCAGGGACCTGGTGGGATTTCCAGCTTCTCTTAAGTCTCTCTCCCCCCGCCTGAGTGTCTCTCTATCCTAATATCAATTCCCTCTATGTGTCCCCAGGATGGCGACCACAGAGAAGCCAGAATTGGGCCCTGCTCATGATGCTGGTAAGGCGGGAGCCCCAGATCTCACTACCTAGCCCTCCTCTCAGCTCCTCCTTTCTCCCCTATAGCCACAAGCCCGCTTATTCTCCCTCACTCAGAGACCTCCCAATGCACCTGCCCCGAGACCTCTCTGGGGCCCCCTGAACTCACCCACATAATCTGAGCGCATCGGCACCCACCCCAAACCTGCTTTTTCTCTTCTTCTCAGTGGCTAGCATCCCCATCCCATCATGCAAGTGGATCCCATCCACCTCCACAGGCCACTACCAGCCTCCTAGACCCCCCACACCCAGCTCCTCACTGGTCTCCCAGCCTCCAGACCCCTCCAACCCATCCCAGGACAAGGTCTTTCTAAAATTCTGATCATGTTACTCCTCTGCTCAAAGGCCCTCCATGGCTCCCCTGTGCCCTTGGGACAAAGTTTAGTCTCCTTAACATGGTTCTCAAGGCCCTTCACAAGACAGATCAAACACAGTTTCTGAAACACAGCTGGCTCTCTCACCAGACCTCTGCACTCACCCTCTCCTGCCTTAGCTTCACTCACTTCTCTCTACTATCTCAGATGCCCCCTCCTCCAGGAAGCCCTCACTGAGTCCTAGGCTACTTAGGCACCCCGTCTTGGGCTCCCACCCGCCCCCAGTCCCCCGACTCCAGCCCTAAACACTCCAGGTTGTCACTCTGGAGACTGGTCTGCGTCCCCCACTGGACTGTAAGTCCTGGAAGGGCAGGCCTGGGACTGTCGTGGTCAGCACTGTGTCCCCAGCACTGGGTTTGGCTAGAAGAAGCGTTTGCACAAATGTTAGTTGAATAAATAAATAAATGAATGTCAACAGGCAGTCAGAGTGGCCTGTGGGGCCCATGTGTCAGCTGGTACCTCCCCTGGCCTCTGTTTCAGGTGACAACAACATCTATGAAGTGATGCCCTCTCCAGTCCTCCTGGTGTCCCCCATCAGTGACACAAGGTCCATAAACCCAGCCCGGGTGAGTCCCGTCCCCAGCCTCTCCCCTGAAGCCAATGCTAACAGGCGCCTCCTCTCTGAGCTGGCTGTGGTCCTCTGGGCCATCTTGACACCAGGTTTGGGAATCTCAACTCTCTATATATTGTTCCCTGTTTTTAAAAATCCTAAGGAAAAGAGACTGGAAGGAAACAGCACAACAGAAGCAGCATTTGTCTCCGGGGTGTGGAGGCTGGTGGGTGGGTTTTATCTTCTTTTCTTTTATACTTGTCTGTGTTTTCTGCACTGAGCAGCCACTACCTTTATAATGGGGAGGTTTTATATATATATAACGAAAGGTTTATAAAAATGAGTCATTTAGGCTGGGCGTGGTGGCTCACGCCTATAATTCTAGCACTTTGGGAAGCCAAGGTGGGTGGATCACCTGAGGTCAGGAGTTTGAGACCAGCCTGGCCAACATGGTGAAACCCCGTCTCTACTAAAAATACAAAAATTAGCCAGGTGTGATGGCACATGCCTGTAATCCCAGTTACTCGGGAGGCTGAGGAAGGAGAATCGCTTGAACCCAGGAGGTGGAGGTTGCAGTAAGCCGAGGTCATGCCACTGCACTCCAGCCTGCACGACAGGAGCGAGACTCCATCCCAAAAAAAAAAAAAGTTATTTAGATTAAATAAAAAGAGAAACTTAGCTGGGCATGATGGCTCTACACCTGTAAATCCCAACACTTTGGGAGGCCAAGGTGGGAGGATTGCTTGAGGCCGGGAGTTTGAGACCAGCCTGGGGAACATAGCTAGACCCCATCTCTACAAAAATTTAGCTAGGCATGGTGGTGTGCACCTATAGTCACAGCTACCAGGGAGGCTGAGGAGGGAGGATCACTTGAGCCCAGGAGTTTGAGGCTGCAGCGAGTGGTGATTGCACAACTGCACTCTGGCCTGGGTGACAGAGCAAGATCCTGTCTTTTTCTAAAAAAGTGAAAAATAAGAGAAACATAAAACACTAAGGCTAAGAGCTTAGAACCAGAGGTGTTGACAGGGGTAGACTGAGAGTTAATGGAGTGGTTGACGGGCCACTGGATACCACACGAAGCTGGGGCCCAGTGCCCATTTGTCAGAGGAGAACACTGAGGTGTAAGGAAGCTAATCCCCTCTGCCCAGGGGCCTCACAGTCTGGGAGGGGTGATGGGGACTTGGAATCTGAGACTGTCCTAGCACCAAAGGTCAAAGTTTAGAGGGTGGGGGGTGCCGAGCGCCCACTCACCCGTGTCCTTCCCTTGCAGCCCCTGCCCACACCCCCACACCTGCAGGCGGAGCCAGAGAACCACCAGTACCAGGTATGGAGCTGGGAGCTGGGAGGGGTGGTGGGGATCCCACGGATCCAGGAGCCCCGAAGCCGGGGTGGGGAGGGGTCAAGACAACTGAAACTGGGGGCTTTCCTCCCCTCGTCCCCCCAAGCCTCACGGTCTCTGCTCTCGAAGAAGCCCAAACCGCCTCCCTGAGAGACCCTGGCAAGTCCCTTTTCCTCCCAAGGCTGCAATTTCCTTCTTTGCAAAAGGGATCCAAAACCTTGAACTTGCACAGGAGGAACAAGGCCCAGAGAGGGACAGGGGATTGCCTGGGGCCACACAGCCAGTCAGGTCCCCAGTGAAACCCCACCGCAGAGCTCAGTCCCTCTCCATCCCCTCCTGTCAGCTGTCTGTCCCTGTAGTTCTGTCTCTCTCTCTCAGTGGCCTACATATGTCTGTATGTCTGTCTTCCCCTTTCTTGGACTCTCTCTCTCTCTCTCTCTCTCTCTCTCAGTTTCTCTTGCTGTGTCCTTTTTAATCTGTCTTTCTGTTTCCAGTTTGTTCATGCTGCCTTGTCTAAGATGCATCTCTTTACATGTCTTCGTTTCTCTGCATCTCTGTCTCTCTCTCTCTCCATTCTCTGTCTCTCCTGCCTCTTTGTCTCTGTCACTGTGTCCACCTCATTTCTTGGCTCTTCCAGGACCTCTTGTCTCTGCATCTCACTCTCTTTCCACCTTGCTCTTCCATTCTCTCTGCGGGTTTCTCTCCATCTCACGCTGTCTCTCATCCTCTGTCCCTCTCTGTCTCCCCAAGACTCTCCCCCTCCACCCAGTCATAATTCTGTTCTCTCTTCCCCCCAAGCAGGACCTGCTAAACCCCGACCCTGCCCCCTACTGCCAGCTGGTGCCAACTTCCTGATGGGTCCTGGGCCAGGCCAGCCAGGGAGAAGACAAGGCCCCAGCCCTCCTCTGGGAGCCTCACACCTGAGACCAGCAGGACAAGGCCATTGGGGGCTGTGGGGCCGATGAGGTGGACTCAGCCAAAGACTCAGCAGCACATGGGGCAGGTGTCCTGGCAGGGGGACAGGAGACTGTAACAGGCCCAGGTCCTTGTGCAGCCCGTGAATGCACGCCCGCCTTCGGTCTGTTCCTTCAAGCAAGCTGGCCTGGGCCATGTGCCTGTGAAAGGCAGGCTCTGGCCCCTTTCCATGCCAAAGTCCCCCAAGATCTGGATATCTGGGGACAAGATGGTGGCCTCAGGCCTGCCTCCCAGGCAGTTGGCTGGGCTCCCAACTGTCTGTCCTCAATGCCCTACCCCAACTCCACTAGTGACCCTCAGAGTCTTCTCCCCTTAGGACAAGGCAGACACCCCACCATGCGGGCCTCAGGTGGCAGAGAGGCCCAGCCTCACAGGCCTGTGGCCCCACACACCAGTCCCAGCAAGGTGACCACGGCTGCTGGACCCCTTCCCTGTTCAGGCAGGCCCAGCCCCTCTCAGAACCTGCTGCCAGCTGCTGGTCTTGGCCCCCACCCTGAATCTTACTGAGTCCCTCTGGGCAGCAGCTCCCTTCTCCACCCCACCCCAGCACCCGTCCCAAATGTGGCCTCAGCTTGTCCTCCCCTTCCCCAAACTATGCATTCATTCAGCAATAAATGAGCCTTTGCTGTATGCCAGACCCAGTTCTAGGCTCTTGCAGCCCTGGTAGAAAGCAAAACAAAAACTCCCGCTTTCCCAGAGGGTCACTTGGCAGGGGAAAGAATCAGGAAATAAAATAAATAATGAACATGCGTTGTCTGTCAGATGGGGATAAGTGTATTGGGGAAATGGAGGGGGGTCGAGAGTATTGGGGGACTGAGATTTTTAATTAGGGCACAGAGGTCCTCGCTGAGAAGGTGACAAATGAGCAAAGACTTGTAGGAGGGGAAGAAAGGAGCCATGTGGGGCTCTGGAGGAAGAGCATTCCAGACAGAGGGAATAGCCAGTGCAAAGGCCCTGGGGCAGAAGCATGCCTGGCATATTCAAGGAGCAGCAAGGGGGCTGGGCATGGTGGCTCACACCTATAATCCCAGCACTTTGGGAAGCCAAGGCAAGCAGATCATTTGAGGTCAGGGGTTCAAGACCAGCCTGGCCAACATGGTGAAACCCCTTCTCTATTAAAAATACAAAAATTAGCCGGGCATGGTGGTGGGCACCTGTAATCCCAGCAACTGGGGAGGCTGAGGCAGGAAAATCACTTGAACCCGGGAGGCGGAGTTTGCAGTGGGCCAAGATCGTGCCCCTGCACTCCAGCCTGGGTGACAGAGCAAGACTCCACCTCAAAAAAAAAAAAAAAAAAGGAGCAGCAAGGAGGCCAGTGTGGTGGAGAGGGTGGGGAAGGAGGAAAAGGTGGGTGGAAGTTGACGTCAGGAGATGGACGGAGGGGCACATGGCGCAGGGCCAGGTAAGGCACTGCCGAGACTGTGGCTTTGAGGGGCAGGGTGCTGTGAAAGGCGAATAACGGCCCCCCAGTGACGTCTACATCCTAATCCCCTGTGAATGTTACGTTATATGACAAAAGAATGCAGCCATGATTAAGTTCAGGATCGTGCTTTGGGGAGATTATCCTGGATTGCCCTGGCAGGCTCTTTATGTAATCACACAGATCCTTATAATCGAGAAGGACACAGGAAGCGTGAGTCAGAGGGGCTGTGACAACAAAGGAAGCAAAGCCCTTTGAAGACGGGAGAAGGAGCTGAAAGTCAAGCAGCACTTCAGAGTCAGAATGATTGAGTGTGAGAGAGTCCATGGGCCATCGTGAGTGTTGAAGACGGAAGGGGGCCTTGAGCTAAGGAATGCAAGAAACTTCTAGAAGCTGGAGGAGGGCCAAGCTCAGTGGCTCACGCCTGCAGTCCCAGCACTTTGGGAGGCCAAGGTGGGAGGATCGCTTGAGGCCAGGAGTTGGAGACCAGCCTGGGCAACATAGCAAGACCCCGTCTCTACAAAAAAAAAAAAAAAAAAAAACAGAACCGAGGGTGGTGGCTCATGCCTGGAATCCCAGCACTTTGGGAGGCCGAGACAGGGGGATCACCTGAGGTCAGGAGTTCAAGAATCAGCCTGGCCAAGATGGGGAAACCCCGTCTCTACCAAACATAGAAAAATTAGCCAGGCGTGGTGGCGGGTGCCTGTAATGCCAGCTACTGGAGAGGCAGAGGCAGGAGAATCGCTTGAACCCAGGAGGCGGAGGTTGCAGTGAGCCAAGGTTGCACCATTGCACTCCAGCCTGGGTGACAGAGCGAGACTCTGTCTTAAAAAAAAAAAAAAAATCAGAATTGAGGAAAGGCAAGAAAATGGATTTTCTTCCTACAACCTCCAGAAAGCAACACAGTCCCGCTGAAACCTTGGCTTTAGTGCAGTGAGACCCATTTTGGATTCTTGACCTCCAGAACTATAAGATAACAAACTTGTGTTGTTTTAAGCCACTAAATTTGTGGCAATTTTTTACAGGAAATGGGAAACTAATCTAGAGGATGAGGAAGAAATCACAGAAGGAGAAGTTGCGTCTCATGCTGACTCAGTATGCAAATACTCTCTGGGAGACTTCTCCATCCTCAGACCGCTCCAGACACCAAATGCCTGGGCCTTTGACCGCCTTGCTAAGAGGGTCAACCAAGCCAGCCAGGTAGCCAGGGCTCAGGGCTAGGAGTGTGAGGGGATTCCATCTTTTCTCTCTCTTTTTTTTTTTTTCTTTTTTGAGACTTTTCTTTTTTGAGTCTTGCTCTGTCGCCGAGGCTGGAGTGCAGTGGTGCGATCTCAGCTCACTACAACCTACGCCTCCCAGGCTCAAGCAATTCTCCTGCCTCAGCCTACCAAGTAGCTGAACTACAGGTGCACACCACCTCACCCGGCTACTTTTTTTTTTTTTTTTGTATTTTCAGTAGAGACAAGTTTCACCATGCTGGCCAGGCTGGTCTCAAACTCCTGGCTCTGCAGACAGGAGGACTGAAATCCATGGTGGCAGACGCCTATAATCCCAGAACTTTGGGAGACCAAGGCAGACGGATTACTTGAGGTAGGAGTTCAAGGCCAGCCTGGCCAACATGCTGAAATACAGTCTCTACTAAAAATACAAAAATTAGCCGGGAGTGGTGGTAGGTTGAGACAGGAGAATCGCTTGAATCCGGGAGGCAGAGGTTGCATTCAGCCGAGGTCATGCCACTGCACTCCAGCCTGGGCAACAGAGCAACACTCTAGAACAAAACATTGACAGAATTTGTTTCTGGTTTGGATACAGGGGATTGGAGAGAAGAGTGTGCCAATAATTGGTTTGTTCATCAATTCAATGAAGATTTATTGAGCATCTGTTGTGGACAGCCCTATTCTAGGTTCTGGGGAGACAGCCATGAATGAGACAGTGATGGCTGCTTTTGGAGAGCTGACCTTCTAGTGGGAGACAGGCCACAGAAAAACAAAGCACATGGAACATAATGTCAGGGATGACGATGCTGTGAAGGAATGGAGCAGGTGCTAAGAACCTACTGGAACGGGCATGCTTAAGAGGTGCTGGAGAGGGTCAACTCTTGGGTGACTGCTTCGAGCAATGGGAGGGTGGGGAGCAGGGGTGTTGTACACACTGCGACAGGGCCAGGTTTGCAAAAGAAATCAAGACATGGCCACACAAACACTTCTGTGTGACTGTTCACAGCAGCATTATTCACAATAGCCAAAAGGTAGAAATAACCCAAATGCCCATGAACAGACGAATGAGTTCTTTTGTTTATTTGTTTTGTTTTGTTTTTGTTTTTGAGACAGTCTTACTCTGCTGCCCAGACTGGAGTGCAATGGCGCAATCTTGGCTCACTGCAACCTCCACCTCCTGGGTTCAAGCCATTCTCCTTCCTCAGCCTCCGGAGTAGCTGGGACTACAGGCGCCCACCACCACGCTTGGCTAAGTTTTTGTATTTTTAGTAGAGATGGGGTTTCACTGTATTAGCCAGGATGGTCTCGATCGCCTGACCTCGTGATCCGCCCAACTCGGCCTCCCAAAGTGCTGGGATTACAAGCGTGAGCCACCGCGCCCGGCACGGTATTTTTACTGTATCTTTTCTATGTTTAGGTACACGAATATTTATCATTGTGCTACAATTGCCTACAGTTTTCAATGTAGCCACAGGCTATGCAAGTTTGTCACCTAGGAGCAATAGCCTGTACCTATACCCTAGATGTGTAGCGGGCTCTACCATCTAGGTTTGTGTAAACACATTCTGTGATGTTCACACAACAATGAAATCGCCTAAAGACTCATTTCTCAGAACATATCCTCATCATGAAGTGAC
This sequence comes from Homo sapiens, assembly GCF_000001405.40. NCBI lineage: Eukaryota > Metazoa > Chordata > Mammalia > Primates > Hominidae > Homo > Homo sapiens. Next base: position 44,687,885 of record NC_000019.10, read on the forward strand.
GCATGGCTGTATTATCCAGTGGAACATTATTCAGCCATGAAAAGAAATGAAGCCCTGACACATACTGCAGCAAGGATGACCCTGAAAACGCTGTGCTAAGTGAAAGAAGCCAGACGCAAAGGACTCCATATGGTAGGGTCCCATTGCTATGAAATGCCCAGGCAATTCATCAAGACAGAAAGTGGATGTAGTAGTTGTTGGGTTGGGAGGAAGGGCGGAATGGGGAAGTGACTGCTCATGGATACAAGCTTTCTCTTAGGGGTGATAGGATGTTCTCAATGTTTTGTTTGTTTGTTTTCTTTTGTTTTGTTTTGTTTTTTGAGATGGAGTCTTGCTCTTTCACCCAGGCTGGCATGATCTCGGCTCACTGCAACCTCCGCCTCCCGGGTTCAAGCGATTCTCCTGCCTCAGCCTCCCGAGTAGCTGACATCACAGGTGTATGCCACCACACCTGGCTAATTTTTGTATTTTTAGTAGAGACAGGGTTTCACCATGTTGGCCAGGCTGGTCTCGAACTCCTGAGCTCAGGCAATCCGCCCACCTCAGCCTCCCAAAATGCTGGGATTACAGGCATGAGCCACGGCATCTAGCCATGTTCTCAAATTGATTGTAACGATGGCTGCACAACTCTGTGAATTTACTAAAAGCTATTGAATTGTACACTTTATTTTGGTTTTGTTTTCATTTTAAGAGACGGGGTCTTGCTCTCTCGCCCAGGCTGGAGTGCAGTGGTTACGATCTGGGCTCATTGCAGCCTCAACCTCCTGGGCTCAAGTGATCCTCCTTCCTCAGACTCCTGAGTAGCTAGGATTACAGGCGTGCACCACCACGCCCGGCTAATTTTTGTATTTGGCAGAGACGGGGTTTCACTGTATTGTCCAGGCTGGTCTCGAACTCCTGACCTCAAGTGATCTGCCTGCCTTGGCCTCCCAAAGTGCTGGGATTACAGGTGTGAGCCATGGCACTCAGCCCGCATTGTATACTTTACATGGATGAATTGTGTGGTATGTGAATTACACCGCAAAACCGTTTAAAAAAGAAGAAAGGGTGGAGCCTTTCTGAACCTATTCTGGTTCAGAGGCTGCCAGATTCGCAAAATATTTTTTAAAAGAAAGAGAGAAATGGGGTGGGGGAGGGAGGAGGAGTGTGGGGGGGAAGAGGTGGAGAAAGAAAAGAAAGAGAAAAAAAAGAAAGAGAGAAAGCAAGCGGGGAGGAAAAGAGGGAGCGAGGGAGTGGGGAGAGAAAGCAGGCGGGTTTGAGAGGTCAGTACTGAGTCGGCAGGAGGGGATAGCTGGAGACCGGGGTCGGGGTGTGTGAGTGGGGACAGTGAACATAAGTGCATCTTGTAGCACCTGATTCATTGTCACTCCAGAAATGTCACCTTCTTTCACTGTTTGGGGTTTGTGCTTATTGGGTCGTCACTATTGCCAGACTTGCTGCAAGAGAGGGTCAGCCCTGAGCCAGCAGGGGGCAGCAGAGCACCACACAGATCATGCACAAGCGCTGCAGCTACCTTGAGCCCCCCCATGCGCCCACCCCGTCTCTGCCCCTTTCTTTACCCCTCTGGGAACCCAGAGAGTCTATCCAGCTCTCCAACCCCAAACCTGGACACCTCCCTCCCCACTCTCACGGCAGGCACCAGGCCCTGCCCTCCAGGCCTCTTGAACTTGGCCTTCCCCAGTACCTGCAGCCCAGCCCTGGGCCAGGCAGCTTCTCTCCCCTCCCTGCCCCAGCCTCCCGCCTGGACTCCTCCCCACTCCCATTCTCCTACCACAGAGCAGCCCAAGGGATCTTTCTAAAGCCCAAACTCAACCTAGCCCCTTCCTGCTCAAAACCATCCATGGCTCCCCAGTGCCTTAGAGTCCAAGCTCCTCACCACTGCCTCCAACGCCTGCAAAGTCCAGGGGACGCTCAGTCTCATCTCTCAGCACCCACCGCCCTCTCACCTTCACCCCTGGTCTACAGTCCCCCAGATTTAACTTCTTTCTGTTTCCCCACACACTGTGTTCCATCTCACTTCCAGGCCCTTGCACACCCCCAGGCACACAGCTCCACTCTTCCTGCCCACCCCATTCACCCTCCAAGTCTCAACTCATACACCTCCTCCTCCAGGAAGCCCTCCTTGACCTCCAAGCTGGGTCAGATCTCTCCTGTGAGCTCACCTACCCCAGCCCCGCCCAGTCTGGGCCATCACTGCCTGGGGATGGGTCTGTCCCGCTGAACTATGAGCCCTATAAGCACAATTGCTATCTCCATCACTGAGGGGCTCCCAGCACTGACCAGCACAAGGCAGAGGCCCAAGGAGTGTGGATGCTCATTATACACATCCTTCCCTTTCCCAACCTAGCAGTCCCCATTCATTCATTGACAAACGTCTGTTGAGCAACTACTATCACCAAACTCTGTTACATGAACTTGACTGGCATGAGAGAGGTGAAGATAAACCAGCCCAGCTCCTACTCTCAGGGAGCTTGAGGTCTAGTAGGGGAGATGACCTGGAACTCAATGTAATAATAATAATTAATAATAAACATTACCGAGCACTTATTATACGCCATGCACTATGCTAAGGGCTTTACATTTATTCACTGATATCCTCACAACGGTTCTGTGAGTGAAGTTATACCATTGAAAGTAATGGCAAAGCCAGGCGCAGTGGCTCACTCCTGTAATCCCAGCACTTTGGGAGGCCGAGGCGGGCAGATCACCTGAGGTCAGGAGTTCGAGACCAGCCTAACCAAGATGGAGAAACCCTGTCTCTACTAAAAATTAGCTGGGCATGGTGGTGCATGCCTGTAATCCCAGCTACTTGGGAGGCTGACGCAAGAAAATCGCTTGAACCCAGGAGGCGGAGGTTGCGGTGAGCTAAGATCGCGCCATTGCACTCCAGCCTGGGCAACAAGAGTGAAACTCTGTCTCAAAAAAAAAAGTAATGGCAAATTGGCTGGGCGCAATGGCTCACTCCTGTAATCTCAGCACTTTGGGAGACCGAGGCGGGCAAATCACAAGGTCAGGAGTTTGAGATCAGCCTGGCCAACATGGTGAAACCCATCTCTACTAAAAATACAAAAAATTAGCTGGGTGTGGTGGCAGGCGCCTGTAATCCTAGCTACTCAGGAGCCTGAGGCAGAAGAATCGCTTGAACCAGGGAGGCAGAGGTTGCAGTGAGCCGATATTGTGCCACTGCCCTCCAGCCTGTGGGACAGAGCAAGACTCCGTCTCAAAAAAAAAAAAAAAAGTAATGGCAAAAGCCACAATTACTTTTGCACCAACCTAGTACTGTGATTATCCCCATTTTACAGATGAGGAAACTGAGGTTAAGTAAGTGAAGCTGACCAGGCAAAGTGGCTTATGCTTTTAATCCCAGGACTTTAGGAGGCAAAGGCAGAAGGACCGCTTGAGCTCAGAAGTCCAAGATGAGCCTGGGTAACAGCGAGACCCAGTCTGCACACACAAAAAAATTTATTTATTTACTTTCATTTATTTATTTATTTATTTATTTTGAGATGGAGCCTCTCCCTGTCACCCAGGCTGGAGTGCGGTGGCACGATCTCGGCTCACTGCAACCTTTGCCTCCTGGGTTCAAGCGATTTCTGGCTTATTTTTGTATTTTTAGTAGAGACGGGGGTTTTACCACGTTGGCCACGCTGGTCTTGAACTCCTGACCTCAAGTGATCCACCCACCTCGGCCTCTCAAAGTGCTGGGATTACTGGCGTGAATTACCGCACTGGGCCAAAAATATTTAAAAATTAGCCAGGCGTGGTGGTGTGTGCCTGTGGTCCCAGCTACCTGGGAGACTGGGGTGGAAGGACTGCTTAACCCCAAGAGGTCAAGGCTGCGGTGAGCTGTGATTGTGCCACCACACTCCAGCCTGGGCGACAGAGCGAGACTCTGTCTCAAAAAAAAAAAAAAAAAGGTGAGGTCACCCAGGGTATCAGTGGACAAGCTGAGAACAAAACCAAAGTTTCTAACACCGAAAATTTGTCTTCTGCTCATCCCAGCCTGAAAGGAAGGTGAACCAAGATGCAATCCATGCCCATTCAAGTGGGGTCTGTGTGTCCAGGCAGAGGTGTCTGCCCTCTACAAAGGGCACAGGGGAGAGAGTGATGCTTAACCCAAAGGAGGTCTCGCTGATGGTGGAATTTCAGGCACCGTGTTTATGTTTGGCCTAATTAGCTTGAGACCAGTGTCCTTGACGGGAACTAAGACGCCCCCCACGCCCATCCCCGGCTCCCAGGCTCTCTCCACCCAAGTTCTGCCCACCAGGGCACACTGCTTCCCTCTGCCACCTCCTCTTCCCACGAGCCCTGGTACACCCTAGATTCTCAGGGCTGTGGCTCCTTGCTTTACAAATGAGTAAGTTGGTGGCAGGGAAGGAAGTGGGCTGGGCCATGACCAAGAGTCACTATGATTCACGGGGAAAACCCTGCCCTCCCGATTCAACTCTGTGTGCAAAAAGGTTTTGTGCGGGTTCCTAGGGTCTCAGGGTCAATGGATGTAGATAGACCACTAGAGGTATACACAGCCACTGTCCACCAACTCTCCCACCCCCCGGGTCTGCCTACAGCCCTGGATGGGGATCCTGTACCGGGGGGGCGGTTGGGGGGTTGGACAGGTGTGGGTTGAGGTGTTGTTTACATGTTGAACACACTGGGGTTCCAGGTAAGTTTCCGTCAGAAGAAAGCACTTCACTGCTGAGGCAGAAATTTCAAAATATTGAACCACTTTTCGATCCTGGCAGAAGGGAATTTTCCCAGGGTGATAAAAGTGTTCTAAAATTAGATTTGAGTGATGGCTGCCCAAAAGGAATTATGATATTATTCAAGAAATCATGGCTTTGCTGAACAACAGAAAACTCGAACACTGAGCATTTGAAGATATTAAGGAATTGTTGATTTTTATGTTCACTGTTTAGGTGAAATGATAGCATTGTGAGTGTGTTATTTTTAAATGAGTCCTTATCTTTTAAAGATACAGGCAGAAATAGCTATAAAATGATCTGATGGCTGGGATTTGCTTTCAAATAATACAGGAGAGGGCCGTGGGTGAGGAGAGGGAACCAGATTGCCTATGAGCTGAGTGATGGGTATGTGGTTGCGAGGGCAGACACCATTCTTCTCTCTGCTTTCGATGGGTGCGTAGAATTTCCCATAATAAAAAGTGGTTTTTAAATTGTTTTGACCATTGGCCTCGCGCGGTGGCTCACGCCTATAATCCCAGCACTTTGGGAGGCAGAGGCAGGCAGATCACTTGAGGGCAGGAGTTCGAGACCAGCCTGGGCAACCTGGTGAAACCCCATCTCTATTGAAAACACATAAAAATTACCCGAGTATAGTGGCATGCGCCTGTAATCCCAGCCACTCGAGAAGCTGAGGCAGGAGAATCGCTTGAACCCGGGAGGCAGAGGTTGCAGTGAGCTGAGGTCGTGCCACTGCACTCCAGCCTGGGCAACAGAGCGAGACTCCATCTCAAAAAAGAAAAAAAAAATTGTTTTAACCATTCTAAAGGAATGAGAAAAGAATTCTACAACTTTTGTTTTTTTGTTTTTTTTTTTGAGACAGAGTCTCACTCTGTCCCCCAGGCTGGAGTGCAGTAGCGTGATCACAACTTACTGCAGCTTCCATCTCCTGGGCTCAAGTGATCCTCCTGCCTCAGCCTCCAGAGTAGCTGGAATTACAGGCATGTGCCACCATACCTGGCTAATTTTTTTTTTTTTTTTTTTGAGATGAAGTTTCACTCTTGTTGCCCAGGCTGGAGTGCAATGGCGGGATCTTGGCTCACTGCAACCTCTGCCTCCTGGGTTCAAGCGATTCTCCTGCCTCAGCCTCCCCAGTCGCTGGGATTACAGGCATGCGCCACCATGCCCAGCTAATTTTGTATTTTTAGTAGAGACGGGGTTTCTCCATGTTGGTCAGGCTGGTCTCGAACTCCCGACCTCAGATGATCTGCCCGCCTCAGCCTCCCAAAGTGCTGGGATTATAGGTGTGAGCCACTGTGCCCAGCCTTTCTTTTTATTTTATTTTTAGTAGAGATGGGACTCACTATGTTGCCCTGGCTGGTCTGAAACTCCTGGGCTCAAGCAATCCTCACACCTCAGCCTCCCAAAATGCTGGGGTTACAGGAGTGAGGCACCATGCCCAACCCAGGCCTAACCATAATTCTAAATCCAAGTCCAACCCCTTCCCACTTTCCTGAAGGGAAAAATGAGGTGCAGAGAGAGGAAGGAACCCCTAACCAGGTCCCTTTAGGGTCCCAAGAGAACCCTGGCACTCTCTGCTGGCCTCCATCCCCCTAACTCTGCCCTTCACTTCCTCCCCTCCAGCACCTTCCAGAAAAGCTCTAGGTGGCTAGTCCCCCTCTGACCACCTTCTCCCACTTTCCCCTGCCCCTCACTCAGCTCCAGTCACACCAGGCTCCCTGCTGTCCTTATGCTCATCAAAGCCCCTCCTGCCCCAGGGCCTTGAATTCACTTGTTGTACCTTCTACCAAAAACACTCTCCTCCCACACACCCACAGGCTCCCTCCTCTGTCGCCTCCTTCAGGCCAGAAAAAGCGCCACCACCACCACCTCCCAAACTAAAACAGCAACCCCTGCTCCTCTCTATCCACTTGCCCTATTTTATTTAATTTTATTTATTTTGAGACACAATCTCACACTGTTGCCCAGGCTGGAATGCAGTGGTGCAATCTCAGTTCACTGCAATCTCCACCTCTTAGGCTCAAGCAATTCTCCCACCTTAGCCTCCCAAGTAGCTGGAATTACTGGTGCACACCACCACCACGCCTGGCTAATTATTGTACTTTTTTGTAGAGATAGGATCTCACTGTGGTGCCCAGGCTGGTCTCAAACGCCTGGCCTAAGCGATCCACCCACCTTGGCCTCCCAAAGTGCTGGGATTACAGGCGTGAGCCCCTGCACCTGACCTATTTTACTTTTTATAGCTTTTATCTCTGCCTGACATTAAATGCCATATCAGGTTTTTTTTATTATTATTATTGCCCATCTCCCTCCAATAGGATTTAGCCCAACAAAGGAAAGGATGTCTCTGTGCAAACAGCCTGGTACATAGTCCATGCTTGACAAATATTTGTTAAATGATTGAATGGCTTGGAAAAACCCAGATGAATGAGGTGAGGAGGGTGGGGACGGGTATCCAAGCACAGGGAACAGCCTATGGAAAGGTCTGGAGCTTCTCCGATCCACCTGCCTCCTCTCCTGCATGGAAGCCTAGGTGCTTTTTTTTTCTGAGACAGAGTCTCACTCTGTCACCCAGGCTGGAGTGCAGTGGTGTGATCTCGGCTCACAGCAACCTCTGACTTCCGGGCTTAAGTGATTCTCCTGCCTCAGCCTCCTAAGTGTCTGGGATTACAGGTGCCCACCACCACACCGGGCTAATTTTGTATTTTTTTTAGTAGAGGTGGGGTTTCTCCATGTCGGTCAGGCTGGTCTCGAACTCCCGACCTCAGGTGATCCACCCGCCTCGGCCTCCCAAAGTGCTGGGATTATAGGCGTGAGCCACCACGCCTGGCCACCTGGGTGTTCTTTCTAGGGTCAGGAATTAAGGGGACATTTGGTCCTTTCTCCCCAAGAACAACCTCTCCAGGCCCAGCCAGAGCCAACTCCAGGCCTTGACAGGCCGGCACAGGAAGCCACACCCTGAGCAAATATGACGGCCCCCTCTGCCTCGCCCAAGATAAGGGGAGGTTGAAAGGGGTTTGGAAACCTGCTTCAGCCTAAGACATTAGCTCCAGCCAAACCCTCAGTCTCAAGGCCTCCCCACCCCTGCCCAGAGAGGACAGGACAAGGATTCTGCCACGGAGGCCCAAGTCTGACGTTTACATCTAATATATATTGATGATGTCAGTGGTGGGCAGGGTCTTGAAGAGCAGATAAAGGAGTTCCCAGCCTCCCTCCCGCTCCCAAGGAAACTAAGTGACTGGTGAGACAAGAGGGCTGGGCGGGCAAGGGGTGACCCTGACCAAACAAGGTCATAGACCCGTGTCCCCAGATGGCTGTGCAGAGAAGATAAGACTCATCTGCTCCAATCTTATGAGGCAATGGCCCGGGGCCTCAGTTTACTTGTCTGCAAAATGGGTTTTCTTGGGGGTGGGCAGCGGGGAGATGGATAACAGGAAAAGCTGAAGCTGTCAAAAAGAATAATGGGCCAGGCACGGTGGCTCACACCTGTAATCCCAGCACTTTGAGAGGCCAAGGCAGGTGGATCACTTGAGGTTAGGAGTTTGAGACCAGCCTGGCCAACATGTCAAAACCCTGTCTGTACTAAAAATATTAAAATTAGCCAGGCATGGTGGCGCATGCTTGTAATCCCAGCTACTCGGGAGGCTGAGGTGAGAGAATCGCTTGAACTTGGGAGGTGGAGGTTGCAGTGAGCCAAGATCGCACCACTGCACTCCAGCCTGGATGACAGATCAAGACTCCATTTAAAAAAGAAGAAGAAGAAGAAGAAGAAGAAGAATGATATCAGCAGAATACATCTACAAGCTGACCACTTCTCCCATCCCTGGTTCAGCCGCCACTACCTCCTGCCTGGTCCAGCACTACCCAACAGGAGCAAGAGTGGAGCCGCAAACACAATTCAACCTTTTCCAGCCTCATCTCATGAAGAAAGGTGAAACGAATGTATTTAACACAACATATGCAAAATGTCATTTCAGCACAGAATCAATATAAAAAACTGATTATCTGTTTTACATTATTGTGTATGCATGCGCTCTTTTTTTTTTTTTTTTTTCTTAATGAGACAACAAGGTCTTGCTCTGTCGCCCAGGCTGGAGTGCAGTGGTGAGATCACAGCTCACTGCAGACTCAACCTCCTGGGCTCAGGCGATCCTCCTACCTCAGCCTGCCAAATAGCTGGGACTACAGGCGTGCAACACCACTCCTGGCTCATTTTTAAATTTTTTTGTAGAGACGTGCTCTACGCTGCCCAGGCTGGTCTCGAACTCCTGGGCTCAAGCCATCCTCCCGCCTCAGCCTCCCAAAATGCTGGGATTACAGGTGTGAGCCACCGCGCCCGGCCCCCCTTATTGAACCTCTACTCCAATGTCGCTCTGACAATGTCGCCTTGCTGCCCTGCATAAACCAGTGCCCCGACCACCTCCATCCCTTCCCCTGCTTTATTTTTCTCCACAGCATTGTCCCCACCTGTTCTAACACTGCTCATGTTTGTATTCGTCTATTAACTGTCTCCCCAATCAATAGGTCAGCTCTGTGTCTACCGTATTCACGGCTGTAACCCCACAGCGCCTAGCGCAGTGCCCGGCACATAGTTGGTGCTCCATAAACATTTGTCAAATGGTGGAGGAACAACGACCACTGTGCCCCCAGTACGTGCTCTGAGGCAGGCCCGGCACGGAACACTCCATGTGCCTATTTTGATCCTCAGAAGAGTCCCAGGGAAGTCAATGTCATGAACACCCCCCACCCACTGCACAAACAGGAAAAAGCCCCTGCCCACAAGAACCCCGTCTGCTTTCTGCGCAGCCCGGCGGCGCACAGCAGGTGCTAAAGAGCCTGCAGCTCTTGACTGAACCAAGGATCTGGGCTCACAGCCGGGAGCACCAGAGGAGGGGCCAGGGAGGTGGAGGATGGGGGCAGACTAGGAAGGGTGGATGTGACGATAGAGGGCCTCTAGAGCCCGGCCTGGTCACACTCCGCAGGCAGACAGCAGATCACCAGGAACCTGAGCCTCTCTGAAGACTCCTCTCTCTGTGTCATCCACACCTGGTGTCCAGTTCCACAAACATGCTGTGAGCCTCTGCTCTGTGCCAGGTGATTTGCTGGGCAGTGCTGGGGACACAGTGGTGACAGCCCAGCCGTGCCCAGCTGAGGCTCCCAGGCCAGTGGGGGAAAAAGACCCAGCCCCAGACAGCGAGAACCCAAGGCAGTCAGGGCTGAGACAGGGAATTCCAGGCCCTGAAGTCCAGGAGGGCTTCCTGGAGGAGAGGGTTTGGGGAAGGCAGTGGAATAGAGCAGAGGGAAGCAGGGATATTCTGGGTAGAGTGCAAGTGAAACAGAAGAACTGAAGCAGAGGGTTCCCGGAAGCAAGTGGTATTCTATGTAGCTGGTCAGGTGGGCAGGAGTCAGGCCGGGCAGGGCCTCCTGGGCTACAGTGAGGAACCTGGGCTTCCTCCCAAGGGCACTGGGGAGCCACAGCAGGTTCTGAGCACGGAGGGGCAGAGGCAGGTTTTTGTTTTGGAAAGAGCCTCTGTCTGCCATGTGGAGGGGCAATGGGAGTCGGGGAGACCAGGGCCAGAGACTAGGGAGGAGGCTGGTGGGGAGACAGGAGGACCCAGGCAAGGTGGGGTGGTGGAGTGGTCACCTAGACCAGGGCAGGGGCTTCAGGGAGGGAGAGAAGATATACGTAGAGTCAGTTGCCAGAAGGGGTGGCGTGTTCGGGGAGTAGGGGGAGGCATCAGGGATGAGGCCCCAGGTCTCTTTTCCCAGCGATGAGGTGGGTAGTGGCGCCTTCCCTGATAAGGGCACCAGGGGAAGATACACTTCTGGGGGAAGATGCCAAGGTCAGTTTGGGACAAGGTGAGTGAGAGGTGCCCAGGGACATCAGGGAGGCATCCTGATTGATACTGGGATGAGGTCCCAGTGCTCTGGGCCAGGACGCAGAAGAGTGAGGTGAGGTCACAGGTGGGGAGAGGGGAGCAGGAGGCGCCAGGACATCCTCTGTGCCTCTCACCTGGCCTCACCCGCACCTCCTCAGGGCCTTCTCCCCCTTGTTAGAGCCCTGCCCCACGAGGGCAGCCCAGGACACAGTGCTGGAGGCAAACCAGGACAGGTGAGCACAGGTGTGGCCCCCTGCCCGGAAGCAGGCTGCAGAGGCCTCAGAGGAACCAGGACTCAGAAGCCATCAGGATGCAGGTCATAAGAACACAGCTATCAGCAGCTCTGGCACCACAACCCCCTCGGCTCCTGCCCAGCATCATCTCAGAGACACCTTCCCTGTTACCCTCCCTCCACCCCAATTTAAAGTAGCAAACCAGGCCAGGGGCAGTGGCTCATGGCTGTAATCCCAGCACTTTGGGAGGCCAAGGTGGGAAGATCACTTGAGGCCAAGAGTTTGAGACCAGGCAGAGCAACATAGCGAGATCCCATCTCTACAAAAAATAAAATGGCAAATCCCCTTTCTGACTTTATTTTTCAATCTGACGTGGAAGATATTTACCTTTCCTTTATTTACTCCGCAAATGTCGGCCCCCTGAGGGCAGGGATTTCATCCGTCTTGTGCACGGCTGCATCCTCAGCGCCTAGAACAGCACCTGGCAAACAATAGGTGCTCATTCAGTATTTGTCCAATAAGTGAATGAGTGATTTACTGAGCATTTACTCTGCGCCAGTCGTGGTAAGTACTGTACTTCACATGTGTATCTACTTAATCCTTTCAACAGCCCTGTGATGTGAGTACTATTGTTTTCCCTATTTTACAAATAAGGAAACTGAGGCTTGGCAGAGTCCATAAATTGCCCAGGGTCCTGGAGGTAGGAAACAGTGGAACTATGTCCAGAGCCTATACTTTTTTTTTTTTGAGATGGAGTTTCACTCTTTTGCCCAGGGTTCAAGCAATTCTCCTGCTTCAGCCTCCCAAGTAGCTGGGATTACAGGTGCCCGCGACCACACCCAGCTAATTTTTGTATTTTTAGTAGAGACAGGGTTTCACCATGCTGGCCAGGCTGGTCTTGAACTCCTGACCTCAGTTGATCCACCCACCTCGGCCTCCCAAAGTGCTAGGACTACAGGCATGAGCCACTGCGTCCGGCCATGAGCCACCACGCCCGGCCAGAGCCTATACTTTTAATAACAGGCATACCAATCAGACCCACGTCCACCAGGCTCTGGCTTAAATCCCTGACTTGTAGCCTCTCACTAACTGCTGTCAACAAACCTGAAGTAGGGTCCATATCATCTCTATTTTTTTGTTTGTTTTTGAAATGGAGTCTTGCTCTGTCACCCAGGCTGGAGTGCAGTGGCAGGATCTCGGCTCACTGCAACCTCTACCTCCTGGATTCAAGCGATTCTCCTACCTCAGCCTCCCTAGTAGCTGGGATTACAGGCATGTGCCACCATGACCGGCTAACTTTTATTTTTTGTTTTTGCTTTTGTTTTTTGAGATAGAGTCTCACTCTGTCACCCAGGCTGGAGTGCAGTGGTGTGATCTCAGCTCGCTGCAACCTCCACCTCCTGGGTTCAAGAGATTCTCCTGCCTCAGCCTCTCGAGTAGCTGGGACTACAGGTGCACACCACCACACCCAGCTAATTTTTTATATTTTTAGTACATACGAGGTTTCACCATATTGGCCAGGCTGGTCTCGAACTCCTGACCTCGTGAGCCACCTGCCTTGGCCTCCCAAAGTGTTGGGATTACAGGCGTTAGCCACCACACCCAGCTAACTTATATTTTTAATAGAGACGGGGTTTCGCCATGTTGGTCAGGCTGGTTGCAAACTCCTCACCTCAGGTGATCTGCCCATCTCAGCCTCCCAAAGTGCTGGGACTACAGGCACCTGCCACCACGCCTGGCTATTTTTATTATTATTATTTTTAGTAGAGATGGGGTTTCGCCATGTTGGCCAGGCTGATCTCGAACTCCTGACCTCAAATGATCCGCCTGCCTTGGCCTCCCGAAGTGCTGGGATGACAGGCATGAGCCAGTGCACCCGGCCATCATCTCTATTTATCAGAATAATAAATGGAGACTCAACAAGGGACTGTCCCCAGCCCCACTTTGGGTAAGTGCAGAGCTGGTGTCAAAACTCAGCTCTCCTTGGCCCCAAAGCCTCCGAATACGCCCATTTGACAGAGAGGGGAAAACAAGGCCTCCGAAGTGGGAGAAAGAGAATGTGAACTTCTGAGCACTTTGCAGGAAGCCAACAAGAAGGAGAGCCCCAAAGAAAGCATGTGGCCATACAGTTTCCTGCCCTTCTGTCTGGGTTTGCACACAGAGCAGGGCTCAAATCCCCTCTCCCTGCAGGAACCCGGACAAGTGGGAGTCCCCACCTAGCTCATCTCCATCTGCAAAGGGGGGTCCTAAAGGTGCCCACTTTACAGGGTTGTTTTGCCATCCGCTGAGACAACACCTGTAGGTCCCCTGCACTGGGTGGGGCTGGGAAAGGTGCAGTCACCTTTTACTGATTTTCTTCCTTGGTGACTCCCAGGCTCTCTGAGGAGGCCACGGGCCTGGGTGGTTGGTAAGAACTACCCGAAAACCTTCCCCTACTTTTCCTCTCTTCTCCTCGGTGACCTGGTTCCTCTCCCAGTACCAAATCCAGGCCCTCGGCACAAAGAGGGTTAGGCGGCTGCCCCAGGAGGCCTGCCCAGGTCACGGCCTCTGGCCGGTGCCCGCCACACCCACCCTGGTACCCAAACCGGGCCCCAGATCCTTGGTGACTCGATCCCTCCAAATTCAGGTGATCTCCCCTGGCTCCAAATCACCAAACCCTCCCAGGTCCTGCGGCAGACGGAGCCGAGCCCCAACCAGGAAGGGAGTCCGAGCACTGGGACTTCAACGCCACCATCTCCAAGACTCGGTTTGGGGTGAAAGATGGCGCTGACTGGGTACAGCTGGCTGCTCCTCAGTGGTGAGCGAGAATGGCACCCCCCAGCACCTCAGCCCCCCGAGGACCCCAGGGAGGGGAGGGGACCCCCAGTCTGAGAGAGGGAAGGTGTGAGCAGAAGTCCAGCGTGCTAGGGAGGGAGGGCAGCCCTGCTTCACACCGGCAGTTTACCCCTCCAAGAGGCATCTGCATTGGGCAGGCTGGGGACAGCCACCCAGAGAGGTTTTCAGGGTGGGCTTTGGAGATTTCTAAGCCCAGGGCACAAGCCAGGACAAGGGAGCCGCTGTTGCTCCTTCATTCCTGCAGGTTTCTGTTTTATCAGCTATGGAAGCCTTGATGAGGCTAAACTCTTCCCAGCAGCTGTTTCTCCCGGAAGATGTAGCTTAGGGCAGTTGCCTTTCCCTTCTCAGCCTCTGTGTACCCACCTGTGAATGGGGCCTCACTGACAGGGTCATGTAAAGGTCATTATAAGCAGCACCACATATGCCGTGTGCCCGGAGCTGTTCTGAGAGCTTCTCATGGTTTAAAACCACCTATGAGGGGCCGGGCAAGGTGGCTCACACCACTAATCCCAGCACTTTGGGAGGCCGAGGCGGGCGGATCACCTGAGGTCAGGAGTTCAAGACCAGCCTGGTTAACATAGTAAAACCCCATCTCTACTAAAATACAAAAAATTAGCTAGGTGTGGTGGCACATGCCTGTAGTCCCAGCTGCTCGGGAGGCTGAGGCAGGAGAATCACTTGAATCCAGGAGGTGGAGGTCACAGTGTGCCGAGACTGCACCACTGCACTCCAGCCTGGGCAACAAAGCAAGACTCCATCTCAAAAAAAAAAAACAACCCCAAACCACCTATGAGGGAGGCCCACACATGAACCGCACTTCATAGGGAGAAAACGAGGCTCAGAAAGGTGAAACCATTGGCCGCTGTCACACGGCCAGAGAGTGGCAGGACTGAGGGCTAGACCCAGAGACCCTCACTCCTAGCCACACTCTAACAGCCTGGAAAGTACCAGAAAGCTGGCCAGCCATGTCAGTCCTTTTGACGTGAGCACTGTCACAGCCGCCCGTTCCGGGCATTCAAACCACACGTCATTCAAACCCAAGCAGCCCCGACCAGCTCATCGGGCTTGGGGCTGATCTGCTTGGTTGAGAAGGAAAGGGGTGGAGTGTGTTCATCTTACCCCTGCTTTCCGCTGTAGGCGAGCTTGGAGAGGCAGAGGCAGAGCCCCAGACTGGGAGTCAGGACCCAGGGGGCAGGCCCTGACATCCTACGTGGGGCCATACAATTAGCTGGGCTGGATACGCAGCCGGATCTCGCGAGACTTAGTTTGGTGACTGTCACGATGGGAAAACCCTTTGGGTCCGGCTTAAAGCCGCAGGTCCTGTGGGCCGAGCACTTGCTTTGCACTTGCTGTATGCAAGATGTGATGCTAGATCCTTGGCACAGTCCATCAGACCCAATCCTCACAACACACGCCTCCCTCCCTCGGACTGAGTCCCTCCCTGGGACTGAGCTCCTGCATCTGACTAACATGTATTGGGCACTTACTGTATACCAGGCATTGTAAGCATGGTATGTATACAGAATCCTTACAACCTTACCAGGCAGGTAGACCTGTCATCCCCATGTGAGAGTTGGAAGAACAGAAACACAGAGAAAGACAGTGTACTCGAAGCCATGCAGATAAACTCCCAGAAAGATTAGGTGGCTGAGATGTTGAGAGTCAGAGTTGCAGGTTCAAATCCTGGTTTTGCCTGTCCTCATTTACACAGAGGACACTGGGCTGGGGACATGCCCCGAGCCTGAGTCTCTTCTTCTGTCAAATGGGGCGATTGATCAAACCTGCCTCATCCAACCCCTCTGACTCCTCTTCCTCAGCCACATTCCTGAATGTGGGGGCCGAGATCTCTATCACCCTGGAGCCTGCCCAGCCGAGCGAAGGGGACAACGTCACGCTGGTCGTCCATGGGCTTTCGGGGGAACTGCTCGCCTACAGCTGGTATGCGGGGCCCACACTCAGCGTGTCATACCTGGTGGCCAGCTACATCGTGAGCACAGGCGATGAGACTCCTGGCCCGGCCCACACGGGGCGGGAGGCTGTGCGCCCCGATGGCAGCCTGGACATCCAGGGCATCCTGCCCCGGCACTCAGGCACCTACATCCTGCAGACCTTCAACAGGCAGTTGCAGACCGAGGTGGGCTACGGACACGTGCAGGTCCATGGTGAGACACCCCCCAACACCCGCCTCTGCCCCAGCTGGGCCTTCCCATCTCCTTCTCAATCCTTCTTTTTTTTAAAAAAAAAAAAAATCCAACAAATCATCAGGGAAACCATCAGGGAATAAGTTTCTAAAATAACCTCAAAATGCTCACCTCCTTCAAGATGGCCTCCAGGATTAGACCTGCCTCCTAAAACCATTCTTTGTCCCTCCGGCTGAGGGTGTGGGGGCCCAGCCACAATCCGGCCATGCCCCTTGTTGGGGGAAGGGAAGGCCCTCAGAGCAGGTGGTGTCCGGCCCCCTCCCCCTCTGTCTCTTGCCCCCACAGAGATCCTGGCCCAGCCCACAGTCTTGGCCAACAGCACAGCGCTGGTGGAACGTCGAGACACCCTGCGCCTTATGTGCAGCAGCCCCAGCCCCACCGCCGAGGTCCGCTGGTTCTTCAACGGTGGGGCCCTGCCCGTCGCTCTCCGCCTGGGCCTGTCCCCTGACGGCCGGGTGCTGGCCAGGCATGGCATCCGCCGGGAGGAGGCCGGCGCCTATCAGTGTGAGGTGTGGAACCCGGTCAGTGTCAGCCGCAGCGAGCCCATCAACCTGACCGTGTACTGTGAGTCCTCCTGGCCCCACTGGAGATACCCAGTGTCCAAACCTCATGGATGGGGAAACTGAGGCCAGGAGAGGGGGCCTAAGGGCACACAGCGAGTCAGCAGGCAAGCTGGGATTGGGGACCAGGGACCCCTCTTAAAGTGCACTTGCCCTCGCCAGGTGCAGTGGCTCACGCCTGTAATCCCAGCACTCTGGGGGGCCTAGGCGGGAGGATCACCTGAACCCAGAAGTTTGAGACCAGCCTGGGCAACATGGCAAGACCTCATCTCTACCAAAAAACATAAAAATTAGCCAGGCATGGTGGCACATGCCTGTAGTCCCAGCCACTCAGGAGGCTGAGATGGGAGGATTCCTTGAGCCCCGGAGGCCGAGGTTGCAGGTGCAGTAAGCTATGATTGCACCACTGCACTCCAGCCTGGGCGACAGAGCAAGATGCTGTCTCAAAAAACAAACAAACAAAAAAAAACAACAACAACAAACAAAAAAAATACACTTGCCCCATATCCTAAAGGACTTCTACAGACCACCTTTACTATTGAATAATCCTTCAGTTAGGAGCAATATCTACAGAGAAAGGAAACAGGGCCAGTTGGTTTGAAAAGGGAGCAGGGGAGGGAATAGTGTAATGGGAGGGGACACAAAATTTAACAACATAACCAAAGCATGCAGTCGTTCCCAGGAGCAGCAGATGTGCAGTGTGGAATCCTGGGAAAATAAATCACCAAGGTACATGAGGACCCATGATGTAGAAAAACTTAGTGCCTACAATCCTAGAATCTTACAACCAGAGAATTCCAGACTTCAGAAGCACTGAATTCCAGACTCTGAGAATCTTAGAACCTCTAGACGCAGAGATTCTTAGAATCTTAGAATCTAACCCTGAAATCTTAGTCTAGAATCTTAGAAACATAGATTTCTAGAAGCTTAGAACCTTAGAACCTAGAAGCACCAATTCTTGAAGCCCTAGAATTCTACACTCTTAGAATGGCTTTGTCAGAAAAAAAAAATCATTTAGGCTTTTTTTATTTGTCAATGGAGCCATAGATTTCAAAAATACCTTGAAATATTATCTTGCCCAACACATTCTTTTTACAGGAGAGAAAGGTGAGATCCTCTTAGAGGGAGTGATTCTCAAGATCCTAGAACAAGTTAGAGTTAAGGCCAGAGCTTTTTTTCCCCTCCACTAGGCCAAGATATTCCCAGGGACCTAGCTTGGTGGAGAGAAAACCAGGGGTACCAACCTCCACTCCTCCTTCCCTCTACTGCCCCATCTATCTCCCTCCTGCCCCCACAGTTGGCCCAGAGCGTGTGGCCATCCTCCAGGATTCCACCACCCGCACAGGCTGCACCATCAAAGTTGACTTCAACACGTCCCTCACCCTGTGGTGCGTGTCCAGGTCCTGCCCAGAGCCCGAGTATGTGTGGACCTTCAACGGGCAGGCCCTAAAGAACGGCCAAGACCACCTCAACATCAGCAGCATGACAGCCGCCCAGGAGGGGACGTACACATGTATTGCGAAGAACACCAAGACCCTGCTATCTGGATCTGCCTCAGTCGTGGTCAAGCTCTCTGGTGAGTCACCCCCAGCCTGACCACCCCCCAGTCCCCATGGAGGCCTCATCAGGCTGCGAAGGTTAAGCCACCATTTGCCCAACAGAGAATTGGAACATGGTAGATTCACAGTTCATTCATGAGCTGTGACAAAGTGGCATATCAGGCAGATCTGTTTGCATCTGGGTCTAAAGAGAGACAGCCCGTGTCCTGTTCACCTAGAGAACAAATGGCAAACCATTGTGGGTTGACAGAGTGGAAAATCACTCAGATATCACTTCAGGTGGGTGCCACTGCTCTAAATTCAGTCACCAGCTGTTTAGGGCCTTGACCCTCTACCCGCCCCCACCCCACCACACAGACAGCTGAAATTCTGTGCAGCCAACTAGACTACCCAGTTATCTGACCCAGATGATGGGTATACACACACACACACACACACACACACACACACACACACACACAACTGAAGAATCACAGCCAATTGCTGGCAAATGGAGAAACAGCTGGGGAGGCATTGTCATCTTGCTTCTGTCCTAAAATGACCTGAGGGCTGGGGCAGTGCAGGCAGCTGGCATTTCAGAGCCATTGGGATCCTCAGGCGACATTTTCTCATCTTCCGGAGATGGTGGCTTTGAACATTAAGGCCTCATTAATTCTACCTCGGTTCCTTCCCAAGTGGCCATCAGCCCCCGGGGGACAGTGGGGAATGGTCGTTCCCTCCCTCCCACTAACAGGCTGGGTCTCATCCAAGGGGTGGATTTTCACCCAAAGCAGAAATGGCATCCCCAGAGGTAAGTGTGACTCCCGCTCCACTCATCTGGGGCTTTGGCAGCTGGTCTTGACAGGAGACAGGGGGATGGACCAGATGACCTCAGGCGCCACCCCAAGCCCTGTCTGTGCAGTCCAAGAAGGGGGGTGTCCAAGGTATGCAGGTATGTGCAGGGAGTGGATACAGTGCCCCCAAGGGCTTCTAGCACTGTCAGCAACTCTGTGGCAGGTGCTGGGAGAGACACAGAAGAAAAGGAGACGCCACCCTCCCTCCACCTTGGGAGACTAATCTGATGGAGGAGACAAGGCCTCTGTCCTTGGAGAGATGATCCTGGGACAGGGAAACATGGCTCCTTTATTCAAGGAATAGCTGCTCAAAGAGAAGAGGCAATGCCTCATCCTTCATGTCAGTAATGAGGGAGATATGACAACCCACCCTCAGTGAGCTCCTAGTCAGATGGAGGAGACACAGTCTGCACTTGGGGAGAAATTTCCTTCTGATGGGGAGACTTGGTCTCCAGGAGACATGGCCCTGTTTTTTGAGCATTCCTAGTCTGATGGGGTATCCACCTTTGGGGTACTCCTAATCTGATGGAGGAGTACAGGACCCCACTTTCTAGGAATTTCCAGTCTGATGGAATAGACATTTCCCTCTAACTTCCAGGGTCCCCAACTTGATTGGAAAAACTCAGCAACAATTTAGAATTTCTCAATCTGATGGAGGAAACAGGGCTGCCGCCTTGTAGGAATTTTCAATCTGATGGAGGAGACATGCTCTCACCCTCAAGAATCTTTCAATCTGATGGAGGAGCTATGGCTTACACATTCTGGGGTCTCTCGGTCTGACAGACACAAGTCCCAACCATCTCATGGGGAAGACATGGTCCCCATTTTCTGGGATTTCCACTCTGATAGGGGAGACATGGCCCCTATATTTTGGGAATTTCCAATCTGATGGAGGAGACATGACCCAAGCCTCTAGGGTCTTCCAGTTTGATGGGAGAGACACCTCTCAAAGTCTGGGAATTTGTAGTCTGATAGGGGAAACACAGACCCCAGCAGACACTACTGGGACCCAGAATCCACCTCCACCACCGCACAAGTCACCTCCTTCCTCAGTCTCCTTCCCAGCACCCTACATGGGGAGTGCCAGCCAGCTGGGGGGAGGCCAGCAAGGGTTGGGAAGGGGACACCATGCCAGATGCAGACCAAACTGACCCAGCCCGCTCGCTCTCTCCCCAGCTGCAGCAGTTGCCACGATGATCGTGCCCGTGCCCACCAAGCCAACGGAGGGCCAGGACGTAACACTGACCGTGCAGGGCTACCCCAAGGACCTGCTGGTCTACGCCTGGTACCGCGGGCCTGCCTCCGAGCCCAACCGGCTGCTCAGCCAGCTGCCGTCAGGAACCTGGATTGCAGGCCCCGCGCACACAGGCCGGGAGGTGGGCTTCCCCAACTGCTCGCTGTTGGTGCAGAAGCTGAACCTCACAGACACTGGCCGCTACACACTCAAGACTGTCACAGTGCAGGGCAAGACTGAGACACTGGAAGTGGAGCTGCAGGTGGCCCGTGAGTGTGTGGGAAGGGGCAAGGCGTGCCCCTTTTTAGACAAGGGCTCCCAAAAGGAGCCTTTGCTTCCTCCATCAGGCTGGGGGGACATAGACCAAAGATGGATACCCATCCCCCATCAGGCTGAAGGAAGCAGCCTTGTCTCCTCCGCCTAACTTGGGGGTCCCCAAATAGGGTTCTGCCTCTTCTATCAAACTAATGACCTACACTGTGGGTAGACAGGCCTCCTCCATCAGACTGAGGGTTGCTAAAGGGGACCCCCATGCCTTCTCTCTCAAATAAGAGGTACAGCACACTGAAGGTTTTAAAAGAGAAGGCATAGTCTGATGGTGGAGCATCCTTTTTCCTGCAGACAGGTGGACCCTAAAACATAGGGTCCATATTGGGGTAATGGGTTAATTATAGGAGTTTACCTCTCCTATCAGACTGCAGGCAGAGAATAAGGATGAATCAGGCCTCCCTATTCAGACTGGGAGATCCTGTGCAGTGGGGATCATGTCTCCTCCTTTCTATTATTGTGAGGGCAAAGTTTCTATCATCAGATGGTGGAGTTTCTCTTTCAAACTGAAATAAGGATGATTGCTCCATTAGGATGGAGGCCTGTAGGTGTGGAAGTTGTGTCTCCTCACAGAATGGAAGTTCCCAGATGTTGGGGACCATGTCTCCCCATCAGACTGGGAGCTCTTAGAAGTCAGGAACAATGTCTCCCCCATTGGATTGGGAATTCCCAAGTGTTGGAGACCATGTCACCTCCCTCAGACTGGGAGCTCTCAGATGTTGGGAACCGTGTCTCCCCATCAACTGGGAGCTTCTAGAGTCAGAAACTATGCCTCCTCCATCAGACTAGGAGCTCCCAGAGTCAAGATCCAGGTCTCCTCCATCAGACTGAGAGCTCCCAGAGTTATAGACCATGTTTCCTCCGTCAGACTGGGAGCTCCCAGAGGCAGAGACCACGTCTCCTTCATCAGACTGGGAGCTCCCAGAGGCATGGTCCATGTCTCCTCCATCAGACTGGGAGCTCCCGGAGTCAGGGACTATGTCTCCCTCGTCAGACTGGGAACTCCAGGAGTGAGGGTCCATGTCTCCTCCATCAGACTGGGAGCTCCCAGAGTCAGGGACCATGTTTCCTCCATCAGACTGGGAGCTCCCAGAGTCAGGGACCATGTCTCCTCCATCAGACTGGGAGCTCCCAGAGTCAGGGTCTATGTCTCCTCCATCAGACCGGGAGCTCCCAGAGTCAGGGACCATGTCTCCTTCATCAGACTGGGAGCTCCCAGAGTCAGGGACCATGTCTCCTTCATCAGACTGGGAGCTCCCAGAGTCAGGGACCATGTCTCCTCCATCAGACCGGGAGCTCCCAGAGTCAGGGTCTATGTCTCCTCCATCAGACCGGGAGCTCCCAGAGGCATGGTCCATGTCTCCTCCATCAGACTGGGAGCTCCCAGAGTCAGGGTCTATGTCTCCTCCATCAGACTGGGAGCTCCCAGAGTCAGGGACCATGTCTCCTCCATCAGACTGGGAGCTCCCAGAGTCAGGGACCATGTCTCCTCCATCAGACTGGGAGCTCCCAGAGTCAGGGACCATGTCTCCTCCATCAGACTGGGAGCTCCCAGAGTCAGGGAGCATGTCTCCTCCATCAGACTGGGAGCTCCCAGAGTCAGGGACCATGTCTCCTCCATCAGACTGGGAGATCCCAGAGTCAGGGTCTATGTCTCCTCCATCAGACTGGGAGCTCCCAGAGTCAGGGTCCATGTATCCTCCATCTGACTGAGCATCCCCAGAGGTCTGAGTCCATGTCCCTACAGCAGGGCCAGGTTTCCCCCATTAGCTCTCAGACACTGGGGATGAGATCATTCCCCAAGTCTGGAATCTTGCCTCCCCCAGCAGACAGAGCATTCTCAGAAGCCATGTCCCTGAGTCCGGGATGGTGCCTCCCCTATCACTGGAAATTTCCAGGATCAAGGACTCAACCACTGCCAGTCACCCACTTTCATCCAGTCACTGATCAAACCCTGGTTTTCTGGGTCAGTGTTAGGGGAGAATGCTGTTCAGTGGCAGCAGGCCACCCCGGCAAAGCCTTGGGATTCCTTTTCACCCATTCTCTCTTCTCACAGTCAACCTCCCTCCCTCGCACAAGGACCAACGCTACCTTCCTGAACCTGAACCTGGCACAGGCTGAGCGTGGGGTGGATTGGGCCACTGGGTGGCCCGGGGTGGGCAGGGGAGCAGAAGGGGTGGGGGCACTGGGGACCTGGTCCTCCATCTCTCTGACATCCTCCTTCGCCCCCTCGCCCCATATGCCCCACAGCCCTGGGGTAACAGCGTGACCCTGGAGACGTCCAGAGAGAAGAGCTCTTCGCACCATCCTCTGGTCCTCGCCCTCTGAGTGGGAACCACTCCCCCACAGCGAGGATGCCAGGCTGTGGTCCTGCTGTTCTCCTGCCTCCACCCTAGAGCTAGAGCCACAGGGCCCCACTCCCTCGCTGAGCTGTTGGGGAGCCACCGAGGCCATAAACGTCCTGGTTAATGCACACGTGTGTCAGCCTCTCCTTCCACCACCGCTAGCCCCGCCATTTCCTGGTGGCCGCACTCATTTCCTTTCCCCCCCAAGACTTTTCTCAGTCTGGGTGTGCACGTGCAGGAGGATGGGCCCAGATCACCGTGCTCCACACCCCACTGCTGGATGCCAGGGCCTTGTGCCCCTCCCGCAGTGCTCCAGGTTATATGTGAGAGTCCTGCTCCCCAGCTGGCCAAGGACTGCCCCTCTTGGAGCACCAGCATTCTGTGGGACATGGCTCTCCCCTACACTGCACCTCATTTTGTCACCTGGACCCCGAAACAGGGCTGCTTGTGCTCAGGAAATGACCATATTTTGCAAGAAGTCTTCCATCACCTTCTGGTAGTCCTCACCCATTTAATCAAAGACACAACTTTGTCCTGGGATTCCCCGCATGTCTCTCCAACATTATCTGCCCAACCCTGACAATATCTCCTTCCTTCTGCAGCCACAGGAAAGGCCCTGTGGATGGATGAATGCAAGCGGGGCAGAGGTAGAGGCCAGGAGTGGAGAGCTGGGAAGTGGGGGCCAGAATGAGTGTGTTTTCTAACTCGTCTCATTAGTGGGAGCCACAGGCCCCACCCAGCCGCAATGCCCCACTGGAAACAGGTTCTTGGCATTGGTCAGGAGTGGTGATGGCCGAGTCGAGGCTTAGAATAGAAAGACAGGTTTGGGCAGAGACGAGAAAGGCCCTTTTGGGGATGATTGTGTTGAGTTGGGGTGATGGGTGGTGAAAGACCTCCAGAATGAGGGTTATAAAACCTGGATCAAAATCCTGCATTTGCCACGGATTCACTAGAGCCTCAGTTTGCCCATCAGTAAAAAGGTGTGGACTTGAGGTGGACCAGACTTTTCCAAACCATTTTTAAAAGCCTCAGAGCCCTTTCTTCAAATACAAGTTTACATGGCAGGTCAATTTATTATTAATATTTAAAATAGCAATGCAACAAATATAGCCCCAGCACAGTGCCCATGCCTGTAATCCTAACGCTTTAGGAGGCTAAGGTGAGAGAAACGCTTGAGCCCAGAAATTTGAGACCAGCCTGGGCAACATGGCAAAATCCCGTCTCTATTTTTGAAAATAAATAAATAAATAAAACCAACTATAGATACCAATTCAATAGCTATACTCGTCTCCCCCAAAATTTCTATAGAATTGGAAAAAAAATTACTTAAATTTAAATACCACTGGGATTAGCCAGACATGGTGGCGCATGCCTATAGATCACTTGAGCCCAGGAATTTGAGGCTGCAGTGAGCCATGATTGCACCACTGCACTCCAGCCTGAGCAACAGAGTGAGACTACGTCTCATAAAAAATGTTAAATTTTACAAATAAAAGGTAACACTTGGGGCCGGGCGCGGTGGCTCACCCCTGTAATTCCAGCACTTTGGGAGGCTGAGGCAGGTAGATCACAAGGTCAGGAGTACAAGACCAGCCTGACCAACATGGTGAAACCCCGTCTCTACTAAAAATACAAAAATTATCCAGCCGTGGTGGCATGCTCCTGTAATCCCAGCTACTCAAGAGGCTGAGGCAGGAGAATTGCTTGAATCTGGGAGGCAGAGGTTGTAATGAGCCAAGATCGCACCACTGCACTCCAGCCTGGGCAACAGAGCAAGAAGACTCCGTCAAAAAAAAAAAAAAAAAAAAGTAACACTTGGACTACAGAAGCAACTAAAATACAAGATATCAACCAGAATCAAATGACAGTAAAAGCATCATATACATCAAACCTGTGGGACATGGCCACAGCCATCCTTGAAGAGAAAAATGATAGCTTATAAGCATTGAGAGTACTAAAGGAAAAAGACTTGAAAATGAATAAAACAAGCTTTCTACTCAAGAAACTAGAAAAAGTCCACAAAACGAACCAAAGAAAAAAGCTAAGGAATGAAGAAAGGTAAAAGCAGAAATAGATGAAATGTAAAACAAAACATGGCCAATAAAACCTAAAGCTGATTCTTTGAAAATGCAATGAAATAGACAGACTTTCTGCAGGTATGATCAAGAAAAAAAAAAAAAACAGAGAAGTATAAATAAGAAACACAAATAATAAAGAGCCAAGGAGATTAATATATAAAATAAAAGGCCCTGGGGTGGGCGCTGCGCTCACACCTGTAATCCCAGCACTCTGGGAGGCTGAGCCAGGAGGATCACTTGAGCCCAGGAGTCCCAGACCAGCCTGAGCAATGTAGCAAGACCTCATCTCTACAAAAGTTTTTCAAAAATTATCCAGGAATAGTGGTGCATGCCTGTAGTCTCAGCTACATGGGAGGCTAAGGCAGGAGGATTGCTTGAGCCCAGGAGGCCAAGGTTGCAGTGAGCTATAATCACCCTACTGCACTCCATCCTGGGCGACAGAGCAAGACCTTGTCTCTAAAAAAAGAGAGAGAGAGAGAAAAGAGAAACTGGTCTGGTTGAAGCAAAGGTTGCTCAATAAATATACATTGACTGAAGAGGGATCTGTTGGTTGCTCCCCAGCCCACTGCCCTCCCTGCTTCCATGACACACGCACTGCCTCCCTCTCTAGAAGCTGAAAATGTCAGGTACTCACTTTCCCAAACTGCCTTGCAGCTGCAAGCAGCCATGTGACCAATTCAAGCCCATGAGGAAGGAGAGAGCCTAAAGTTCCACCCACTGACTCCACCTCACCGGAGGGGACACTGAGGGAGCTCTATGGAGTTTGAAAGCTATTATCTAAATTAGTGGTCTCCATTGTGGGGCTTCTAGCTGGGACGTGAGGATGGACTTGAGCCCATACTACTAACCCCAACACTATCCAGCCCAGAAAGAAGAAATAGCATCCATATTACCACCTTCACCCCACCCCCATCCACCCAAGTTCACATAAAAACTTGACATAGATGTGGCTAGAGTCTAGATATAACAGTTAGAAATTCTTGGCCGGGCGAGGTTGCTTATGCCTGTAATCCCAGCACTTTGGGAGGCCGAGGCGGGTGGATCACGAGGTCAGAAGTTCAAGACCATCCTGGCTAACATGGTGAAACCCCGTCTCTACTAAAAATAGAAAAAATTAGCCAGGTGCAGTGGCAGGCACCTGTAGTCCCAGCTACTGGGGAGGCTGAGGCAGGAGTATGGTGCAAACCTGGGAGGCGGAGTTTGCAGTGAGCCGAGATCATGCCACTGCACTCCAGCCTGGGCGACACAGCAAGACCCTGTCTCAAAAAAAGAAAAAAAAATTAGCTGGGCGTGGTGGCAGGTGCCTGTAGTCCCAGCTACTCGGGAGGCTGAGGCAGGAGAATGGCGTGAACCTGGGAGGCAGAGCTTGCAGTGAGCCGAGATCACGCCACTGCACTCCAGCCTGGGTGACACAGCGAGACTCTGTCTCGAAAAAAAAAAAAAAAAAAAGAAAGAAAGAAATTCTCTTCAGTGGCTAGGCTGGGCACTGTGGCTCACACCTGTAATCCCAGCACTTTGGGAGGCCGAGGTGGGCTGATCATCTGAGGTCAGGAGTTCGAGACCAGCCTGGCCAATATGGTGAAGCCCCATCTCTACTAAAAATACACAAAAATTAGCCGGGCATGGTGTGATCAAGAAAAAAAAAACAGAAGTATAAATAAGGAACACAAATAATAAAAAGCCAAGGAGATTAATATATAAGATAAAAGGGCACCTGTAATCCCTGCTACTTGGGAGGCTGAGGCAGGAGAATTGCTTGAACCCATGGGGCAGGGGTTGCAGTAAGCTGAGATCATACCATTGCACTCCAGCCTGGGTAACAAGAGTGAAACTCAGTCTCAAAAAACAAAACAAAAGAAATTATCTTCAGTGGCTAGTAAGAAATATTGGAACTAGCATAAACAATTAGGCAGAATAGATACACAGGGAGTAGCTTATATGGCTAGAAGATTATTTTTCTCATTTCTCAAACGTAAAAAATCTCCAGAAGCAGATTGTTCAGAGCTAGAATGGAGGCCCTGTAGTGTCATCAGGGACACAGCTCCTTCTATTCTTCTGTTCCATTATCCTTACCTTGGGGTTTCCATCCTCTCCATCACCTCATGGCCCAAGATGGCTGCTGGAGTCACAGCTGCCTCATCCATGTTCCAGGCAAGAAGCAGAAAGAAGGGAACAAAGGGAAACAAACAAAAAAAAACTCCCCCTAGCCAGTTTATGGACTGTGCCCCTTTTAAGGGAACTTTACCTAAGGCCCATCCAACAACCCCTGCTTAGATCTGATTGGCCAGCTCATAGTACCATGGCCACCCTAGCTGCAAGGGAGGCAGGGAATTGCAGTCATTGCCTTGGGTATGCTGCTGCCCCAATTAACATCAAGGTTCTTGTATTAAGAAAGGCAGAGAGAATGGGTCCCGGGTGGGCAGCTGGCAGGCTTGGCCACTCCAAGCTTTGGAACTTCTACCTCCTCAGCTAGGCAAAATGGCCTTCCTCACCTGAGCCCAAGGAGTAAGAGTCACAGCCCCCATAGCAGGGGTTTGAGAAAGATGGGAGCTGCTGCTCTGAGCTGTGATTGTGTGCAGTTGATGCAGAATGAGGCCAGCAGGAGGGGCAGAAGGAGGGAAGGAGAAGCAGCTCAGGTTTCTAGGTCAAGCAAAATCCCATAGCCTCAGGGTGTGGTGGAGGCTCAAATGTCCCCAAGACCAGGTCCTCCGTCCCTCTGGGCATCTCTGTGCTCTTTTACTGAATTATCTCAAGTAGTGCAATCCCCTTCATTAAGAGTGTAGGAAAGAATAATAACAATAACCACAAAATAATAATCACTCCTATATCTCGAGCATCAGTGTATTAGTCCATTCTCACATTGCTATAAAGACATACCTGAGACTGGGTAATTTATAAAGAAAAGAGGTTTAATCAGCTCATGATTCTGTGGGCTATACAGGCTTCTGCTTCTGGGGAGACCTCAGGAAACTTACAATCATGGCAGATGGTGAAAGGGAAGCAAGCACGTCTTCACATGGCCGGCAGGAGAGGAAGGTGGGGTGCTACACACTTTTAAACAAGCAGCACTAGGAGGATGGTGCTAAAACATTAGAAACTGCCCCCACGATCCAATCACCTCCCACGAGGTCCCTCCTCCTACACTGAGGATCATAACTGGACATGAGATTTGGGTGGGGACTAAGAACTAAACCATATCAATTGGTTTTATCCTTTTTCATGCAAGATCTCAATTCCTACAGCAGCTCTTAAGAGCAGTTACTATCATTCCCCCAACTTACAGGTGAGGAAACTAAGGCACAGAGACTTGAAAACTTTGCTCCAAGTCCCACAGTTCCCATGTGTCCTAGGTGGAGGTGCTGGTGGGGGAGTCCTCTCCATTCTTCAGCAGGGCAGAGGGTTTCAGGGCACAGCTCTGAGGACAGACAGAATTCTTTTTAGCTGTGGGAACTTGGGTACATTGCTTGCTTTTCCTCCTCGTAAAATGGAGATGATAATACTGCCCCTGCCTCCTAGGATTGTTGAAAAGATCACATTAGTTAATACAAGTAATGAGCCTGAAACATGGATGCTCAATAAATGCCTATGACCCAGACTAAGGTGTTAGATTTTAACAACAGGCAGATAGAAAAAGCAAAGATAACATTTTTCTTTTTCTTTTTTTTTTTTTTTTGAGACGGAGTTTTGCTCCTGTTGCCCAGGCTGGAGTGCAATGCATGATCTCGGCTCACCACAACCTCTGCTTCCTGGGTTCAAGCGATTCTCCTGCCTCAGCCTCCCCAGTAGCTGGGATTACAGACATGAGCCACCACACCCGGTTAATTTTTTTTTTTTTTTAGCATTTTTAGTAGAGACGGGGTTTCTCCATTTTGGTCAGGTTGGTCTCAGGTGATCCTGACCTCAGGTGATCCGCCCGCCTCAGCCTCCCAAAGTGCTGGGATTACAGGCATGAGCCACCGCGCCCGGCCATTTTTTTTTTTTTTTTTTTTTTTTTCCAGACCGGGTCTCAGCATTATCCAGACTGGAATACAGTGATGCAATCATGGCTCACTGCAGTCTCCCAAGCAGCTGGGACTACAGGCATGAGCCACCACGCCGGCCAATTGTTGCATTTTTTGTGGAGTCAGGGTCTTGTTCTGTTGTCCAGGCTGGTCTCAAACTCCTGGGCTCAAGCAATCCTTTCACTTCAGCCTCCTAAAGTGCTGGGATTACAGGTGTGAGCCACCACACCCTGCTTCAAAGATAACATTTGTCCTGGCGAACTTAATCCTACTAAGCAGGTTTGCTTCGCTTTATGTAATATATGATGTTCTTTACATTGTAATCACTGAGATTTGCTGACAAAAAGTAATAATAGGCCGGGCGCGGTGCCTCATGCCTGTAATCCCAGCACTTTGGGAGGCTGAGGCAGGCAGATCACCTAAGGTCAGGAGTTCGAGACCAGCCTAGCCAACATGGTGAAACCCCGTCTCTACTAAAAATACAAATAATTGCCAGATGTCATCATGTGCGCCTGTAATCCCAGCTACTTGGGAGGCTGAGGCATGAGAATCACTTGAACCCAGGAGGCAGAGGTTTCTGTGAGCGGAGATTGCACCACTGCACTCCGGCCTGGGCAACAAAGTGGACTCCATCTCAAAAAAAAAAAAAAGTAATAGGCAGATCACAAGATCAAGAGATTAAAACAATCCTGGCCAACATGGTGAAACCCTGTCTCTACTAAAAAATACAAAAATTAGTTGGCCGTGGTGGCACATACCTGTAGTCCCAGCTACTTGGGAGGCTGAGGCAGAAGAATTCGCTCGAACCCAGGAGGCGGAGTTTGCAGTGAGCCTAGATCGTGCCACTGCACTCCAGCCTGGAGACAGAGTGAGACTCTGTCTCAAAAAAAAAAAAAAGTAATAAAAGCAATAATAATAAATGTGTATGAGCTTTTAGAAACACGATGCTCATCATCGCAGGTTCCAGGGTAGGTGCTCTCAGCACAGGTTCTCTGACTTGCTCCTCAAAGCTTCCCTTTGAAATGGAACTATTAATACATTTCCCAAATCTCCTGTTTATTAACGTAAACATCCCTGCGAAGAGCACTGGCTAACGCCTGTTATCCCATCACTTTGGGAAGCTGAGGCAGGAGGATTACTTGAGGCCAGGAGTTCAAGAACAGCCTGGGCAACATTGCAAGACCCTATCTCTACAAAAAAAAACAAAAAACAAAAAAAAAAAACAGAATTATTTGGGCATGGCAGTACTTGTCTGTCATCCCAGCTACCTGGGAGGCTGAGATGGGAGCATTGCTTGCGCCTAGGATTTTGAGGCTGTAGTGAGCTGTGATGGTGCCATTGCACTCCAGCCTATGAGACAGAACAAGACCCTGTCTCAAAAATTAAAATAAAATAAAATAAGTTATATATCCCAGGCTTCTGCCTGGGCCCAGAAAACCTGTCTCTCCAGGGTGGGGACTTGAAAGAATTTTCTTTCTTTTTTTTTTCTTTTTTTTTTTTTTTTGAGACAGAGTCTTGCTCTGTCATCCAGGCTGGAGTGCAGTGGCATGATCTCAGCTCACTTCAACTTCTGCCTCCCGGGTTCAAGCTATTCTTGTGCCTCAGCCTCCCGAGTAGCTGAGATTATAGGCGCCTGCCACCACGCCCGGAAAGCAGAATTTTTAACAAAGGGTCTAGGGAATTTTTGTTAGCTGGGAAATTGGGGGACTCAGATGCAGAGACTGTTTGACAAAAAAAAAAAAAAAAGGAAAGTGAGACACCACAAAGAAGAGGAGGTGACTTGCCCAAAGTTACTCAGCCAGAAAGGAGCAGGGCCAGGATTTGGTCCAGAGAGGAGCAGGAACTAGTCCAGGGTCACGGAGCAGGTTTCAGATGAGGGCTGAGACTGGCGCCCTTCACTGTCCCGAGCAGGTCCGCAGTGGCTCCTCGCCTCCCCCATTAAGCCACGAAGCTCTGGTGGCGCCGGGGGCCCTCAGGTTCCACCAGCCGTGGGTGGGGAGGCAGACTATACCCCTCTCAGCCCCAATCCCTTCCCCCTCACCCAAGCTGCCTTTTCTCAAATAACCACACTGGGGAGGGCAGGGAGTCGGGGTGACCTTGAGGCCAGAATACACAATGGCCCAGTCCCTCTCTGGAGCCCTGCCAGGGAGAGGAAGGAAGCCTGCCCTGTTTTTTTCCATGGACTGGAATGTTGATTCAGGATGGAGAGCAGGGAGGAGGGAAGGGGGAGGTGGGAGAGAGAGAAAAAAAAAAAAGGAGGAAAGAGAAGGGAGTAGGAGGAGGGTGGAGGAGGGAGAAAAGGGGAACAGGGCAAAAAGGGAGAAGAAGGAGGTGGAGGAGGTGGAGGAGGAGGAGGGATGGGGAGGAAGAGGAGAAGAAAGAGGAAGGAGACAGAAGAGGAGCATGGAGGAGGGGGTGCCAAGGCCAGACTTTGGGAACCAAGGAATGAGCCCCATCAGCTTCAGCCCATCCTGACACACAGTGTGGAGAATGCAGAGTCCAGAGAGGGCACCCCAAATCTGCAAGGTTGCACAGGACCAGTGCAGCCAAAGGGCCTCACCTGTGCGGCTGCCTCCTGCCTGTGGAGGCAGGAGCTCCCTGAGTCCTCACAGAGACCTTCAGACGCAGGTGTCATGTTGCATGTTTCTCAGAAGAGGATACTGAGGCGCCCAGAGGTAAAGCCACATTTCCTGGAGCATCTCCCCTTCGGATCGGACTCCAGGGTCCTTACAATGGTCTGCAGGCCTGCCCGCCCGTCATTCCCTTCATCATCTCCTCTCCTTCACTCACTGCAGCCACCTGGCCTCCTGGCTATTGTTTGAACAAATCAAGCAACTCCTTCCTCGGGGCCTTTGCACTGGCTGTTCCCGCTGCCAGGAATTTCCTTCCCTCAGACACCTGCATCACTCCAGTCAGGTCTCTGCTCAGATGTCACCTCCTCAGAGGGGTCCCCTGTACACCCAA
Organism: Homo sapiens; assembly: GCF_000001405.40. NCBI lineage: Eukaryota > Metazoa > Chordata > Mammalia > Primates > Hominidae > Homo > Homo sapiens. The sequence continues at coordinate 44,719,634 of NC_000019.10, forward strand.
AGTTGTCTGGCTTTATTCTTCACAGCATTTATCACTTACACAACTAACCCAACTTTACATTTTATATTTCTTTTTTGTTTTCTTTTTTGAGACAGTCTTGCTCTGTTGCCCAGGCTGGAGTGCAACCGCACAATCACAGCTCACTGTGGCCTCGAACTCCTGGGCTCAAGCAATCCTCCTGCCTCACTCTCCTAAGTAGCTGGGACTACAAGTGCTCACCACCATGACCTGCTAATTTTATATATATATATATATATATATATATATATATATATATATATATATACACACACACACACACACACATATATATACACATACATATATATATACACACAAACATACATATATATACATACATATATATATATGTGTATATATATATATATATATATATATATATTTTTTTTTTTTTTTTTTTTTTTCCCTGAGATGGAGTCTTGCCCTCTCGTCCAGGCTACTAGAGTGCAGTAGTGCAATCTTGGCTCACTGCAACCTCCACCTCCCATGTCCAAGTGATTCTCCAGCCTCAGCATCCCGAGTAGCTGGGATTACAGTACCTGCCACCAGGCCCAACTAATGTTTGTATTTGTGTAGAGATGGGGTTTCACCATGTTGGCCAGGCTGGTCTTGAACTCTATCTAGAATATACAATATATCAAACATTTCAACACAAAAAAAAAAATCTGACTTTTTTTTTTTGGAGATGTAATCTCAATCTGTCACCCAGGCTAGAGTGCAGTGGCATGATCTCAGCTCACTCCAACCTCTGCCTCCCAGGTTCAAGTGATTCTCCTGCCTCAGCCTCCTGAGTAGTTGGAACTACAGGCTTGTACCACCACGCCCAGCTAATTTTTGTATTTTTAGTAGAGTCGGGGTTTCACCGTGTTGGCCAGGCTGGTTTCAAATTCCTGACCTCAAGTGATCGACCCGCATCGGCCTCCCGAAGTGCTGGGATTATAGGTGTGAGCCATCACGACTGGCCATTTTTTGTCTTTTTGATGACATCTTGCTCTGTCATCCAGGCTGAGTGCAGTGGCGCAACTATAGCTCACTGCAGCCTCCAATTCCTGGGTTCAAGCAATCCTCCCACATCAGCCTCCCAAGTGAGTAGCTGGGACCACCACTGTGCACCACCACACCTGGCTGTTTTTAACTTTTTGTGCAGACAGGGTCTCGCTGTATTGCTCAGGCTGGTCTCGAACTCCTGGCTTCAAGCAACCCTCCTACCTCTGCTTCCTAAAGTGCCAGGATTATAGGTGTAAGCCACCATGGCTGGCCAACAATATAATTTTTTAAACAGGCAAATTATCTTAACAGACATTTCTCAAAAGAAGACATACAATGGCCAACAAGTATATGAAAAAATACTCAACATCATACTCATTGGGGAAATGCAAATCAAAACAACAATGAGGTATTATTTCACCTGAGTTAGGATGGCTGTCATCAAAAAGACAAAAAATGGCCAGTTGTGATGGCTCACGCCTGTAATCTTAGCACTTCGGGAGGCCGATGTGGGCGGATCACTTGAGGTCAGGAATTCGAAACCAGCCTGGCCAACATGGTGAAACTTCAACTCTATTTTTGTAAAAATACAAAAATTAGCCAGGCATTGTGGTGCAAGCCTGTAATCCCAGCTACTCAGGAGCCTGAGGCAGGAGAATCACTTGAACCCAGGAGGCAGAGGTTGTGGTGAGCTGAGATGGCGCCATTGCGCTCCAGCCTGAGCAACAGAGAGAGGTTCCCTCTCAAAAAAAAAAAAAAAGAAAGAAAAAAAAAAAGGAGCAGGGATTCAGCTTTTGAGGGCCATGGCGAGGATTTTGGCCATCACCCCAAGTGAAGTAGGAGCCACAGAGGCTGGATGGGTTCTGATTCAGTTTCTTTTTTTTTTTTAGATGGAGACTTGCTCTGTCGCCCAGGCTGCAGTGCAGTGGCGCAATCTCGGCTCACTACAACCCCCGCCTCCTGGGTTCAAGTGATTCTCCTGCCTCAGCCTTCCCAGTAGCTGGGATTATAGGCATGTGCCAACTCACCCAGCTAATTTTGTTGTTGTTTTGTTTTGTTTTGTTTTTTGAGACAGAGTTTCACTCTTGTCTCCCAGGCTGAAGTGCAATGGTGCCCACTCAGCTCACTGTAACCTCTGCCTCCGGGGTTCAAGTGATTCTCCTACCTCAGCCTCCTGAGTAGCTGGGATTACAGGCATGCACTACCACGCCAAGCTAATTTTTGTATTTTTAGTAGAGACGGGGTTTTGCCATGTTGGCCAGGCTGGTCTTGAACTCCTGACCTCAGGTGATCCACCTGCCTCAGCCTCCCAAAGTGCTAGGATTGCAGGTGTGAGCCATCATGCCCGGCCCTGATTCAGGTTCTAACAGGATCCCTCTGGCCATGAGGTGGAAAGAGACTGTTGGGGGCAGAATTGTAAAGCGAGGGACAAGAAGAGTCAGGGGTCTCCAAGCTTTGAGCCTGAGCCACTGCAAGGATGAAGCTGCCATTTCTGAGGCCAGAAGGCTGCAGGCAGGGCTGGGTTGGAGATTGGAATGAAGATAGGTCTTGTTTGAGGCCAATGAGGAGGGAGCCTCACCCGAGGCACACAGGCTCCAGGCGGGAAGTTGGCGACAAGTTGTGGACTGTGGTTTTCACCCACCTCATGGGGCCCCCTCATCCTCTCCCCCAACTTCCCCTCACGCCGTGGTGGAGCCAGCTTTGTTTGTTTCCCCCCCATCATCCGTTTCATGATGGGGAAGACTGGTTTTCCCCTAACCCAACAGACACCTCTTCCCTCAGCCTGTCCCTGACCCTCCCACCTCGGGAAGCCCCGAGCGGGCCTCCCAGAATGTCCCGGCAGGAAGGGGCTGCTGCTACCGTTCATCCAGCCAGATGAACCCCAAAAGGGGAAGTGGGTCACCCGTAGTCACCCGGCTCATGGTCAGCTCGGGACTTCAGGATCTCGTCTCTTCACTGCACCCACCACAGCCCTGGGAGGTTTTCCATGCACGCTTCTCATTCTCCCCACATTTCACACGAGAAAACAGGGGCTCCAAGAGAGGCCCACACTCACCTAAGGAGCTCCAAAGATAGGGGCATCTGGATTTGAACCCAGGTCCTAGCAGATGTTGTTAGCTCAGAGGAGAAGGCAGAGAGGGTGAACAGAACCCAGCCTGCCCTCCCAGATCCAGTGGGAAGGCAGACTTGTCCCCAGGTAATAATAGCCCAGCAGTGTTCACAGCCTGGGATGGAGGAGCCCAGGAGGCTGCAGGAGCTCAGAGCGCATGCCTGACCCAGCCTGGGGTCAAGGAGGGCTTCCTGGAGGAAGGGACAGCTCATCTGATACCTAGAGGATGAGTGGGAGTTACTAGGTGTAAATAGTGCAGGGAGAGGGAAGAGTATGTGCAAAAGCCTAGGGTTGAGAGGAAACCTAGGGGCTCCAGCAAGGCGCAGTGGCTCATGCCTGTATTCCCAGCACTCTGGGAGGCCGAGGCGGGCGGATCATCTGAGGTCAGGAGTTCAAGACCAGCCTGGCCAACATGGTGAAACCCTGTCTCTATTAAAATACAAAAATTAGCCAGGCGTGGTGGCGTGCACCCATAATCCTAGCTACCTGGCAGGCTGAGGCACGAGAATTGCCTGAACTTGGGAGGTAGAGATTGCAGTGAGCCAAGATCACGCCACTGCACTGGCGACGAAGTCAGATTCCATCCCTCTCTCTCAAAAAAAAAAAAAGCTGGGGGGAGCCTAGGGGCTTCTAAATCCGATCGTGTCCTGGCCCTGATTAAACTCTCCTACAGCTGCCCTGGCAAACTCTTTAGCTTGGCATTCATTCATTCATTCATTCATTCACTCATTCATTCCATAAACATTCCCTGGAGTGCATTGTCAGTGTCAGGCCCCAGGGGAACACAGCAGTGACCACGACAGCCCCACCAGACCATGACCCTGACCAGGGGGCTCACGAGGGCGGAGACATCTACTCCAAGACCTGAAGGAGGAGTAGGAGAGATGCTGGGGAAGAGGCAGGGAAGGGTGTTCCTGGCAGAGGGAACAGCCTGTGCGAAGGCCTGAAGGTAAGTTTTGCATATGACACCTTTGAGAAACTACTTATTGTTCAACTGAAGCATAGGGTTGTTCAGAAGAAGCCAGCCTTGTGGCCGGGTGTGGACTTCCTCCCAGGGCACCAGGGAGCCACTGCAGAGTTGTGAGCAAGGGACAGACAGAGGTAGGCTTGTACTTCCAAGAGACTCCCCCAGCTGCCACATGCAGGGTGAATGGAATGATGCACAGAATCCAGTTTCAGGGGTAGTTTGGTACTTGGACCCAGGTCCCAGGGAGAGAGTCCAAGGAGCCCTTCTCTGGTCTTCCAAGGAGCTGCTCTCCCCAAGCTCCGGATGGAAGGCGTGCCCATGGCAACCGCTAGGTGGTGCCCGTACACCACCAGCCAGGTCTTTTTTTGCCAAAAGTAGATCAGGCCCAGAGCTGGGCAGAACTGCCCCTGGGTCAGGAGAGCAAATCGTCTCTGTCTTTTGGTCCTGGCTCCCTGGCCAGGCATCCTGGGGCCATTTGACTCCCAGGCTCAGGAAGGAGCTGGCTGAGCTGCAGTGAGTATGTTCTTCGTCTCTTTCCTCACCTTGGAATCTCAGACGGGAGCACCCTGGCTCCCACTTCAGACAGGAAGATTCTTACCTCCCTCATCAGACTAGCAGGCTCTTTGTCTCCCCACCAGTTTGAGGGGCTCCCCATTTCTATCATTCATTTGGAAGCTCATCAGCTCTCCCAGAAGGCATGGGAGCCCTTCAACACCCCCATCAGACTAGGACTACCCATCTCCCCCATCAAATTAGAACTGCATTGTCTCACACATCAAAGTATCACTCCTGGCCAGGTGCAGTGGCTCCCGCCTGTAATCCAAGCACTTTGGGAGGCCGAGGCAGGAGGATCACCTGAGGTCAGAAATTCAAGACAAACCTGGCCAACACGGTGAAACCCGGTCTCTACTAAAAATAACAAATTAGCCAGGCGTGGTGGTGTGCGTCTGTAATCCCAGCTACTCAGGAGGCTGAGGCAGGAGAATCGCTTGAACCCAGGAGGCACAGGTTGCAGTGAGCCAAGATCACACCACTGCACTCCAGCCTGGGCGACAGAGCGAGACTCTGACTCACAAAAATAAATACATTGTCTTACACATCAGAATGTTGCTCCTTACCTCCCCTGGCAGACTGGAAATATAGACTGGACACTCGTTCTTGCTGCACAGGACTGGAGCTTCTTATCTTCTTCATTGGATTTGGACAGTCCTGTCTCCCTCATGGGATTTGGTGAGAGCTCCTTAGTTTCCTTATTTTTCCCACTGTGTTGGGCCACCTTGTCCCCACCATCAGATTGGGGAACACCTTGTCTCCCAGTCAGACCAGAGGGGCGGACTCCTCTGCCCTTGCAAAGGTTCCTAGGTCCTTCTTACATCCATAGGAGGAACCATGCCTATTTTACCAAGAGGGAAACTGAGGCACAGAGAAACAAAGCACCACTTCTCTGTCCAGCTGCAGATGCCTCCACCTCCCCCTCCGCCCGCTCCTCTGCCCCTGCCCTCCCCCGCCCCCGCCCCTGACCTGGGTAACTCCCCTGGCACCGGGAGTAGGGGAATTTTGCCCTGCTGGCCTCTGCACCAACCACCTCCCCTTATCGGCAGCGTCGCCACCAGTGGCGGCCCAGGGTTAAAGTCCGGAGAGAGCTCCGGGCGCGAAGCGGATAGGGAGGGAGGAGTGGCGCCCAACCCAGAACGGGGACTCCCCGGAGGTCGAGCCCTCACGCTGCTGGGAGGAGAGGGGATGGGCAGGGCCGTGTCCCATGGTAAGGTGTGGGTTCAATCCTTCCTTTCTAGTTCCCGGCTGTGTGGTCTTGAACCTGGAACTTCACCCCAACTGGGAGCCTCAGCTTCTCCAGCTTTAAGGAGTCAGGGGCGTGAAAATGTCCAAGCTCTGGAGTCAGACTCCAGGAGTTTGAATGCTGGCTCCTATAACCTGCTGTGTGAGATCTGGGGCCAGCGAGTGTGTCTCTCTCAGCCTCAGTTTCCCCAGCTGTGCAATGAGGATACCTAGTGGGTGGTGGTGAACGCTCCATGAGTTTACGCACAAGAAAACCTTGGGACAGTGGCTGATAGTGGCGCCAGCAAGCCAGCATGCACCCCACCCTTTCCTTCCAAGAAAATTGCCTCCTAAATCTATGATTGGTAACCTTCACCCCTCCCTCTTTGACCCACCTCCTAACCCAGGCCACCTGGTGTCTTGCTGCACAGCTGGTCTCCCTGCCCGCACCACACCCAGAGGCGTCCTTGGAAACCCAACCCTGACCCCTGGTCAGAATCTGCCATGGCTCCCCAGTGCCCCCAGGAGAAAGCCAAGTGCTGTGCCACAGCCACAGCCTGACCACTCACTGCTTGTATTTTTTTTTCTTTTTCTTTCTTTTCTTTTCTTTTTCTTTTTTTTTTTTTTTTTTTAAGACAGGGTCTTGCTCTGGCCCCAGGCTGGAATGCAGTGGTGCCATCATAGCTCACTGCAGCCTCAACCTCCTGGGCTCAAGCAATCCTCCCACCTCAGTCTCCTGAGTAGCTGAGACTACAGGCACATGCCACCACACCTGGGTAAATTTTTAAATTTTTTTTTTAGCGATAGGGTCTCACTCATTGCCCAGGCTGGTCTTAAACTCCTGGGCTCAAGCGATCCTCCCGCCTCAGCCTCCCAAAATGCTTGGACTACAGGTATGCACCACCGCGCCCAGCCTCCTTTCTGGTTTTCTAATAAAGCCTTTTGTTCACCTCCTTCAAACACTTCCCCATGCTCTTCAGGTCTCAGCTCAAACAGGCCAGGCCCGGTCCCCTGGGTCCTCTCTGTCCTCCGTCTCCTGGTTCCCTGTACCTCTCCAAAAGCCCCCACGACCAAAAGAAGTAAAGATGTAGGGCCGGGCGCGGTGGCCTACACCTGTATTTCCCAGCACTCTGGGAGGCTGAGGTAAGTGGATCACCTGAGGTCACGAGAACCGATTGAACCCCAGAGGCAGAGGTTGCAGTGAGCCGAGATTGCGCCACTGTACTCCAGCCTGGGCGACACAGAGAGACTCAACCTCAAAAAAAAAAAAAAAAAATGGTGGCTGGGCAAGGTGGCTTATGCCTGTAATCCCAGCACTCTGAGAGGCCAAGGCAGGCAGATCACTTGAGCCCAGGAGTTCGAGACCAGCCTGGGCAACATGGTGAAAACCCGTCTCTACAAAAAATACAAAACTTAGCTGGGTGTGGTGGCATGCGCCTGTAATCCCAGCTACTCAGGAGGCTGAGGCATGAGAATCGCTTGAATCCGGGAGGTGGAGGCTGCAGTGAGCCAAGATCATGCGACTGCACTCCAGCCTGGGTGACAGTGCAAGACTCTGTCTCAAAAAAAAAAAAAAGTTCCCACTCTGGTCCAGCCACCATCACTGAAGGCCCGGACCATGCAGTCACCTCCTCATGGGACTCCCTGCCTGGGTCCTTGCTGCACCTCCACAAGGACCTGTCTTTCCCCCACATGCAGCCACAGGGATCCTGTTAACACCTAAGTCATCAGAAGGCTGAGGCGGGAGGATCGCTTGAGCCCAGGAGGTCGAGGCTATAGTAAGCCAAGATGGCACCACTGTACTCCAGCCTGGGCAACACAGTGAGACCCTGTCTCTAAACAGTAATAATAATAACAAATTAAATTAAATTAAAACCTGGCCTGGGCATGGTGGCTCATGCCTGTAATTCCAGCACTTTGGGAGGCCGAGGCAGATAGAGTACCTGAGGTCAGGAGTTGGCCAACATGGTACCTGACCAACGTGGTGAAACCCTGTCTCTATTTTAAAAATATAAAAATTAGCTGGGCCTGGTGGCACATGCCTGTAATTCCAGCTACTCAGGAGGCTGAGGCAGGAGAATCGCTTGAACCTGGGAGGCGGAGGTTGCAGTGAGCCCAGATGGCATCACTACACTCCAGCCTGGGCGACAGAGCGAGACTCCATCTCGAAAAAAAATAAAAAATGAAGTCAGATTATCCCTCCCCTGCCCAGAACCCTCCATGGCTCCCATCTCCCTCTGAGTAAAAGCCTATGTCCCTACAGTGGCTCATAAGATCCTGAGCCATCTCCTTGCCACCCTTCCCCTCTCCCCATCCTCCCACTCTCCCCCAGCTCATCCTGCTCCAGCTACACTGGCCTCCAACAGCTGTTCCGACCCACCTCTGGGCCTTGGCACTTGCTGTTCCCTCTGCCTAGAATACTCTTCCCCCAGATGTCCACATGGTTCATTCCCTCCCCTCACTCAAGTCTTAGCCCCAAACGTCATTCCTTGGAGGGCCTCCCTTGGCCACCAGATTTAAACAACAGCTTCCACTTCCTATGCTCCATCTCCCTCATTCCCTCACCAGTTTTATTTTTCTCCATAGCAAATACATACCATTGGCTGTATTTTCCTTGTCTTGTTGACTGTCTCCTGGATGGATGGACGAGTCTGTGGCTCCCCAAGGGCAGGAATCTTAGTTGTTCAACACCAGGGCAGGGCCTGGAAAACCTGTTAGCAGAGTGAATGAATTGTGTGTGTGTTTTGAAAAGGTAAGGTGTTCACAAGTTCCAAAATTCAAAAAGGACCAAATGGCAGTGAGCTGTCACTTCCCCACCACGACTCTGCCCCTCCCTCCCCAGTCCTGTTCTCACCTCCCAGTTTCCGTTTTTTTGTTTTGTTTTGTTTTGAGACAGGGTCTCACTCTGTCACCCAGGCTGGAGTACAGTGGTGCCAGCATAGCTCACTGCTGCTTCCACATCCTGGACTCAAATGATCCTCCCACCTCAGCCGCCCTAGTAGCTGGGGCCATAAGCACGCACCACCATGCCCAGCTAATTTTTGTATTTTTGGTAGAGACGGGGTTTTACCACGTTGCCCAGGCTGATCTCGAACTCCTGGGCTCAAGTGATCCATCCACCTTGCCCTTGCAAAGTGCTGGGATTACAGGCGGGGGCCGCTTTGCAAATGGTGCACAGTCTTGCTGTGGCCTGCATTTTCCCCTAGCAATACAGCAATACATCTGGAAAATCACACCGCATCAGCACCTTCTTTTTTTTTTTTTTTTTTTTAATAATTGCATGCACAGTGTCGACTTGTGGACAGACGAGAGCTCTTGCCGCAATTGTTATTATATTTCAGGAGTGGTGTGGCGTGGTGCCTAAGACCTCAGTGTCATCTCTCAGACCCGGATTCACCTCGTAGCTCTACAGCCAGAACTCCCACAGGCTGCTGGTGGGCGTGCAAGCCCCGAGCAGCCACTTTGGAAAATGGTTTGCCAACTTCCCGCAAGGTTAAATACACACTTCCCATAGGATCCAACAATTTTATTCCTCGGTATTGACCCGAGAGAAATGAAAACCTATTTTCACACAAAAAAACTGTATGCACACACACTCACAGCAGCTCTGTTCATAATTGCCAACAACTGTAAACAACCCAAATGTCCTTCAGCTTGTATGTGGATAAGCGAGCTGTGGTCCATCCACACAATGGAATATCACTCAGCAGTGAAGACTAACTGCTATTGATACACACAACGTGGATGGACCTCAACTGTGTTATATTGAGTGAAAGAAGCTATGCTCAAAAATTACAGTGTTCAGCCGAGTGCAGTGGCTCACGCCTGTAATCCCAGCACTTTGGGAGGCCAAGGTGAGAGAATTGCTTGAGCCCAGGAGTTTGAGACCAGCCTGGGCAACATGGTGAGACCCCATCTCTATAAAAATATTGATGATGATGGTGATGATGATGATGATGATAATGATAATAACTACATTACTCCATTTACAAGACACTCTGAAAAAGGCAAAACTAGAGGGACAGAAAACAGACCTGTGGTTGCCAGGGGTGGGGTGGGGGATGGGCGTGACCCCAAAAGGGCAGATGAAGGGTTTTAGGGGTGGTGGGACATATCCATATTTTGATTCTGGTGGTGACTACACAGCCACATGAGCCTGTCAAAGCTTTAAGAACTGCATGCCCCACAGGCACTTCGAGAGGCCAAAGCAAGAGGCCAGGAGTTGAAGACCAGCCTGGGCAACATAGTGAGACCCCATCTCTACCATAAATACAAAAATTAGCTGGGCTTGGTGGCGTGCACTTGTAGTTCCAGCTAATGAGGAAGCTGAGGCGGGACGATCGCTAGAGCCTGAAAGGTTGAGGCTGCAGTGAGTGGTGATCGCACCGCTGCACTCCAGCCTGGGTGACAGAGTGAGAACATTCCTCAAAAAAAAAAAGAAAGAAAGAAAGAAAGAAAAGAAATGTATGATGAAAAGAGTGAATTTTACTGTAGGTAAATTTGTCAATGATTTTTTTTTAAGGACTACATACTCTGTAATCCCATTTACATGTCATCCTGGAAAAGCAAATTTATAGGGATAAAAAGCAGCTGGGTGTGGCGGCTCACACCTGTAATCCCAGTACTTTGGGAGGCTGAGGCAGGTGGATCACTTGAGGTCAGGAGTTTGAGACCAGCCTGGGCAACATGGTGAAACCCCACCTCTACTAAAAATACAAAAATTAGCCGGGCGTGGTGGCAGGCACCTGTAATACCAGCTACTCAGGAGGCCAAGGCAGGAGAATCGCTGGAACCCGGGAGGTGGAGGTTGCAGTAAGCCGAGATCGTGCCACTGCACTCCAGCCTGGGTGACAGAGCAAGACCCCATCTCAAAAAAAAAAAAAAAAGGCAGATATAGCTGAGTGTGGTGGCTCATGCCTGTAATCCCAGAACTTTGGGAGGCTGAGGTGGGTGGATCACTTGAGGTCAGGAATTCAAGACCAGCCTGGCCAACATGGTGAAACCTCGTCTCTACTAAAAATACAAAAATTAGCCGGACATGGTGGTGCCTGCCTGTAATCCCAGCTACTGGGGAGGCTGAGGCAGAAGAATCACTTGAACCCGGGAGGCAGAGGCTGCAGCAAGCAGAGATCGCGCCCCTGCACTCCAGCCTGGGTGACAGAGCAAAATGTCTCAAAAAAAAAAAAAAGAAAAAAGAAAAAGAAAAAGAAAAGAAAAGAGGCCGGGCGCGGTGGCTCACGCCTGTAATCCCAGCACTTTGGGAGGCCGAGGCGGGCAGATCACAAGGTCAATAGATCGAGACCATCCTGGCCAACATGGTGAAACCCCGTCTCTACTAAAAATTCAAAAATTAGCCAGGCATGGTGGCGGGCGCCTGTAGTCCCAGCTACTAGGGAGGCTGAGGCAGGAGAATCACTTGAACCAGGGAGGCAGAGGTTGCAGTGAGCCGAGACCGTGCCACTGCACTCCAGCCTGGCAATAGAGTGAGACTCCATCTCAAAAAAAAAAAAAGAAAAGAAAAAGCAGATTAGTGGCTGCCAGTGTCTGGGGACAAGGGGAGGAGATGACTGCAAGGAGGGCACAGTGGACCTTTTCCGGGCACTAGAAATGTTCTATATCTTGATCAGGATATGATTAAATGATTGTACATGTTTATCAGAACTCATCTAGCATACTCCTTCTTTAATTTAATTTTAATTAATTTAATTGATTTATTTTTGAGAGAGTCTCGCTCTGTCACCCAGGCAGGAGTTCGGTGGCAAGATCACAGCTCACTGCAATCTCCACCTCCTGGATTCAAGTGCCTCAGCCTCCCAAGTAGCTGGGATTATAGGCATGCGCCACCATGCCCCGCCAAACACACACATTTGAAACAGGTGTATTTTATTGCATGTAAATTATACCTCAGTACAGTTGATTTTTAAAATCTAAACTCCTGGCCAGGTGCAGTGGTTCAGGACTGTAATCCCAGCACTTTGGGAGGCTGAGGCAGGAGGATCACTGGAGCCCGGGAGTTCAAGACCAGTCTGGGCTTCCTGGCAAGACCCTGTCTCTACAAAAAAAAAAAAAAAAAAATGCAAAAACTAGCAGGGCATGGTGGCACATGCTTGTAGTCCCAGCTACTCAGGAGGCTGAGGGGGAAGGATCACCTGAGCCCCGGGAGGTGGAGGCTGCAGTGAGTCGTGAATGCACCACTGCACTCCAGCCTGGGTGACAGAGTGAGACCCCGTCTCAAAACACACACACACACACACACACACACACACATTTAGCTCCTCTTCCCCCTTATTGGCTGTGTGACCTTAGACAAAGCTCCTAACTTCTCTGTGCCTGGGTAAATGATGAGGGAGTTGGGAAGGAGGGAATGATCACTGAGGGCAGGTGCTGAGGTCTCAGGTCTCACTGTGGATTCATGCAAGAAACGTTTACAAGTGAAACAGAGGGGCTTTATGAGCTTTTAGAGGGGAACTGGAGACAGAGACCTGAGCAGCTGACAATGGCTCCTATGTCTCCGGAGGGCAGGTGGTGGGCTGAGCACTGTCAGGGCCTCACCTGCATCCCTTTGAACCATCGGGCACTCCTTTGCTGACCTGGAAAAGTGAGTGGAGCCATCCCTGGGATCCCAGAGAAATGGCATCGAGGGCACACAATTAAGAGCATTGTAAGCAAGCCTTGTGAACAGTCAGATGGGCTTGACAGCCCCGTGCCCAGAGGTCTCTGCTGTTTGGGGCAGTGCTGGATACACACAGCAGTGACAGCCCCAGGCCTGCCCTCACAGGCTCACACATGGGGAAGACTAGCCTGTCCCCAGACAGTCGCATCCCAGAATGTTGGGGCTGGCATGGTCAGGGGGGCCCAGAGGGGGCTCCTGACTCAGACTAGAAAGAGAAATCAGGGAGGGCTTCCTGGAGGAAAGGCTGTCAGAGCTGGGGCCTGATGTGTTTATTGAGCACTTACTGTGTGACCTGGTTTGGATCTCCAAGAAAGAGGTATAGTTTTGACGTTGAAGTGAAAGGGGTATGTATGGAAGGAGGATGGTGCGAGAGAGGCCTTGGCTAAGAGGCAGAAAGGGGTGTGGGTGGGACAGAGCCGGGGGATAAGGCTGAAGGAAGACGGTAGCTGGTGTGGGTCCTCTGCGGCAGGATCCTGGACTTTCTCCCGATGATGGGGCTCAGGAAGGAGCAGCTTCCTCAGGTTCCATCCTGTGCAAAGGGAGGACCAGGCAGGAGGAGGTGGGGAGGCTGAGGAAAGGCCATGGAAATGAGAAGTGGCTATAAGAGCCACCCAGGGGAGGGGACACAGGGAGGGTGAGAAGACCTGGGCGCCCGCTCCTTTCTCTTCTCTGTTCTCACTCTGAGCTAGACGGCATTGGCCGGGCAGCTTCCTTGTTTCTAAAAGTTTAAGATAAAGGGCAGGCAAGGTGGTGCCTGCCTGTAGTCCCAGTGCTTTGGGAGGCCCAGGCAGGTGGATCACTTGAGCCTCCTGTTTGGAGCTGTAGTGAGCTATGATCACATCACTGCACTCCAGCCTGGGTGACAGAGCAAGACCCCATATCTAAAAATAATAATAATAATTAATAATAAATATAAATTTAAGATAGTGAATCTGGCCGTGCGTAGTGACTCATGCCTGTAATCCCAGCACTTTGGGAGGCTAAGGTGGACGGATCACCTGAGGTCAGGAGTTCAAGAACAGCCTGGCCAACAGGACGAAACCCTGTCTCTATTAAAAAACACAAAAAAATTAGCTAGCGTGCACCTGTAGTCCCAGCTACTCGGGAGGCTGAGGCATGAGAATCGCTTGCACCTGGGGGACAGAGGTTGGCATAAGCCAAGACCGCACCACTACACTCCAGCCTGGGTGACAGAGTGAGACTCCATCTCAATAAAAATAAATAAATAAATAAATAAATAAATAAATAAATAGTGAATCTTAAGTTTGCCAAGGATGCATTTTTATCTCTCTTTAGTTCTTAAGACTCTGATCATTCTTCTTTTTTTTTCAAGTTCCAGGGTATATGTGCAGGATGTGCAGGTTTGTTACATAGTAAAAATGTGCCACGGTGGTTTGCTGCACCCATCAACCCATCGCCTAGGTATGAAGCCCGTCATGCATTAGCTATTCTTCCTAATGCTCTCCCTCCCTCTGCACCCCTCCCCATCCCAACAGGCCTCAGTTTGTGTTGTTCCCCTTCCTGTGTCCATGTGTTCTCATCATTCAGCTCCCACTTATAAGTGAGAACACGTGGTGTTTGGTTTTCTGTTCCTGCGTTAGTTTGCTGAGGATAAATGGCTTCCAGCTCCATCTGTATCCCTGCAAAGCACATGATCTTATTCCTTTTCATGGCTGCATAGTATTCCACGGTGTATACATACCACATTTTTCTTTATCCAAGACTTCGATCATTCTTAATTTTTATTTTTATTTTATTTATTTATTTATTTATTTTTGAGACAGAGTTTTGCTCTTGTTGCCAAGGCTGGAGTGCAATGGTGCAATCTCAGCCCAATGCAACTTCCTCCTCCTGGGTTCAAGTGATTCTCCTGCCTCAGCCTCCCGAGTAGCTGGGATGACAGCCATGCACCACCATGCCGAGCTAATTTTGTATTTTTAGTAGAGATGGAATTTCTCCATGTTGGTCAGGCTGGTCTTGAACTCCTGACCTCAGGTGATCCGCCCACCTTGGCCTCCCAAAGTGCTGGGATTATAGGTGTGAGCCACCGTGCCTGGCCTAATTTCTTAAATTCTACCCATTTTTGCTCCTAAAGTTCTGTAACTGCAGGTTTACTTGATCCTTTGATACTAAGATTCATTCATTCAGTAAATACTTACTGGGCCTCTATTCTGCCCTAGGTCCTAATGATACAAGGGAGAACAAAATGTATAAAATTTTTGCCATGACAGAAATCACATTTACTGAGCACTCACTGTGTGCCAAGTTTCATGCCAGGTGTACACATATAACATTACCTACATGATGAGTTACAGACTTCTATTATCCCCATTATCCAAATGGGGAAACTGAGGCATAGGGTTCTGGAATCCCTTGTTCCTAAAAATCTAGGATTCTAGAATTCCTCTCCTTCTCCTTCCTCTTCCTCTTCCTCCCTCCTCCTCCTCCTCTTCTCCTTCTCCTTCCCCTTCCCCTTCCCCTTCCCCTTCCCCTTCCCCTTCTCCTTCTCCTTCTTCTTTTTGAGACAGGGTCTCACTGTGTTGCCCAGGCTGGAGTGCAGCGGCATGATCATAGCTCACTACAGCCTCAATCTCCCAAGCTCAAGAAATTCTCCCACCTCGGTCTCTTAAGTAGCTGGGACCACAGGCAGGGTCTCACTTTGTTGTCCAGGCTGGTCCCAAATTCCTGGGCTCAAGTGATCCTCCTGTTTCAGCCTCCCAAAGTGCTAGGATTACAGGCATGAGCCACCGTGCCCAGCCTAGAATTCTTTGCACCTAAGATTGTAAGGGTCTATAATTCTTTGTCCTTAAGATTCTCTTATGCTTGGATTCAAGTGAACAATGTATATAGGAAAAGGTGCTGAATCTCATTATTGATCCAGGAAATGCAAATTAGAACCACCCTGAGATTCCAATCCACACATACACACAGCAGGATGACTCATATTTTTAAATCTGGTAGATCCAGTACTGATAAAGATGTGGGGCAAGGAGAACTCACAGCGGACATTGAAGATGGGAGTGAGAATTGGCATAACCACGTGGGAAAAGTGTCTGGCCATGTCTTCTACAGGGGACACCCTGCAGCCTAACAATTCTAGTCCTGGAGAATGCAGAAAAATGCACGCTCATGAGCATGAGCAGTATTGGCCAAAACAGTCAGAAAGTGGAAACCAACCTTCTGCCCACCAACAAATAATAGATTCAAAAATTGTGCTATACAGCCGAGCGCAGTGGCTCAAGCCTGTAATCCCAAAACTTTGGGAGGTTGAGGCAGGTGGATCACTTGAGGTCAGGAGTTCAGGACCAGCCTGGCCAACATGGTGAAACCCCATCTCTACTAAAAATACAAAAATTAGCTGGGCGTGGTGGCACATGCCTGTAATCCCAGCTACTCTGGAGGCTGAGGCAAGAGACTCGCTTGAACCCAGAAGGCAGAGATTGCAGTGAGCCAGGATCATGCCACTGCACTCTAGCCTAGGTGACAGAGCAAGACTCAGTCTCAAAAAAAATAAAATAAAATAAATTGTGCTATATCCATGCAAGAGAATAGTATACAGCAATGAAAAAATAAACACACTCCAATAGATTCAAGGATATGAATGAAAAGCCAGGCAAGGTGGCTCACACCTGTAATCCCAGCACTTTGGGAGGCTAAGGGGTATGGATCACCTGAGGACAGGAGTTTGAGACCAGCCTGGCCAACATGGTGAAACCCCATCTCTACTAAAAATACAAAATTAGCCAGGTGTGGTGGTGCACACTTGTAACCGTACTCAGGAGGCTGAGGCAGGAAAATCACTTGAACTCAGAAGGCAGAGGTTGCAGTGAGCCAAGATTGCGCCGTTGCATTCCAGCCCGGGCAAAAAGATCGAAACTTTAAACTTTAGCTCAAAAAAAAAAAAAAAAAGAAAAAACAGAAAAGAATATGAATGAAATTCACAGACATAAAATTGAGTCAAAGAAGCCAGATCCAAGAGGTTGTACAATAAGATTCCCTTTAGGACAGGCATGGTGGCTCACGCCCGTAATCCCAACACTTTGAGAGGCTGAGCCAGGCGGATCACCTGAGGTCAGGAGTTCGAGACCAGCCTGACCAACATGGTGAAACCCCGTCTCTGCTAAAAATACAAAATTAGCCGGGCGTGGTGGCGCATGCCTGTAGTCCCAGCTACTCAGGAGGTTGAGGCAGGAAAATCGCTTGAACCCAGGAGGCGGAGGTTGCAGTGAGCCGAGATCGCACCATTGCACCCCAGCCTGGGCGACAATAGGAAAACTCTGTCTCAAAAAAAAAAAAATTAGCTAAGCATGGTAGCAATGCACCTGGGGTCCCAGCTAGTCGGGAGGCTGAGGCCAGAAGATTGGCTGAGGCCAGGAGTTCAAGGCTCCAGAGAGCTATGGTCACACCCACTGCACTCCAGCCTGGATGACAAAGCGAGACCCCATCTAAAAAAAAAAAAAGATTTCCTTTATTAAAAATTCAAAATCGTAGTAGTCGTAGGTAGCAAAAATATAAAGAAAAGCAAGAAAATTATACCATAAAAGACAAAATACAGGTCACCTTTCCAGGAGGGAGGGAGCTGTGAGGCATGAAGAGGCATGAAGGAGCTTCTGAGGAACTAGCAACACTATTTCTCTTTTTTTCTCTTTTTTTTTTTTTGAGACAGAGTCTTACTCTGTCACCCAGGCTCGCGTGCATTGGCGCAATAGCAATATTGCTCACTGCAACCTCCGCCTCCTCGGTTCAGCTATTCTCCCAGCCTCCAGAGTGTCTGGGACCACAAGGCGTGCACCACCATGCCCCACTAATTTTTGTATTTTTAGTAGAGATGGGGTTTTGCCATGTTGCCCAGGCTGCTCTCGAACTCCTAACCTCAGGTGATCCGCCCCCTCGGCCTTCCAGTGCTAGGATTACAGGCATGAGCCACCGCGCCTGGCCCAGCAACACTTTCTTAACCTAACTGTTTCCTTTACAAAAGTCTCTGAAACAGAACAATATATTTTAATTGTACGCAATTCTCCCCATGTTATATTTCATAATTTTCAGGGATTTTTTTTTAATCCCACGATTCCAAATCTCTGTTCCTCAAATGACGTGGCTCTCCAGGGGGCGGTGGGCAAAAGTTCTGAGCCCTGGCATGGAGCCCTGGCACAGAGACCTGGTGCACGGTGCACCAGGAACCCACAGGAGAATTTGGGATCTGAAACAGCAAATACAATTTGATTTTCCCAGAAGTGAGCAAATGTGCTGTGACTCTGTGTGACCACAGTGGGCTGAAGTGACAAGTTCAAGGGTAGGTGATGTTCAGAGTAGAGGCCACAAGCCAGCGCCTCCCCGCCCCCACCCCACCTCCTGCAGAGCGTGACGCCAGTAAGAGTGGTCATCTATTTCTCTTCCCACCAGCCACCCCAGAGCCTGGCTCTCCCTGGGAGGAGATGCAACCTCAACAATCCTGGGCCAGTCCCATTCTTTTTGGATGTGGAAATTGAGCCTGCCCAGGATTGCTTGGCTGAGAGGCTGCCGTGTTGGGATTTGCTCCTGACTTGCAACCACCTGACTCCACAGGGATGAGGCAGTAGAGACAGCCCTGCCCCATCCTCAGTATCCTGGGAATGTGTTGGAGGGTATGGGTGGCCCCGACTGGGACACTGGGATGACGGTTGGAAACAAGGGAGGTGAGTGTGCCATGTCCCGGCTCAAATGAGGAAGGGCCCAGTGTGACCTCGGCTTTCCCAGGAGCCTGAGGGACTTTTGCATCTGTATTTTTAAATGCTGGTGGCCACAGGGCAGGTTGTGGCCTTGAGTAGGGGAGGCACCGACTTCCAGGGAAAAGGCTGGAGTTTCAGGAAAGGGACTGTCCCTCCTGGATAGGCACCATGCTCCACCCTGCCAGGGTGGGCTTGAGAAGAGGGGCTTCTAATTCAATGGGAGGGCTCCTACTTAGGGAGTGGCTAGGCTGATAGGGGTGGCATGATTTCCCCCAACTCAAGTCAAGAAGGAACCACTAATCTGATGGAGGAGGCACATACCAGCTCCCTCCTGGGGAAATTTATATTTCCTAGTCTAATTTGATGGACAAAACTTAATTTTACTCGGACAGCACTCCTAGTCCCAAGAAGGATTCAAGATTTACAGCGTAGTGAGCTCTAGTCTGATGGAGGAGGCAGGACCCAAACCCACCCACAGGGAGGTTTCCTATGAGGGTGGAGGCATGCCTGTTATCTTCAGGAAGCTCTAGTCTAGTCTGACATTCATCCAAATGTCTTCTGGGGAGGAGGGGCAAAATTGCTCCCCTCAATTGAGAATCTAGACAGAGGAGGGAGTCATGCTGCCCCACCCCATTTTTTTTTCCTTTTAGATCTAGTCCTGAACCCAGATGCCCCATGCATCTTCACGGAACCGATGGGAGAAGCAAAATCCACTTTTAGAGATATCTAATCTGTGAAGAAGTCACACTTTCATTCTCAGGGAGATTCTGATCTGATGGAGGAGGAAGAATGCAATTCAAACCCTCAAGGAACTCTTACACTGATGGGAAACATGTCCCCACCTTGGGGGCCTCCAAGTCTGATGGCAGAGGTCTTCCTCCCATCCTTGGGAAGCTCTAGTCCAATGAGGGAGGCACTCCCCCACCATGTCAGTGCCTTCCTTCCCGTACCTTCTCCCTGCCCTCTGGCTGCCCGAATGAGCAGGGCAGGGGGCTTCCCCTCCCCACCTCCCTGGTGAATCCTAGAATCAGGGAACTTCTGCAGGAGGACACCACGGTTCCCCAGCCCTGGGACTTCCCTTTCTCCGTCAGCCCAAACCCAGGGCCTCACTGGGGGGGCCAGACATGCCTGCCCTGCTGATCATGGCTCACCTATCACCCCAGCCCCCATGACATCACCTGGTTATTGCATGTCCACAGCATCCCAGGCTCCGCGGGGACTTTCCATGCTTGACCTCGCCAGTGCCCTACCCTGAGAGGGAGGAGTCTGTCCCCACTTTACAAACAAAGCTTAGAGGGCATGGCACTCTTGCCAGAGACCACACAGCCAGAAACTGGCAGAGTGGGGAACAGACCAAGTGGGTCTGACTCCAGAGCCCCAGCTCCTTAGGAATGAGGATGAGGATGATGTACGTATACAGTCCTCATTTTCTGCCAGGCAATCCTGCCAAGGGCTATATTGCTGACTCACTAGCTCTTCTCGGCCATGGTGTTATTATTCTCATTGTCATTATTCTGTAACTCAGACAGGGAAACTGAGGCCCAAAGAGATAGATGAGTATGTAGCAGAGCCAATACTCAGTCAGGTTGTCTGACTCCAGTGCCATCATCACAGCTCAGCTCCCCCAGAAGACAGATGATTATACGGAATTGGGCATGCGAAAGATTTATGGACCAGCCTGGGAAACGTAGCAAAATCCCATTTCTGCAGAAATTTTCGAAATTAGCCAGGCATGGCTTGGTGCGGTGGCTCACGCCTGTAATCCCAGCACTTTGGGAGGCTGAGGCTGGCAGATCACCTGAGGTCAGGAGTTTGAGACCAGCCTGACCAACATCGAGAAACCCCGTCTCTACTAAAAATACAAAATTAGCCAGGCGTGGTGGCACATGCCTGTAATCCCAGCTACTCGGGAGGCTGAGGCAGGAGAATCGCTTGAACCCAGGAAGCAGAGGTTGCGGTGAGCTGAGATCCCGCCATTGCACTCCAGCCTGGGCAACAAGAGCGAAACTCCGTCTCAAAAAACAAAAAGAAAAAGAAATTAGCCAGGCATGATGACACACACTTATAGTCCCAGCTACTCAGGAGGCCGAGGTGGGAGGATCACGCCTGTGGTCCTAGCTACTCAGGAGGCTGAGGTGGGAGAATCGCTTGAGCCCAGGAGGCTAAGACTGCAATGAGCTATGATCGCACCACTGCACCTCAGCCTCAGCCTGGGCAACAGAGTGAGACCCTGTCTCTTACATACATATATATCTCTTAAATACACACACACACACACACACACACACACATATCTTAAATATATATATGTGTGTATATATATACATACGTGTGTGTGTATATATATACACACACATATACATATATATACACATATATACGTATATGTGTGTGTATATATATGTGTGTGTGTATATATATGTGTGTGTGTGTTGTGTGTGTGTGTATCTATCTATATATATATATATGCAGGGCACAGCACCTCAGAAAGGAAAGGAGGAAGCAAGAGGAGTGAGCAAGGGGGACTGTCAAGTTGTAATGCCCCCCCTACAGGAAGGCTCTTGCATTAGAGAAGTCCCACCCTGGTCAGAAATGGCTAGCACCTCTGAACCCCACCTGTCATTGGCTGGAGACTGCCCAGGAGACCATGCCCCAGCCGGTAAGCTGAAGCAGACCTCAAAGGAGTCAACTGCCAATGTCAGAGGCTGTCTGCTCTCTCTGCATGCCTGGCAGCAAGATCAAAAGTCCGTTTTTTTTGTTTGTTTTGTTTTGTTTTTTTAAATTTCTGAGACAGGGTCTCACTCTGTTACCCAGGGTGGAGTGCAGTGGCATGATCATAGCTCACTGCAGCCTCAGCCCCCCAGGCTCAGGCAATCCTCCCGCCTCAGCCTCCCAAGTAGCTGGGACCACAGGCTCACCACCACCATGCCAGGCTAATTTTTATATTTTTTTGTAGAGGCCAGGCATGGTGGCTTATGCCTGTAATACCAGCACTTTGGGGGGCTGAGGCAGGAGGATCACTTAAGGTCAGGAGTTTGAGACCAGCCTGGCCAACATGGCGAAACCCCATCTCTACTAAAAATACAAAAATTATCCAGGATTGGTGGCATATGCCTGTAGTCCCAGCCACTTGGGAGGCTGAGGCAGGAGAACCACTTGAACCCAGGAGGCAGGGGTTGCTGCACCACTGCACTCCAGCCTGGGTAACAAAGTGAAACTTTGTCTCAAAAAAAAAAAATTTGCTGGGCATGGTAGTATGTGCCTGTAGTCCCAGCTACTTGGGAGGCTGAGCCAGGAGAATCTCTTGAGTCTGGGAGGCGGAGGTTGCAGTGAGCCGAGATCACACCACTGCACTCCAGCCTGGGCAACAGAACAAGACTCTGTCTCAAAAAAAAAAAAAATGTACTTTTTTGTAGAGACGGGGTCTTGTTCTGTTGCCCAGGCTGGTCTCGAACTCCTGGGCCCAGGTGATTCTCCCATCCTGGCCTCCCAAAGCACTGGGATTAGAGGGATGTGCCGCCACACCCAGCCAACAGGTTTTTTCTTGAAGGGGGATGTGAGCTGCCTGTCTCTGTGGCTGCCACTCCCATACCTATATGAATAATAACAATCATTTTAAAATAATATCTTCCATTTACTGAGACTTTCCTCTGTGCCAGGCCTGTGCTGACGTGTGTGAATTCATTTGACTCTCACAACACCGCCGGAAGACATGCACTGTTTTTACCCTCATTTTATAGATGAGGAAACTGGGGCTCAGAGAGGGTAAATAAATCACCTGCCCAGGGTCACACAGCTGGTAAGTGACAGAACTGGGATTGGAACCCAAACAATTAGACAGGGCCCCATTCACAGATGAGGACACTAGCCCACTAGTACCTGATTGTCTACTGTCACCTCGCTGAGACCACTGTGACCTTCCTTCCTATGCCCCGCCTTCCCAGACCCCCATCCACCCACCCAGGGCAGATGCTGATCTCCACACTCCCCCCACCGAATCACCCCTCTCTGATCAAGGCAGCTGGCAGGGGCGGCGGAGAGGGTGGGGGGACGAGGGTGTCCAGTCTCCCTGGCCTGCCAAGAGAGGATGTCGCAATCCTCTGACTCAGCGTCGTGCGTGCAGACCCAGCAAGAGGCAGAAAGGGGAAGATTAAGTCTTGGCTTAGGCCCCAGATGGGCTGATTCTGCTCAATGCCAGGAGCTCCCAGAGCTGCCAAGGCTCCAGGGTGGGGAGGAACCAGGAGGTGCAGGCCATGCTCCAGGAAGCTGGCCCGCATTCACCCGTGGGGGTGGGGCAGAGCAGCCTCAGGGAGCGGAGCCGTGTGGACTTCCAGCCCAGGGCCCAGACTGGAGGCAGCCTGACCTTGGGCATGTCCCTTCCCATCCAGGCCCAGAGTCTCTGTATCCTTCTGTCTGCGGAATTCACTTGCTCTCCCTGAACCTCTCTGGAGGCTCTAGTGGTTGTTCCTCCTCAAGGGACTCTTAAGTCTAACTCTATTTTTTTTTCTTTTTTGTTTGAGACAGGGTCTTGCTCTGCCACCCAGGCTGGAGCGCAGTGGCACGATCTCAGCCCACTGCAACCTCGGCCTCCTGGGTTCAAGCGATTCTCCTGCCTCAGCCTCCCGTGTAGCTGGCATTACAGGCGCCCACCACCACGCCCGGCTAAGTTTTGTATTTTTAGTAGAGACGGGGTTTCGCCTTGTTGGCCAGGCTGGTCTTGAATTCCTGACCTCAGATGACCCTCCAGTCTCAGCCTCTCAAAGTGCTGGGATTACAGGCGTGAGTCACCATGCCCGGCCCCTTAAGTCTAACTCTATTCCCTCCTGCTGCAATGCCATCCTCTCTCCACGCACGGACCCTCCCCATACCAGGAGGCAGCAGAGAAGAGTTCCAGGGTGCGAATCTCCATGGGTGTCCTCGGACATATGACTTTCCCTCTCCATGCCTCAGTTTCCCCATCTAAACCATTTCTTCCCAGGGAGAAGGGGCCTAGAATCAAGCTGGAAGGGCACACCTGCAGTCTCCGAGACTCATGGCCACTTCTCCCAGGTCAGAAGCGTGCTGGGGTCACAGGGACCTGGCTTGAAATCTCAGCTCTCCCCAGTTCCTCACCGTGTGACCCGGGCAGTGAGTTCACTTCTCTGTGCCTGTTTCCTCCTCTATAAAATTGGGTTTTTAGCTGAATTTTCCTTACAAGGTGTTAAGAGGATTAAGTGGGCCAATTCTTAGTTGCAACTCAGCCCGGAGTGAATGTTTCTGTCTTGTCTCCTCTGTGAGTAGAAAAGGGTGAGAAGGAGGCCCTGGTCTGCTGGATAGGGTAAGGGTTAAGGCCAGCAGCGTGGAGACAGAAATGAACATTATTCATTCATTTATTCCACACACTTTTCTTATTTAATCTGCTCAGTAAGCCTGTGAAACAGGATCTGTTATCATCCTGTTATTATTATTATTACCATTATTTTGAGACAGAGTCTCACTCTGTCACCCAGGCTGGAGTTCAGTGGCATGATCATAGCTCACTGCAGCCTTACACCTAAAGCAATCCTCCCACCTTACCCTCCCAAGTAGCTAGGACTACAGGTGCCTCCTGAGCCCAGCTAATTTTTAAAAATTTTGTGTAAGCCTGGTGTGGTGGCTCACACCTGTAATCCCAGCACTTTGGGAGGCCGAGGCAGGCGGATCACAAAGCCAGGAGTTCGAGACCAGTCCAGCCAATATGGTGAAACCTCGTCTCTACTAAAAATACAAAAATTAGCTGGGCATGGTGGCACGGGCCTGTAGTCCCAGCTACTCAGGAAGCTAAGGCAGAAGAATCGCTTGAACCCAGGAGGTGGAGGTTGCAGTGAGCCGAGATTGCGCCATTGCACTCCAGCTGGGTCAACAAGACGGAAACTCTGTCTCAAAAAAAAAAAAATCTGTAGAGACAGGGTGTCCCCTTGTTGCCCAGACTGGTCTTGAACTCCTGGTTTCAAGGGATTCTTCCTTCTACCTTGGCCTCCCAAAGTGCTGGGACTACAGGAGCACACTCCATGCCCGGCCCCATTCGCCACTATTAAAGTCACAAGGGGCTGGGCATGGTGGTTTATACCTGTAATCTCAGCATTTTGGGAGGCCAAGGCAGGTGGATCACTTGAGGTCAGGAGGTTGAGAACAGCTTGGCCAACATGGTGAAACCCAGTCTCCACTAAACATACAAAAATTAGCCGGGCATGGTGGCGGACGCCTGTAATCCCAGCTACTTGGGAAGCTGAGGCAGGAGAATTGCTTGAACCAGGGATTGGAGATTGCAGTGAGCCGAGATCATGGCACTGCACTCCAGCCTGAGCGACAGAGCGAGACTCCATCTCAAAAAATAAAAATTAAAAAATAATAAAGTCACAAGGAAGGCACAGAGAGGGAAAGCCACCTGCCTAAGGTCACATAACTAGCACATGGACGAGCCAGGGCTCAAAACTATGTCTCTAAGCCCAGCATGTTGAATTCTATTTTCCCCAATGAAGCAGGTCCTGCTATTGAAAACACAGGATATTTGATGAGGACAATAATAATATATAATGTTATATTATTATTATTATTATTATTATTATTATTATTATTATAAAACTAATAGCAGCTAAATTGCATCAAGAGCCTTCTATACATCAGACCCCATGGGACAGAGTCATATTTTCTTGATGTGATCCACTCTACAGATGAGGAAGCTGAGGCTCCACGAGGTTAAGTAACTGCCCGGAAGTCACAAAGCTAACGATCAGGAGACAGGACTTGGACCCAGGCCTCAATTCAAAACAAAGTAGGACAAGGAAGCCAGATGCGGTGGCTCACGCCTGTAATCCCAGCACTTTGGGAGACCGAGGAGGGAGGTTCGCTTGAGCCCAGGAGTTCGAGAACACCCTGGGCAACACAGTGAGACCCCCTGAGTCTACAAATTGTTTTTTTTATTAGCCAGTCATTGCGGCACATGCCTGTAGTCCCACCTACTTGGGAGGTTGAGGCAGGAGGATCATTTGAGTCCAGGAGTTCAAGGCTACAGTGAGCTATGATCTCACCACTGCACTTCAGCCTGGGAGACAGAGCCAGATCTTGTCTCAAAAAAAAAGCAGGACAAGACCCAGTAATTGAGCCAGATGGGAACTTAGGCCCTGACCAGCCCTACTCTCTCCTCTTAGAAAGGGAAATTGAGGCCCCTGAGAGCAAGAAAGCTGCCTCAAGCCTACAGACTTCCAGATGGAATTTCGTTTCCCTCTCAGGACTTTGAGCAGGTAAATTCCTGGCCTTTCCTCCCCCAGGATGGGTTGGGGAAAAAGAAACAGCAGCTGGGGAGGAGATCTGAACAGGTACAAAGGGCGGCCTGCATGAGGGGAAAGTGGTTAGACACCAAGCAGAACTTCCTGGCCTCCTCTGGGAAGTTTCTAAGACTCATCCAGGGGCTGCCCCTGCGGGTGGGGGCCCTCCAGAGGCCAAGGCCCAGAGAAAGGAGACCCTAGTCCTTTCCGCCTGGGGTGCAAGGAGCCGGGGGAGGGTGGGGGTGGCCATCCTGGTTCCGCATCCTCCGTTCCCGACATTGGAGGGAGGCTGCTGTGGGAGCTGGGACTTTCCTGAGAGCAGAAGATTCTGGGAAATTAGAGACAGCTGCAGGGCGGGGCTGCCTCCCAGCCTCCCTTCCCTTCCCTCCCCTTGGTCCCTGCTGGCTCCGGAGGCACGCCTCTCCACCCCTCCACCCCACCAGCTCCTCCTCCCCTAGTCCATGCCTTCCACCCTCGGACCCTCAGATCTTTTCCCCTGAGCCTCTTTCTTCTCCCTCAGATCTGGCCTCTACCCTCAGACTCTCTCCAAATCTTCTTTCCTCAGACCCTTCTTTCCCCTCCAACTCTCTCCTCCTCCCTCAGAGCTGCGTCCCCTCACTTAGTGCTTCTCAGACTTCCTCAGACTGTGCCCTCTCCCTCAGATACTCTCCCCTCCCCTCAGACCCTCACCTCCTCACTCAGACCCTCACTTCCTCCTTCAGACCCTCACCTCCTCCCTCAGACCCTTACCTCCTCCTTCAAACCCTCACCTATTCTCTCAAACCCTCACCTCCTTCCTCAGATGCTTATCTCCTCCTTCAGACCCTCACCTCCTCCCTCAGACCCCCACCTCCTCCTTCAGAGCCTCACCTCCTCTCAGACCCTCACCTCCTCCCTCCAAACCTCACCTCCACCTTCAGACCCTTACCTCCTCCTTTAGACCCTCACCTCCTCTCTCAAACCCTCACCTCCTTCCTCACATGCTTATCTCCTCCTTCAGACTCTCACCTCCTCCCTCAGACCCCCACCTCCTTCAGACCCTCGTCTCCTCTCTCAGACCCTCACCTCCTCCCTTAGCCCCTCATCTCCTCCCCCCGAACCTCACCTCCACCTTCAGACCCTCACCTCCTCCTTCAGACCCTCACCTCCTCTCTCAAACCCTCGCCTCCTTCCTCAGACTCTTATCTCCTCCTTCAGACCCTTGTCTCCTCCCTCAGACCTTCACCTCCTCCCTCCAAACCTCGCCTCCACCCTCAGACCCTTATTTCCTCCATCAGACCCTTACCTCCTCCAACAGACCCTGTCCTCCTCCTTCAGATCCTCTCCCCCTCCTCCCACTAAACCATCTACTTCTCTCTCAGACCTATCTTCCTTCTTCAGATCCTCCTCCTTCTGACCCTTTTATCCCTCTTCCAACCTCAGAGAACCATCAGCACCCTCTCTTCCAGCAGCACCGTCTCTCCCAGCCCTTCGAAGCTCCCACCGGACCCATCACATCTTCTCCCCTCTACAGTCCTGCTAGGTTGGAACCACTGCACCAGCTGCCCTGGGATGCCAGGAGTGGGACAGGCTTGGGTGTCCTTCCCACCCTACCTCTGAGGGTCCCCACCCTAAGCCTCGCCCCTCCAAACCTCAGCTTTCCTTTCTGTGCATTGGGATAGTGCTCCACACCCCTCTCCTGTGTCTGAGGGTCCCCAGGGGTGGGGTTGGATGGGCAGGGAACACAGCCCCCAGCCTGTCCAACCGAATTCCTCCCCTCTTCCCTTGCTGTGGCCCCCACAACACCAGCAGGCAGGGGTTGCCATTGGTCCCATTTTCCAGAAGAACAAACTGAGTCTCAAGGCAGGGGATGGCTTGTCTGAGGTCCCACCGGGAGCAAGGGGTGGAGGTGGAATTAACACAGGTCTGTGCTCGGGATGTTTCGCCATGAAGGGGGATAAGGGAGATCCAGAGAGAGGTCGAAAGGAAGGGAAGGGGTGAGGCCTCTCCACACAGCCACTTCTCACATCCTGGGTTAACGATCCACTCGGGTGGGGCCCGAGTCCGGCCAAAGTCCCTTCCCGGGGCCCCAATACCCACTTTCAAGGTCCCAGGGGACACAGAGACAGCAACAGAGATGGGGAGACAGAGACAGAGGGCGGGGCAGGAGACAACCAGAGGGAGGTCAGGCAAGTTTCGAAGACAGAAGGAGACCGGGGGAGAGAACCAGAGAGACGCCGCGTGCCCCCTGGGCAAGTCCGGGGTGCAGCCCCCATGCCCCGCCCCCTGTGTCCCCAAAGCCTCCCTCTCCGCCTCCTGTGACTCAGTGACCCGGACTCAACCCCAGCGGCTGCCCCGCCCCCAGGGAAATCCGGGAAAGCCCCGGACCTTCGGGGCCCCACCCCGGGGCGGGGAGAGGGAGAGGAGGGGAGGAGACGGGGAAGAGTCCCGCCTCCCTCCTCCCTCCCTCCCATCTCCAGCCTGAGTCATGCCCCCAACCCGCCTAGCCTGTTCCCCACCCATCAACCCCTCCTCGAGGTGGGAGGGGAAGTCGGGGGGAAGCCAAACTGCTCCCCGCTCCTGCAGCACCGGCCTCGGTCGCGCTGACTCTGGCCTGGTGTCCGTGTCTCTTGCTATCTCTCTTTCTCTCAAGATCTCTGCGCCTGTCTCCATGTCTCTTTCTCTCTGTGCACCTAGGATTTTCCGAGCACCCACCCCGGTGCCCCGCGGGCCCCGGCTGGGGGCAGGGCCCCCAACGAGTGCAGAGACACAATCAGTGGAGCGCTCCCCACCCTCACCCCACCCCCAGCCCCTTTAGACCCACAGCTGATGAGGCACGTGGAGTGGCAGAGATGGAAGAGGGGAGGGAGAGGAATCGTTCCTGGCCGCCTGCCGAGTGCCAGTCCCTGCCCCGGGTGCGTCTCTTCACTCCCACTAAGGAGGAAACGGCTCAGAGAGGGGAAGTGTTTGGCCAAGGTCACCCAGCGAGTAAGTGGGAACCGAGATTCCAAACCCCGTCCCAGAGATGCCAAGGCCTCCTGAGAGACAGAGAAGCAGACAGCAACTGAGAGGCAGAGAGATGGTGACAGACACAAAGAGACAAAAGAGAGAGACAGAGACGGAACAGAGCACACAGAGACAAACGCGGGGTTGCGGAGAGAAACACCTACTCAGACAGGAGAACCAGAGAGACAGTTACAGACTCAGAGATAGAGATGTTGAGAGATAGGGCCAGAAAGACAAAAACAGAGGCAGAGAGAGCGGCCCTTGGCAGCAGGGGTGGGGACACCCCCCCACCCCCCGACCCCGCCTCCTCTCCCCCCACCCCTCCTTTCCTCTCCCTCCCCCGCCGAGGCCTGGCTGCCCCAGGCGCCGCGGGCCGGGAGGGGGCAAGCGGGGCGCGGCGCGGGCGGGGCGCAGGGCAGGCTGCACCTCAGAGCGGCGGGAGCAGCGGCGGGTCCAGGAAACCCCTGGGGCGTACGGGTGGCCCCGGGGGGGCCGGGGGCGGGGAGGCGGGCGGCCGGCACCGCCCCGGCCGACAAAAGTCCCTTCAGTTCAGCCGGCTGCAGGGGAAGTCCCGGCGCCCGGCGAAACCACCCTCCCGTGCAGCCGAGCCCAGCCGCTCTCCGGCCGCCGTCCCCGGCGGCCCCATGCCCCGATGCCCCGCGGGGGCCATGGACGAGGGGCCCGTGGACCTGCGCACCCGGCCCAAGGCCGCCGGACTCCCGGGCGCCGCGCTGCCGCTCCGCAAGCGCCCGCTGCGCGCGCCCTCCCCGGAGCCCGCCGCTCCCCGCGGCGCTGCGGGCCTTGTCGTCCCCCTGGACCCTCTGCGCGGCGGCTGCGACCTGCCGGCGGTCCCCGGGCCCCCCCACGGCCTGGCCCGGCCGGAGGCGCTTTACTACCCCGGTGAGTGGCCCCCGAGGGTCCGGGCCGGGTGGGATCCACACAGAGCATAGGGTCACCAGAGCCAGGAGGCAGAGCTTGAGGCACAAACCGGTGTCTCTCCAGGGACCTGGGGGACAAGAGGATATAAGCCCAGGTTCCAAGGATATAGATATGAGATCATCGGGGAGCCAGTAAGCTGTGCCTTGGGATCTGGGGATTTGGGGACCCTGGGGGGCAAAGCCCAGGGGCTGAGTGACGTGGGGGGGGGGGGGCCAGGGACAATGCCCAGTGGTACAAATATGGGGGTGTCAGGGAATCAGGGCACAGAGCCTGGTATCCTAGGGGCAAGAAAGTACAAGCTCTTAAGCCAGATGTGTAGCGTTATGAGGAAGCTGAGCTGGGCTGGAGAAACTGGGGTTCCCTGTATCCTGATATTATTAGAATCAAAGGGAGTCAGGGTAACAGAGACTGGGGTTCTAAGGAGACAGATACTGAGGATCTCAGGATGTCACAATCTCAGGAACCAAGATATCTGGAGACATGGGCATTATGAAAACAGAGATGGGGTTCTGAGCACCCCAATATCTGGGATCACAAGGATCCAAGGAAATGAACCAGAGCTCCAGGGACCCAGATACCAGGGGGTCTTGAGGACCCAGGAGAACAGAGACCCGGGTTTCTGGGTACTCAGTTATGTGGGGCCACAAGTGATCAGGGTCCTATTTGAGGTCAAGATCAGGTGGGCAGAAGGGATCAGGGGACTGAGGATCCTAAGATTGGGTAATTCTGAGACTTTGGGTAATTTAGAGGCAGGATGAAAATTTCAGGGGTCTCCAGACAGAAAGCCTCAAGGCCTCAAGGCCTGGTATTGGAGATACGAGGACCTGGAAACTTGGGAGTTCAAGAACAGAGGGCCCACAAGGATCAGCAGATGACGAAGACCACACACTCTTCTCTCCATCCTATCTCCATCCCTGATCTCAAGAAGGGGTGTCCTCTACCACAGCTGTGGCCACGTCACCATCCCCAATTGACCCCCAAAGCTGCAGAGAGCCGTTCTACAGAGCCCCAAAACTTTAGGTAGTTTCTGCACCCTCCACCCCATCAGCGTGACAGCTGGAGAGCCTCAAGCTATGTGCATCAGGAGTTCTGCCACGGCCTCCCAGCTTTCCTATTCCAAGAGTGAGAAAGCAGGCCTCAGTTTTCCCCGTCTGTGTGATGGGTTGGTATGGATTTGCCTGCTGCCATGGTCCCCTCGCCTTTGTTTGTTTTTGTTTTTGTTTTTTGAGACAGAGTTTTGTTTTGCTCTGTCGCCCAGGCTGGAGTGCATTGGCGTGATCTCGGCTCACTGCAACCTCCGCCTCCCAAGTTCAGGGGATTCTTGTGCCTCAGCCTCCCGAGTAGCTGGGATTACAGGCATGCACCACCACACCTGGCTAATTTTTGTATTTTTAGTAGAGACAGGGTTTCACCATGTTGCCCAGACTGGTATTGAACTCCTGACCTCAGGTGATCCGCCCGCCTCGGCCTCCCAAAGTATTGGTATTAGAGGCATGAGCCACAGCGCCCGGCCTGCCGTGGCCCCTTTTTAAACAGTTTGATCTAAAATTACCCATGCGTGGTGGTCAGCATCTGTAATCCCAGCTACCTGGGAGGTTGAGGCAGGAGAATCGCTTGAACCTGGGAGGCAGAGGTTGCAGTGGGGCAAGATCGTGCCACTGCACTCCAGTCTGGGCAACAGAGCGAGACTACATCTCAAAAACAATTTGAACAGGCTTCTGGTAACACCTCCTCTCTGCCTCCACTCTCCCCAAACCCACTCTACATTTATCCCACACCCTGCACCCAGCAATTCATCAGCCACAAAATCACTCTGCAGACAGTCCCTGGGGTCCCCTGCTAGGTGATGATGGGTGCACCCTCTGTTCTTAAGGGACCCTTTGTCTGATTGGAGATTGAGGTCAGAAGATAAGTGACAATGAGGGTGACCAGCCCTAGAGGGAGAGGAAGCTGCCAGAGCCCAGAGGAGGGACGTGGAAGGGGGTTTGTTTTAGGCCCTGAGGACCCTGTATGGGATGCAAAAGGGACCCAGGAGAAAGGGCAGGTGACACCACAGGAGCAAAGTTTTAGAAGTGGGGGGCGGGTTGAGGGTCTGTGGGTGTGGCCTCACCCATGTCCCTTCTCTGTCCTCCATTGTCCAGGAGCCTTACTGCCTTTGTACCCCACTCGGGCCATGGGCTCCCCGTTTCCTCTGGTGAACCTGCCTACACCCCTATACCCCATGATGTGCCCCATGGAACACCCCCTTTCTGCTGACATCGCCATGGCCACCCGTGCAGATGAGGACGGAGACACGTGAGTGACAGTCCCCTATTAAGGGGAGGGGTGGTTGGGAAGACCAGCCGTCCATAACACAGGGCCACTCAGCTCCCAGTGGACCTGAGTCAGAACTCGGTCTCCACCACAGGCTGTGTGACCTTGAGTAAGGCCCTTCCCTGCTCTGAGCCTCAGTTTCCTCCTCTGAAGAATGGGCACCTTGAGAGCATTTACCTCCTAGGCCACTATTTTTGTTTGGTTTTTGTTTTTGTTTTTTTGAGACAGGGTCTCACTCTGTCGCCCAGGCTGGAGTGCAGTGGCACGATCTCAGCTCACTGCAACCTCTGCCCCCCAAGTTCAAGTGAGTCTCATGCCACAGCCTCCCGAGTAGCTGAGACTACAGGTGCCCACTGCCAAGCCTGGCTAATTTTTGTATTTTTTGGTAGAGACAGGGTTTCACCATGTTGGCCAGGTTGGTCTCAAACTCCTGACCTCAAGTGATCCACTCGCCTTGGCCTCCCAAAGTGCTGGGATTACAGGCATGAGCCCCAAGCCCACCCCTAGAACACTATTTTTGGAACGGTGGTCTTTAGATATTTTGTCACAACCTAAAAACAAGAAAGACAGTTCATTGATTAACTTACTATATGAATTATACATGTAAAACTATCACTGGACCTGGCATAAATGTTGAGTAAGTGTTTGTTAATATTACTATTATTTTATCTCAAACCCAGCACACACACACACACACACACACACACACACAAACTTGAAATTAAAATTGCACAAAATGAAACAATACTCGCCCTTACTATGTGGGTTCTACTGTGACATTTTCTTTTTTTCTTTTTTTCTTTTTCTTTTTTTTTTTTCTGAGACAGGGTCTCGATCTGTCACCCAGGCTGGAGTGCAGTGGTGCAATCATAGCTCACTGCAGCCTTGATCTCTTGGGCTCAAATGATCCTCCCACCTCAGCCTCCTGAGTAGCTGGGACCACAGACGCTACCCCCACACCTGGCTAATTTTTGTATTTTTTTTTTGTAGAAACACAGCAGTCTTGCTATGTTGCCCAGACTGGTCTCAAACTCCTGGGCTTAAGTGATCCTCCCACCTCAGCCTCCCAAAGTGCTGAGATTACAGATGTGAGCCACCGAGCCCAGCTTACAGCTTTACTTTGCCATTTTCTATTCTAGTCGACTTCATTGTTTCATGGTCACAGCCCACTACATTAATTTGAAGATCCCCTAAATTGATTTCACAACCCCCATGGTTTATCACCTGCAGTCTGAAGAACATGTTTGTGAGGCTGCTGAGAAGTCCTGCACGGGAGGGTTTGGTCTGTGCCTAGCACATAGTAAGCACTCACTGCAATTGATCATCATGATTCTTATTATTCTATTGACCTGGGTTGGAATCTCAGCGTGGCCACGTTCTACTCCCTCTGTGCCTCAGTTTCCCTCTCTGTAAAAACAGGAACCATCGCGTGTGAGGGTCTCTGGGAGGAAGAAATGACATGATTTATACAAAGCACTTCTGTGAGAATTAGTTTGGGGCCTGGAAACCACAGGTAGAGATGAACAGGCCTGTTTCTGCAGAGAAGTAGCAGAGGGCTGCTCCGCCACTGGCCCACTGAGTGATTTCATGTCCCTGAGTCTCAGTTTCCCTATTTGGAAACTGGGTCTCATAATAGCACCTATCACAATTAGGATTCAGTGAGATCTTGTACACATGTATTAATACAGTGCACAGAACAGGGCTGGGCAAACAGTAAGTGCTCAATGCATGGAAATGGGTAATGTTTGAGCAGAGCTCCCAGGGTGGTTGCAGGCCATCTCCAGAGCCCTAGCAGGAGAAAGTGGCCTAGATTATAAAGAGCTAATAAAACCTAGTTCCCTCCCCTTCTGGGTACCTCTGGGGGGTCATCTATGAAATGGGCTTAATCAGACAGTCTCTGCCCCCAGTGGTGAGCTGTCCATGCTGTTGAAAAGCAGGGTGCTTGCCAGAGGCCACCCGGCCCACCAGTCTCCAGCCCCAGGCCCTCCCCACACCCTCCCTCTCCGACTCTCCCCCAAGGCAAACACTTCTGCCTCAGCTGCCTGCTGGGGGAAATCCCTTCCCGCAGAACTTGACCGCAACCCAGCTGCTCTGCCTCCCCCACGTCAGCACCCGTCACTCACTCGCAGCCTCCCCCCTCCTGGCGCTTCCTCCAACCTTAACCCCTTCCGCTGGGGCTGAGACTTTACCGGAACGGGCAGCGGCCCGGCCCCAGCCTGCGCCACCGGCTCCTCTTCACACCCGCGGGGGAGGGCAGTGGGGGCGAGGAGGGCGGGGGACGCTAAGTCTGGGTCCCCGCAGAAGCCAAAAGGTTGGGAGGCTGGGCTTCCATCTCCTCACAGGCGGGTACGAGCCTTGGGGCATTTGGACCCCCAAGAGGTTAGGGACTGGGCAGCCAGAAACCTGGGGAGGGGGCAGGAAGGCGGGGGCGGGGGGGGGGGGTGATGTTCTGATTCTCAGAAGGCAGAAGTTGGGGAACTGTATTCCTTAATCTCCGAGGGGATGAGGAGCAGCTTGGCAGCTTGGGGACCTGGCACTCAGAGGGGCTTTACGGGCAGGACCAGATACAGAAATTTGCAGAGTCCCTTGTTCAAAACTTAAGAATTTCACGACAGCGGCAGCAGGACGTTGGGCTGGTGAAACTGGTCACGCCAAGGGGCCTGAAAGTCTGTGTTCCCAAAGGGCCAGGGTTTGAGGCGCTGTATTTCTGGGTCTCTGAGGGGACAAGGACTGGCAAGGTAGTTTGGGATCCTGGAGCTCTGAAGGACGGGGGAAGTCCTTATTCTTAAAGAAGAGTTAGGGCTATTTCTGGCTCCCAAGAGATGTTGGGGGTGGATGCCGGGATAAGGAGGACTTGCAGCCAGCTGGAGCCTGAGCTCTGCGGGGTGGAGTTCCAGAGGGTCCCCCAGGCGGGAGGACTCGGGATTATGCGCCCCCCCTACACACACACACCTCAAGGGAGCTAGGTCTTCTTGGGCTGGGCACTCCCTTCCCCCGCCCCATTCGAGGATGGAAGTTGGGGTGCCAGGGGTGGCCAGGGTAGATCCCCGGCGGGACAGGCTTCCCTCCCCCGGGAGCAGGAAGCAGAGCCCCGCCCAGCAGACCTGTTACTGGAAGTCCGAGGGCTGGGTCGCCCCTCCCGTCCCCACTTCCTCCAGCCCCGCCCCACCCCCTGCGGCCCGCGCGTTTATGGGAACTCAGGCCTGGACGGTTTCTCTGAAATCATTCGCTGCGTCTGCCCTCACTTAACCCTGGCCGCCCCGAGAGGGACCCAGGCCAGGCGTCCTGGGAGATGCAGAGAAGGGGGGACCCTTCCCAGGGACCCCGGCCCCTCCCTCAACATTTTATTTTTAAATTTGGCTTTCACGGATTAGGAGTCAGGTTCAGCGATTCACCTGCGTGATCTCACCCTGGCATGTGGACGCTGTACTTTACATAAGAGAAAACTGAGGCTCCGAAAGGCCCCCATGGCTTTGCCCTAGCACGCGGCTACGCTAGGAGGGGTTGTGGCCCAATTTGCAACTCTGGCCCCGGGATTTCTGCACTCCATCAGAACCACCTGGGAGGCTAGTTTAAACTGGATTCTAGAGACACATTCCACAAGAGAAACGGGTGCTGGTGAGAAAGGAATTACTTAGTAAACTTTAAATAAAGATCCTGCCACCCACTGTGTACACGCAGTCCTCCTTGGGTCCTCCACTCTGTCCCCCACCCCATGCAAACAGCACAGGCGTGCACAAGCACGCACGCATGCACACACACCAGTCTCTGAATAGCTGTTCTAGGTTGGGGTCTCTGGAAACTGAGCAGGAAGTTTATTGGAAATGCTCTCCATCAACACCTGTGGGATGAAGGAAGCCCATCTGGGCAGAGGGAGAAGTTGAGCTGCTGTGTCGCCTCCACACGGCCTCAGCTGTCCCACAGGGAATATTGAAGCTGGAATGGCCTTCAGCATTGGGGTCAGGAGGCTAGGCCTTCTATGCTGGCATTAACCAGTGACTGGATGCCATTGAAGGGCAGCTGCCCTTGATTCACATGGGGCGTGACCTTGGACAAGCAGCTCTCTTGAGTTGAGGGTAATTCCCAAATGGTCTGAAAGCTGACAATCTTCCCAGAAGCTGAGGGAGTGAGTCCTTCAGTCTAGAAGGGGGTTCTGGACTGTACCGCCTCCAGAACAATGGCCCCATCCCAGTTTGTCCTCACCTCCCTTTTAGTCAAAACTTTTGTTCCAGACTGGGCGTGGTGGCTCACGCCTGTAATCCCAGCACTTTGGGAGGCTGAGGCTGAGGCAGGAGGATCACTTGAACCCAGCAGTTAGAGACCAGCCTGGCCAACATGGTGAAACCATGTCTCTACTAAAAATACAAAAGTTAGCTGGGCGCGATGGCACACATCTGTAATCCCAGCTACTCAGGAGGCTGAGGTTGGATGATCGCTTGAACCTGGGAGGCAGAGATTGCAGTGAGCACAAGATAGCACCACTGCACTCCAGCCTGGGCGATAGAACAACACTCCGTCTCAAACAAATAAAATAAAATAAAATAAAAGGGTCCCTCTGGCTGTTGTGTGGGGGACAGACAGTAGAGCATAGGTGGAAGCAGAGAAGCCATGAGGATGGAACTGTACTAGACCAGCAGGGAGCCAGTGGTGGCTAAAGCAGGATGGAGGGAGCGGGTGGTAAATCAGGATGGAGGGAGTGGGTGGGGAGAAGTGTTTGAATACTGGGGACATTTCCAAAGTATTCAACACATTGGAGTTAGCATTGCCAACAGCATGAGGGTGAGAGGTGAACAACCCCTAATGCCTGTGATTCCTTCACTCCCCCACCCCCAGGCCTCTCCATATTGCTGTGGTGCAGGGTAACCTGCCAGCTGTGCACCGGCTGGTCAACCTCTTCCAGCAGGGGGGCCGGGAGCTCGACATCTACAACAACCTACGGCAGGTGAGGCTCGGTCTGAGGGAGGAGGGCTGGGGCCTGGACTCCTGGGTCTGACAGAGGAGGGGCTGGGGGCCTGAACTCCTGGGTCTGAGGGAGGGGGGCTGGGGCCTGGACCCCTGGGTCTGAGGGAGGAGGGACTGGTGCCTGGACTCCTGGGTCTGATGGAGGAGGGCTGCGGGCCTGGGATCCGGGGTCTGATGGAGGAGGGCTGGGTCCTGGGCTCCTGAGTCTGAGGGAGGAGGGCTGGGGATCTGGACTCCTGGGTCTGAGGGAGGAGGGCTGGGGGTCTGGACTCCTGGGTCTGAGGGAGGAGGGCTGGGGTCTGGACTCTAAGTAGCGAGGTGCTCCAGGCTCCTGGTTCCTGGGGAAGAAGGGCTCTGGGGCCTCGGACTGGTTGTTCCTGAGAGGGAGGGGGCCTAAAGACCTCCTAGTGAGGAGGGAGGGGGCTGGGGACCCAGAATTCAGGTACTAGGGAAAGAGGAGGTTGGAGGCCCAGTCTTCTGGGTCCTGGGGAAGGAGGAGCATGGGGCCCGGACTCTTGAATCTGAGACAGGAGGTGTCTCAGGTTTCTGTTCCTGGGGAAGACTGCAGGATGAGGAATAAGGGTTCAGAAAACCTGGGGGAGGCAGGACTAGAGAGCAGGGCTGGACACAGGTCCCTCACAGTCACTGTTCCCCAGACACCGCTCCACCTGGCTGTGATCACCACATTACCGTCTGTGGTCCGGCTCCTGGTGACAGCTGGTGCCAGCCCCATGGCGCTGGACCGCCATGGCCAGACGGCCGCTCACCTGGCGTGCGAGCACCGCAGCCCGACCTGCCTGCGAGCCCTGCTGGACAGCGCAGCTCCGGGCACGTTGGACCTGGAGGCCCGCAATTATGACGGTAAGCATTTACCGCGGGGCACCGCTGGGCTGTCCAGCGGACCTGGAGTCCATCAGCGGCCGCAAAGCCCGGGCCTAGGTTTCACCGAGCCCTCCTCTCCCTCAGGGCTCACCGCCCTGCACGTGGCAGTGAACACCGAGTGCCAAGAAACCGTGCAGCTCTTGCTAGAGCGCGGTGCCGACATCGACGCAGTGGTGAGCGTGCACTAGGAGCTGGGAGGGAGCGGGGCCTTAGCAGGGGCGGGGTCTTGGCGGGGGCGGGGCCAGTGTGGGGCTGGCGTGGGAGAGCACCCGGGTGGGGTGGGGCTTGGAGTATCAGACCCAAGAGAGAGGCTGGACCCCGCGAATGGGATGTGGACGGGATGCGGGTCGCCGGCTGCTGGAGCAGAGCTTGGAGAAACTAAGACCTTCCCTCCCCGCCGCAGGACATTAAGAGCGGCCGCTCCCCGCTCATCCACGCCGTGGAAAACAACAGCCTTAGCATGGTGCAGCTGCTGCTGCAGGTGCGTACAGCCCCCCTGAGCCTCGCGCCCACCCTATCCTCTGACCCCAACCCGGCTCTGGCCTCAGCCCCTAGCTCTGACCCCGCCTTCCACTTCTGGCTCCGGCTCCTGCTCCGCGTCCAGCTCTGATCCTTTAAGGCCTAGTTTTCTCGACCCTCGGGCTCCACGCCCCTGGCTACGAACTTGTCCCATTCCTCCTCTGCCACCTCAACGGCCTAGGCCCCGCCCTGCGATGGCCTGGCTGACCCCGCCTTCCAGCTAGGCCCTGTCCACGCATTGTCCTTCCCCCCTCCAGCTCCCCCGACTCCTTGGGGCGCGGGCCTCGGTGTCCAGCTCCGGTTAATTCATCGCCGCCAACGCAGTCCCGCTTGGCCTGCCCTTGGCTCTCGCTCCTACCTTCCTGTGACCCCACCCCGATCCGGTGCCGCCCCACGTGCCGGCCACCCACCCGGGCCTCCAGCCTCTGTTCCCTTACCCCGGGTGGCCCGCGCGCCCTCCTGACCCGGCCCTCCCGTCCCGCAGCACGGCGCCAACGTGAACGCGCAAATGTACTCCGGCAGCTCCGCCCTGCACTCAGCGTCCGGCCGCGGGCTCCTCCCGCTGGTGCGCACGCTGGTCCGCAGCGGCGCTGACAGCAGCCTCAAGAACTGCCACAACGACACGCCGCTCATGGTGGCGCGCAGCCGCAGGGTGAGCCGGGGCAGCTGTGGACATGCCCCTTGCACACGTGTGTCCGCGGGCTGGTTGCAGGCGAGTGTGCCAGAGCGCAGAGGAGTGAGGGTGTCTGTGCCGTTGCGTGGAGGGGAGTGGGTGAGCCTCTGAAAGCGCGGGTGTGAGTTCCAGAAATGAGGAGAGACTGGCACCAAGAAAAAAAGTGCCTTGCCCATCTTTTCATACTGAGAAGTGGAGAGGCCACCACCTGGATCCAGTGAGCTAGGAGGGATGGGAGAGAGGACTGTGAGGCATGGGTGGCTCTATGGTCACGCCCATCTTCCTACAGGTCATCGACATCCTGAGGGGGAAGGCCACCCGGCCTGCTTCCACCTCCCAGCCAGACCCCTCCCCTGACCGGAGCGCCAACACCTCCCCCGAGAGCAGCAGCCGCCTCAGCTCCAATGGTGAGAAACCGTTCCCAACCTCCAGCCCTGGCGCCTCCTCCCTCAGACCCAGGAATCCCAACCCACAGCCCCTCCTCCCTCAGATCCAGGAGTCCAGGCCCCTAGCCTCCTCCCTCTGACCCAGGAATCCCAACCCATAGCCCCTCCTCCCTCAGACCCCTGGCCCCTCCTCCCTCAGACCCCAGCCCCTCCTCCTTCAGACCCCCCAGCCCCTCCTCCCTCAGACCTCAGCCCCTCCTCCCTCATACCCCCAGCCCCTCTTATCTCAAACCTCAGCCCCTCCTCCCTCAGACCCAGGAGTCCAGATTTCCAGACCCTCCTCCCTCAGACCTCAGCCCCTCCTCCCTCACACCCCCAGCCCCTCCTCCTTCTGACCCCCGGCCCCTCTTCCTTCAGACCCAGGAGTCTAGGTCCCCAGATGCCTCTTTCCTCAGACCCGGGAGTTTAAATCCCCAGCCCCTCCTCCCTCAGACCCGAGTCCAGACCCCCAGCCCCTCCTCCCTCAGACCCAGATCTCAGGCCCCAGCCCCTGCTCTCTGGGTCTAGCCTCTCACCACCCACCCCTCTGTCTCTCTTCCTTCCTCAGGTCTTCTCTCCGCATCACCATCCTCCTCACCCTCCCAGTCTCCCCCCAGGGACCCCCCTGGATTCCCCATGGCTCCTCCCAATTTCTTCCTTCCTTCCCCATCTCCACCCGCCTTCCTGCCCTTTGCTGGGGTCCTCCGAGGCCCTGGCCGGCCGGTGCCCCCCTCCCCAGCTCCAGGAGGCAGCTGAGGGGGATGGGGGGGCAGATCTTGGACTCATGAGGAGGGGCCCCCCTGCCCTGTGGGGTCAACCCTTCTGGAAACTGTGAAGATCTCACTCTGCCCCCCCCCCCCATCTTCGGGACCAGGATTTGCACAGAAGCACATGCACCTACCCATACACCCCCTCTTCTGAGCACAGATGTTCCCCCATCTCGCTCCCTCCCAGGACTCTGACCCCAGCATTCTCAGGCACCAGTCCCTGTCCGGAATGCCACCCACATCTTCCATTTCCATGTCCCCTCCCAGAGCTGGTGGACCCAGGGAACAGCCACTCCCCTCCACTCTCTACCAGATAACTGAGGAGGGGAGAGGTGGGCCGTAACGGGCACGGATCACGATGTAAATTATTAAGCATTTTGGTTGGATTTCTTTTGTAATAAACTATTTTTGTACCATATCCCTTGGGTGCATGGGCCTCTTTCATGAGATGGACCTGGCGGAAGTGCCTTCGTGTGTGTGCACACCCGTGCACTGAATCCAGTTGACTCCCAGAGTGATGTTGTGAGTCTCAGACAGACAATCTCCTGTGTGTCACTCTGGGACTTCTGGTGTGTTTGGTTGTGAATGTTGCCATCATTGTCACTGTACCATTGTTTCTAAGGAGGACGTGGTGTGTGATATCTTTTTTTTTTTTTTTTCAAGACAGAGTCTTGCTCTGTCGCCCAAGCTGGAGTGCAGTGGCACGATCTCGGCTCACTGCAACCTCCGCCTCCCCGGTTCAAGCGATTCTCCTGCCTCAGCCTCCCGAGTAGCTGGGATTACAGGTGTGCACCACCACACCTGGCTAATTTTTGTAATTTTAGTAGAGACGGGGTTTCACCATGTTGGTCAGGCTGGTCTTGAACTCCTGACCTCATGATCCTCCTGTGTCGGCCTCCCAAAGTGCTGGGATTACAGGCATGAGCCACTGCACCTGGCCGGTGTGTGATATCTTTCCAGGGCACCCTGTTGGATTCCGTAGTGACCCTGGGCATGTGTGTTTCTGTAGTGTGGGGGTCCTGGTGATAACCCACAGCTGACTTCAGCCCCAATCGTCTCTGGCTGTCCGAGTGCGTGGTGCTTGGGAGTGTTCCTAACATTGAGATCTGGGGTGATGCTGTGATTGTTGCCCTGTGACTGCCTCACATGGCGTGAGACAGTTTTACTTAGTGGTTCCATGGGGCCCCTCTAATGGACCACATCTGTGGTTTTGTTGTTGTTTTTTTGGGGGGGGATGGAGTCTCACTCTGTCACCCAGGCTGGAGTGCAATGGCGTGATCTCGGCTCACTGCAACCTCCGCCTCCTGGGTTCAAGAGATTCTCCTGCCCCAGCCTCCAGAGTAGCTGGGATTACAGGCACCCACCACCATGCCTGGCTAATTTTTGTATTTTTAGTAGAGAGGGGGTTTTGCCACATTGGCCAGGCTGGTCTCAAACTCCTGACCTCAGGCGATCTGCCTGCTTTGGCCTCCCAAAGTGCTGGGATTACAAGCGTGAGTCACCGCGCCCAGCCACACATCTGTGCTTTGACTCTGGGGTATGCCTCTGTGTGTCAGTCGGGGTTTGTAATGGTTTCCTGTTGCCACTATAACAAATCACAAATTCAGTGGCTTGAAATGATGCTAACTTTTTTTTTTTTTTTTTTAAAACAGAGTTTCACTCTGTCACCCAGGCTGGAGTGCAGTGGCACAATCTCAGCTCACTACAACCTCCACTTCCCTGGTTCAAGCCATTCTCCTACCTCAGCCTCCCAAGTAGCTGGGACTACAGGCGTGCACCACCACACCCGGTTAATTTTTTGTATTTTTACTAGTCACAGGGTTTTGACATGTTGGCCAGACTGATCTGGAACTCCTGACCTCAAGTGATCCACCCACCTCAGCCTCCCAAAGTGCTGGGATTACAAAAGGTGTGAGCCACCGTGCCAGCCAAACAATACTAATTTATTCTCTTACAGTTCTGGGCATAAGAAGTCCAAAATCGGCCGGGCGCGGTGGCTCACGCCTGTAATCCCAGCACTTTGGGAGGCCGAGGCAGGCGGATCACGAGGTCAGGAGATCGAGACCATCCTGGCTAACCCGGTGAAACCCAGTCTCTACTAAAAATACAAAAAATTAGCTGGGCATGGTGGCGGGCACCTGTAGTCCCAGCTACTCGGGAGGCTGAGGCAGGGGAATGGTGTGAACCCGGGAGGCAGAGCTTGCAGAGAGCCGAGATCGCACCACTGCACTCCAACCTGGGTGACAGAGTGAGACTCCGTCTCAAAAAAAAAAAAAAAAAAAAAGAAGTCCAAAATTGAGGCCAAGCCTGGTGGCTCACACCTGTAATCCCAGCACTTTGGGAGGCTGAGGCAGGAGAATCCCCTGAGACCAGAAGTTTGAGACCAGCCCGAGCAGTATAGTGAGACCCTGTCTGTACAAAAAAAAAAAAAAAAAAAAAATTAGCTGGGCATGGTGGCAGGCACCTGTAGTCCCAGCTACTCGGAAGACTGAGGTGGGAGGATTGCTTGAGTCTGTGAGTTCGAGGCTGCAGTGAGCTATGATCGCACCACAGCACTCCAGCCTGGGCAACAGGTGAGGCCCTGCCTCAAAAAAATAAATAAAAGAACCATGGTGTCAGCATCTGCTTCTTGTGGTGAAGGCTTCAGGCTGCTTCTACTCATGGCAGAAGGCCGAGGGAACCACACGTGTGTGGGGATCAAGTGGCAGGAGGGGAAGCGAGAGAGAGACAGAGAGAGAGAAGTGCCAGCCTCCCTTTAACACCCATCTCTCATGGGCGTCAATGGGGAGAACTCATTCACCCGCCAGGGAGGACATTAATCTATTCATGAGGGACCTGCCCCCATGGCCCAAACACACCTCACATCAGGCCCACCTCCAACCTTGGGAATCAAAGTTCTTTTTTTTTTTTTGAGACAGAGTCTCACTCTGTCGCCCAGGCTGCAGTGCAGAGGCCCAATCTCGGCTCACTGCAGCCTTTGCCTCCAAGGTTCAAGCGATTCTCCAGCCTCAGCCTCCCAAGTAGCTGGAATTACAAGCATGCACCACCATGCCCAATTAATTTTTGTATTTTTAGTAGAGACGGGGTTTCACCCTGTTGGCCAGGCTGGTCTTGAACTCCTGACCTCAAGTGATCCACCCGCCTCGGCCTCCCAAAGTGCTGGGATTAC
Source organism: Homo sapiens (assembly GCF_000001405.40). Lineage (NCBI taxonomy): Eukaryota > Metazoa > Chordata > Mammalia > Primates > Hominidae > Homo > Homo sapiens. Next base: position 44,762,796 of record NC_000019.10, read on the forward strand.
AGGTGTGAGCCACCGTGCCAGGCCCAAATTTCTTCATTTTTTTGGACACAGAGTCTCACTCTATCACCCAGGCTGGGGTGCAGCAGGAGATCCTAGCTCACTGCAACCTCGACCTGGGTTCAAGTGAGGGGATCAGATTTCAACATGAGGTTTTGAAGGAAAAAATATTCAAACCATAGCACTGAGTGTTTTTTGTTTTTTATGGGGTTTTTTGGTTTGTTTGTTTGTTTAATCTGTGGGGGCTTCTCTGGGTCGTCATGTGAATTGCTGATAGTGAACATTTAATCCCCATCACTCTGTAATGTAGTTGCATCTGTGGGGCCAGCTGCCTTAACAACTTCCTGGATGGCATCACTGGGGTCTGTGAAGGGCTGTGTGTGTGCACACAAACACTCATGCACACGCACTTCTGGATGGCCTGTGTGAGCACTGACTGGGTGACCTGTGTGTGCCTGGCCCGCCTGACTGGGACGTCCATGCGTCTTTCTGTTTGCAACTATGTTTCAGTGTTTCTGACCCAGACCCTGTGCTCTGGTATCTCTGAAGCTGCCAGGCTTGAAGGGCATGTTAATGTCCTGTTGCTGGCCAGGCACGATGGCTCATGCCTGTAATCCCAGCACTTTGGGAGGCCGAGGCGGGCAGATCACTTGAGGTCAGGAGTTTGAGACCAGCCTGGCCAACATGGTGAAATCCCGTCTCTGCTAAAAATACAAAAATTAGCCAGGTGTGGTGGTGTGCACCTGTAATCCCAGCTACTCAGGAGGCTGAGGCAGGAGAATAGCTTGAACCCAGGAGGCAGGGGTTGCAGTGAGCCAAGATCACGTCACTGCACTCCAGCCTGGGAGACAAAGCGAGAGTCCGTCTCAAAAAAATAAAAAATAAGAAATAAAAAATCCTGTTGCTGCCATGCAAACTGCCACAAACTAGGTGGCTTAACACAACAGAAATGTATTCCTTTACAGTTCTGAAGTCCGGAAGTCCAAAATCAAGGCGTCGGCAGGACCGCACTCACCAAAAACTGTAGGGGAGACTCCTTCCTTGCCTCTTCCAGCTTCTGGTAGCCCCAAGCATTCCTCCGCTTCTGGCTGCATCAGTCCAGTCTCTGCCTCTGTCTTCACATGATCTTCTCCTTTGTGTGTCCATGTCTTCTTCTCTGTCTCTTATGAGGACATTTGTCACTGAGCACAGTGGCTCACACTTGCAATTCCAGCACTTTGGGGAAGGCAAGGTGGGAGGATCACTTGAGGCCAGGAGTTCAAGACCAGCCCAGACAACATAGCAACACCCTGTCTTGAAGGGAAGGGAAGGGGAGGGGAAGGGAGGAAAGAGGGAGAGGAAGGAAGGAAGGAAGGAAGGAAGGAAGGAAGGAAGGAAGCAAGCGAGGGAGGGAGGGAGGGAGAGATTATTTCTATGTTTCCTGGTCAACATAGTGAGACGCTGTCTCTACAGAAGATCAAAAAATGTGTTGGCTGAGCATGAGCCTGGTGGTGTGTGCCTGCAGTCCCAGCTACTTAGGAGGCTGAGGTTCAAGCATCACTTTAGCCCGGGATGTCAAGGCTGCAGTGAACTATGATCACGCCACTGCATTCCAGCCTGGGTGCCAGAGGGAGATCCTGTCTCTTGTTTTGTTTTGTTTTGTTTTGTTTTGTTTTGTTTTGTTGTTACTAAGTCTCACTCTGCTGCACAGGCTGGAGGAGTGCAGTGGTGCAATCTCTGCTCACTGCAATCTCCGTCTCCCAGGTTCAAGCAATTCTCCTGCCTCAGCCTCCCAAGTAGCTGGAATTACAGGCATGCATCATCATGCCCAGCTAATTTTTAATTTTATTTATTTATTTATTTATTTGAGATGAAGTCTCGCTCTGTCGCCCAGGCTGGAGTGCAGCGGCGCAATCTCAGCTCACTACAAGCTCCACCTCCCGGGTTCACGCCATTCTCCTGCCTCAGCCTCCCGAGTAGCTGGGACTACAGGCACCCGCCACCACATCCAGTTAATTTTTTGTATTTTTAGTAGAGACAGGGTTTCACCATGTTGGTCAGGCTGGTCTCAAACTCCCGACCCCAGGAGATCCTCCTGGCTCAGCCTCCCAGAGTGCTGGGATTACAGGCATGAGCCACCGCACCCAGCCAATATTTATGTTTAATCCTTAGAGCAACTTGCAGGTTTGCTCCAAGGTTTAAACATGAACACTAGTCAAGCTAATTGTGCTCCTCTCCTCCTATGCAGTGGCGGCAAACAGCAGTGCCCTCAGTAGTATACGCAGCCTGCTGCGTGTAGCGGTGGCCTTAAGAGACCTTGGAGATAGCCCTTTCCGATGCATGTTCATGTTTCTGATCTTGACCTCACCCCAGTCTAGACTCCAGACAGGTATGCGAGGCGCCTTTGGAAAGCCCCAGGGTGTGGTGGCCAGGGTTCACATTGGCTAAGGCATCACGTCCATCCGCACCAAGCTGCAGAACATGGAACACGTGATTGAGGCCCTACCCAGGGCCAAGTTCAAGCTCCCTGGCCACCAGAAGACCCACATCTCAAGGCGGTGGGACTTTACCAAGTTTAGTGCAGATGAATGTGAAGACACGGTGGCTGAGAAGTAGCTCATCCTGGATGGCTGTGGCATCAGATACATCCCCAATCATAGGCCCCTGGAATAGTGGCGAGCCCTGCTTACTCACACCCACCAATAAATCCTCCTTCCTGTCCAAACCGAAAAAAAAAAAATATGAACGGGACACAGTGGCTCACGCCTGTAATCCTAGCACTTTGGGAGCTGGAGGTGGGCAGATCGATTGAGCCCAGGAGTTCAAGACAAGCCTGGGCAATATGGTGAAACCCTGTCTCTCCAAAAAAAAAACAAAAATTAGCCGGTATGGTGGTGCACGCCTGTAGTCCCACCCACTGGGGAGGCCGAGGTGGCAGGATCACTTGAGCCTAAGAGGTCAAGGCCGCAGTGAATCAAGATTGCGCCACTGCATTCCAGCCTGGGTGACAGAGAGAGACCTTGTCTCAAAAAAGGAAAAAGGTGGGGGGAAGTAAATTTTGTGCAATACTTATTACAGGCCATGGTGCTGAGTAAGAGCTTCATAAATGGGAATTGCTGTTGCCATCATCTAAGAATTTTTGACAGTTTTGAGGTCAGAGGAAACACAGTAGAGACGATGAGACCTATTCTTTGTCCTGGTAGAAAAATGGAACAATGAGGTCATAGCCTAGATGTGTGTTTTAGCTACATTTTTTTTATTCCACGGTTGTAATTAAATTAAATAATATAGCTGGGCATGGTGGCACACACCTGTAGTCATAGCTACTCGGGAGGGAGGCTGAGGCATGAGGATCACTTGAGCCCAGGAGTTTGAGACCAGCCTGGGCAATGTAGTGAGACCCCATCTCTTGAAAGAGTGAAGTGACTCGCATCTGTAATTCCAGCACTTTTGGAGGCCAAGGCAGGAGAATTGCTTGAGCCCAGGAGTTTGAGATCAGCCTGGGCCACATAGCAAGATCCTCTCTCTACAATAAAAAAAAAAAAATTATATTAGGTGCCTGTGGTCCTAGCTATTCAAAGGCTGAGGCAGGGTGCAGTGGCTCACGCCTGTAATCCCAGAAGTTTGGGAGGCCGAGACAGGCGGATCACAAGGTCAGGAGATCCAGATCATCCTGGCTAACATGGTGAAACCCCGTCTCTACTAAAAATACAAAAACAAAATTAGCGAGGCGTGGTGGCAGGCACCTGTAGTCCCAGCTACTCGGGAGGCTGAGGCGGGAGAATGGGGTGAACCTGGGAGGCGGAGCTTGCGGTGAGCTGAGATCGCACCACTGCACTCCAGCCTGGGTGACAGAGGAGACTCCATCTCAAAAAAAAAAAAAAAAAAGGCCGAGAGGAGTTTGAAGCTGCAATGAGCTATGATTGCACCACTGCACTCCAGCCTAGACAACAGAGAGAGACCCTATCTTTAAAAAATATATAAAACAAAGAGCCTGAGTAACATGGCAAAAGCCTGGGTAACATGGCGAAACCCTATCTCTACAAAAAAAAACGCAAAAATTAACCAGGCATGGTAGCGTGCATCTGTAGTCCCAGCTACTCAGGAGGCTGAGGTAGGAGGACCACTTGACACCGAGAGGTCAGGGCTACAGTGACCTATGACTGCACCACTATGCTCCAGCCTGGGTGACAGAGTGAGACCCTGTCTTTAAAAATATAATAAATAAAAGAAGAAATATAGTAGCTTTTTTTTTTTTGAGACAGAGTCTTGCTCTGTCACCCAGGTTGGAGTGCAGTGGCAAAATCTCAGTTCACTGCAACCTCTGCCTCCCAGGTTCAAGCGATTCTCCTGCCTCAGCCTCCCGAGTAGCTGGGATTACAGGAGCCTGCCACCACGCCCGGCTAATTTTTGTATTTTTAGTAGTGATGGAGTTTCGCCATGTTGGTCAGGCTGGTCTTGAACTCCCGACCTCAGGTGATCACCCACCTTGGCCTCCCAAAGTGCTGGGATTACAGGCATGAGCTACCACGTCCACCCAATAGTAGCTTAAATAAGATGAAAGTCTATTTTTCTCTCATGTAAAGGCCCAGCGAACACCCGCATCTAGAATAGTAGCCAAGGATGTCAGAGATCGAGGCTCCTTCTACCTGGTTGTTCTGCTGCCCTCACCTCACACTTCCATTGTGTGGTCCAAAATGGCTGCTCCAGCTCCCACCATCACATCCACATTCCAACCACTGGGAAGAAGAAACAAAAGTCAATCGCATGCCCCTACCTTTAAAGCTACAACCCAGAAGTCATACACATCATACACATCACATCCTATTTGGCCAGAATTTAGTCACATGACCACACCTATCACAACAGAGGCTGGGAAATGTGGTTTTATCTGGGCAGCATGTACCCAGCCAAAATTCAGGGGTTCTGCTACAAAAGGAAGAGGAGAGAATGGTTATTGAGGGGCCGCACATGTATCTGTCACAACCAGGGCTCTGCCACCAAATGACTAAATGACTCAAGGTGAAGTGACTTCACCACACTGAGCCTCAGTTTCCTCACCTGTAAGAAGGGAATCCCCCCGACCCCTTGGGGTTGATGGGTTGTTGGGCATTTAATGAGAGTGTGAGTGTCAGGCACTTAGCCCAGGACCTGGCCCATCATCAGTCTGGAGTGTGTTGGAAGTCCTCTTGTGCTTGTGGGTCTAGGCTGTGGGTGATGTGGCTTTTCGTGTATGAGAAACCGTCCCGGGGCTTGAGAGCTGAACCCAGCACTGAACTTTATAAGTAACTTCTCTAAAACAAGGGATCTGGCCTCTGTACACATGGAAATCCCCACTCAGCCTCCTAGACCTTGGGACTAGGCACATGTCCTTCCACAGTCTTCCCCCTTCCGCTGGAGAAAGGCAGACTCCAAAGATGGAGGAAGGGTCCTGCTTGGGGTCTCCAGCCTCCCAGCCTTCACAGAATTAAGCACTCATAGCCTGGCCAACATGGTGAAACCCCGTCTGTTCTAAAAATACAAAAATGTGCTGGATATGGTGGCACACATCTGTAGTCCCAGCTACTAGGGAGACTGAAGTGGGAGGATTGCTTGAACCTGGGAGGGGGAGGTTGCAGTGAGCCAAGATCGTGCCACTGCACTCCAGCCTGGGTGACAGAAAAATAATAATAATAATTCAATCACTCACCCCTCAACTTCCAAAGCTCCTCATGGGTGACAGTCCCAGCATTCCGGGGACAGCTCTAACGCCAGAAGTCATACCTTCAATGCATTTCTCGGGGCTCCACTCGCTTGTCCTCACCACATTGAGTAAACCCAGAAAGACAGAGGACATCTCTCCTAGATGCGTGTGTGAAATCTGCCAGATTCTAAATGCCTGGGACATTCCAAAAAGTGACTTTAAGAGCATTGGCCGGGCACAGTGGCTCACACCTGTAATCCCAACCCTTTGGGAGGCTGAGGTGGGAGGACAGACTGAGCCCTGGAGTTCAAGACCATCCTGGGCAACATGGGTAGACCCCGGCTCTAACCCCGAACATGGTGGCACGTGCCTGCAGTCCCAGATACTCAGAAGGCTGAGGTGGGAGGATCGCTTAAGCCCAGGAGGTTGAGGCTGCAGTGAGCTGTGACCATGCCACTGCACTCCAGCCTGAGTGACAGCGAGAGACTTTGCCTCAAACACACACACACAGAGTCAGGGGACGGTGGCTTACACCTGTAATCCCAGCACTTTGGGAGGCCAAGGTGAGTGGATTGGCCAGGAGTTCAAGACCAGCCTGGGCAACATGGCAAAATCCCATCTCTACAAAAATTAGCCAGGTATGGTGGCACCCACCAACTTGAGAGGCTGAGGTAGAAGGATTGCTTGAACCCAGAGGCAGAGGTTGCAGTGAGCTGTGATTCAGCCACTGCACTCCAGCCTGGGCGACAGAGGGAGACTGTCTCAAAAAACAAAAAGAAAAAAAAAGAGTGTGAGAGGTAAACAGAACACATCTTTTCTTTTTTTCATTGTTTGTTTGTTTTTTGAGACGGAGTCTCGCTCTGTCGCCCAGGCTGGAGTGCAGTGGCGTGATCTCAGCTCACTGCAAGCTCCGCCTCCTGGGTTCATGCCATTCCCCTGCCTCAGCCTCCCAAGTAGCTGGGACTACAGGCGCCCGCCACCACGCCCGGATAATTTTTTATATTTTTAGTAGAGATGGGGTTTCACCGTGTTAGCCAGGATGGTCTCGATCTCCTGACTTCATGATCCGCCCGCCTCGGCCTCCCAAAGTGCTGGGATTATAGGCATGAGCCACCGCGCAGCCGAACACATCTGTTCTTTAAGTGTGTTTTCAGACCTTCACATAAGCCAGACTTTTACTTTATAGAAAGGGAAACTGTGGCCCAGGGATGGAAGAGACTGACTTGGTGAATCGATAGGTCTGGGATTCCATGATTCACCATAACCAACCGACCAAATCTGTCAGCATTCTTGGGACAACCAGCATCGTGTGCCTCCTGATATCATGTACAGAGAAGGACACAGCATCACTTCTGTAACACTCCTGCCACCAGAATCTAATCACAAGGAAACATCACACAAACCCAAATCAAGGAGACCTTCTCCAAAAGAACTAGCCTATAATCTTCAAAAATGTCAATTCCATGAAAAACAAAGAAAGGCCAAGGAACCGTACCAGACTGAAGGAAACCGAAGAGATGAAAACTTTTTGCTATGACAGATAGTTTGGGGACAGCTGGCAATTTGCATACAGGCTGCACTGTTGGATACTACTGTCACTGAGAAATGTACACTGCTCCTCTGTACTGTGGTGGTGTAAGAGAACGTCCTTACACTTGGAAATGCAACTGAAGCATTTAGAGGCAAAGGGACGTAATGTCTGAAACTATTCTTGCAACTTCTCTGTAACTTTAAAATAATTTCAAAAGAAAAACAAATGATTTCAAAGTAAAAGTCATGGTTTAAGAGTCTGTGATTTTGGCCAGGCGCGGTGGCTCTCGCCTGTAATCCCAGCACTTTGGGAGGCCGAGGCGGGCAGATCACTTGAAGTCAGGAGTTCGAGACCAGCCTGGCCAACATGGTGAAACTCCGTCTCTACTAAAAATACAAAAAATTAGCCAGGTGTGGTGAGATGCGCCTGTAATACCAGCTACTCGGGAGCGTGAGGCACGAGAATCGCTTGAACCCGGGAGGCGGAGGTTGCAGTGACTAGAGTTCGCGCTACTGCACTCCAGCCTGGGCGACAGAGCGAGACTCAGTCTCAAAAAAAAAAAAAAAGAAAAGAAAAGTCTATGGTTTAAGGTTCTGTGTTTCCGAGTATCTCTAAGTCTGTGCATGCATTTGTGGTCAGAGTCTGGGGAGCTGGGGGCGTGAATGGGCTGCTTCAGACACTGCTTTGAGGGTGTGACCAGGACCTGAGGGTGTGGTTAAGGTGTAGGGGTGGGGCTAGGCCCTTGGGGGTGGGACCACAGTCCCAGAGGCGTGGCCAGGGCCTCGAAGGTATGGCCATAGTTTGAGGCGTGGCCGAGAAACTCCGTTCCCAAGGGAGGTGGTAACTCTGTGCTCAGAGCGCCCTCTTGTGGCTATCCTCAGGTCTCCACTTTTTATTCAATAGCTTTATTTCGTTTTATTTTTTTCAACTTTCATTTTAGATTCAGGGAGTACATGTGCAGGCTTGTTACCTGGGTATATTGCATGATGCTGAGGTTTGGGGTACGACTGATCCCGTCACCCAGGTACTGAGCATAGTACCCAACAGTTTTTCAACCCTTGCCCCCTCCCTTCTTCCCTCCCCACTTTAGCAGTCCCCAGTTTCTATTGTTGCCATCTTTATGTCCCTGAGTACTCAACGTTTAGCTCCCACTTACAAGTAAGAATGAGCGGTATTTGGCTTTTTCATCCAGCCTAACTGTTTTATTGAGATATAATGTGTATACCATACAATTTACCTCTTTAAAGTGTACAATTCTGGCCGGGCGCAGTGGCTCATGCCTGTAATCCCACCACTTTGGGAGGCCGAGGTGGGAGAATTACTTGAACTCAGGAGTTCAAGACCAGCCTGGGCAACACAGAGAGACCTCGTCTCTATAAAAATAAAAATAAAATTTTAAAAAGTGTACAATTCAGTGACTTTAGTATATTCACAAAATAGTGCAATTATCACCAGACTTTTTTTTTTTTTTTTTTTTTTGAGATGGAGTCTAGCTCTGTCGCCCAGGCTGGAGTGCAATGGTTCAGTCTCAGCTCACTGCAACCTCTGCCTCCCAGGTTCATGCCATTCTCCTGTCTCAGCCTCCCGAGTAGCTAGGATTACAGGTGCATGCCGCCATGCCCGGCTAATTTTTTATACTTTAGTAGAGACAGGGTTTCACTGTGTTGCCCAGGCTAGTCTCGAACTCCTGAGCTCAAGCAATCCACCTGCCTCAGCATCCCAAAGTGCTGGGATTACAGGCGTGAGCCACCATGCCTGCCTCACCAGATTCTATTTTAAAACAGTTGTTCACCCCAAAAAGAAACCTCATACCCATTAGTAGTCACTCCCTATTTCCCCTCAACACCCTTCCAGCTCTAGACAACCCATAACATACTCTCCCTTTTTTGTATTTTTGGACATAACATAGTTGTACATATTGTGGGGGTACATGTGATGTTTTGATACATGTATACAATGTGCAATGATGAAATCAGGGTAACTGGGATATCCATCACCTCGTTTATCTTTTCTTTGTGTTTAGAACATCACAATTATTCTCTTGTAGCTTTTTTTTTTTTTTTTTTTTTTTTTTGAGATGGAGTCTCGCACCGTCGCCCAGGCTGGAGTGCAGTGGCGCGATCTCAGCTCAATGCAAGCTCCGCCTCCCGAGTTCACGCCATTCTCTGCCTCAGCCTCCAGACTAGCTGGGACTACAGGCGCCCGCCACCAGGCCCGGCTAATTTTTTGTATATTTAGTAGAGACGTGGGTAACACGGTAAGACGTAGTAACACGGGGTTTCACCGTGTTAGCCAGGATGGTCTTGTTCTCCTGACCTCGTGATCCACCCGCCTCTGCCTCCCAAAGTGCTGGGATTACAGGCGTGAGCTACTGCGGCCGGCCCCCCCACCTTTTTTTTTTTTTTTGAGATGGAATCTTGCTCTGTCACCCAAGTTGGAGTGCAACGGCACTATCTCAGCTCACTGAAACCTCCACCTCCCGGGATCAAGAGATTCTCCTGCCTTAGCCTCCCGAGTAGCTGGGATTACAGGCGCATCTCACTGCGGCTGGCTAATTTTTGTTTTTTAGTAGAGAGGGGGTTTTACCATGTTGCCCAGGCTGGTCTCGAACTCCTGACCTCAGGTGATCTGCCTGCCCTGGCCTCCCAAAGTGCTGGGATTACAGCTGTGATCTGCCCAGGCTGGCCAGTGACTGGCTTCTTTCACTTAGCATTATGTTTTTTTTGAGATACTTCATTCCTATTAGCAGGGAGTGACATGCACCTGTGGTCCCAGCTACTCAGGAGGCTGAGGCAGGAGGATTGCTTGAGCCCGGAAGATCGAAGATGCAGTGAGCTGAGATTGTGCCACTGCGCTCCACTCTGGGAGACAGCACAAGACCCTATCTCAAAACAAACAAACAAACAAAAAATCATTCCTTTTAATGGCCAAAGAATTTTCCGTTGTATGAGCAGACCACATTTTGATTATCCATTCTTCAACTGATGGACATTTAGGTTGTTTCCACAAGTCTTTGGGTAGATATATGCTTCCAATTCTCTGGGATATATATATACGTAGGAATGCTCTAGCCCTGTGTTTAACATTTTGGGGAGCTGCCAAACTGTTTTCCAAAGCAGCTGCACCATTTTACATTCCCACCAACAGCGTAGAGGGTTCCAATTATTTCTCCATATCCTTGCCAACACTTGTGATTGTCTGTCTTGTTTATGACAGTCATCGTAGTGGGTGTGAAGCAGCATTCACTGTGGTTTTGATGTTCATTTCCTTAGTGGATCACATTGTGGAGCATCTTTTCATGTCATTCACTTCATTTGTATCCACTTTGAGTCAAATCTGGAAAAAGAGTTATTATAGTTGCAAAGTGGATACAAAAAAACCTGTCAAATCTAGGAAAAGAGTTCATATAGTTGCAGATTTTTTTTCTTTTTTAGACAAGATCTCACTGGGTCATCCAGGCTGGAGTACAGCAACACAATCATAGCTCACTGAAGCCTCAAACTCCTGGGCTCCAGCAATCCTCCCACCTCAGCCTCCCGAGTAGCTGGGACCACAGGCAGCATCCCAGCATGCCCAGTTTTTTTTTGTTGTTGTTGTTCTTTGTTTTTGTCTTTTTCAGACGGAGTCTCGCGCTGTCGCCCAGGCTGGAGTGCAGTGGCATGATCTTGGCTCACTGCAGCCTCCGACTCCTGGGTTCAAGCGATTCTCCTGCCTCAGCTTCCTGAGTAGCTACGATTACAGGTGCGTGCCACCATACCCAGCTAAGTTTTGTATTTTTCATAGAGATGGGGTTTCACCATGTTGGTCAGGCTGGTCTCGAACTCCTGAGCTCATGATCCGCCTGCCTTGGCCTCCCAAAGTGCTGGGATTACATGCGTGAGCCACTGCACCCAACCATTTTTGGTTTTTTGGTTTTGCTTTGTTTTGTTTTTGTTTTTGTTTGTAGAGACAGGGCCTTGCTATGTTGCCAGGTTGGTCTCAAACTCCTGGCTTCAACCGATCCTCCCACATCAGCCTCCCAAAGTGACAGGATTACAGGCGTGAGCACCACCCCTCTTCCAGCTTGTGGTGTTCACTGGTAATCTTTGGTGTTGTTTGGCTTATAGATGCATCACTCCAATCTCTCTGCCGCCATCGTCATATGTTGTGTGTGTGTGTGTGTGTGTGTGTGTGTGTGTGTGCACCTGTAACTGTATCCAAATTTCCTTTTCATAAGGATATCAGTCAGATTTAGGACCCACCCTAATCCAGTAGAAACTTATCCTGATCTGATTACATTTGCAAAGACCTTATTTCCATATAGGGTCACATTCATAAATTCCAGTGAACATGAACTTGGTGGGGAGGGGAATGATTCAACCCAGGCCACTCATTATTATGTGTTTATGACACACACTGTTGGTATTTGTGTCCAGTTCATTCACCTTAATTGCTGCGCAAGAGTTTATTGTGAGAGTACACCACAATTTATGTCAGGCTGCTGGTGGTGAACACCCACCTTGTTGCCAATTTCCTCCACTTCCAACAAGAATGCAATTAACATCCCTGAACATGTCTCTTGGAGTTTCTTAGGGCAGTATCTTTCAAACGGCCAAACAAGATCCATTAGTGGGTTGTGAAATCAATTTAGTGGGTTATAAACAATTTTTCCTTTAATGAAATGGAATTAAATAGAAGCTATTAGAGTGCATGCTCATAGTCGGAGTGAGAGCTCTTCTGTGAAACTTTTGCTTCAGGTGTCTATAGCTGTATTAATGTCCAGCAAAAGTGTTTACAAGCCACAGCTCTGAAAGAGGTAACTGGACAAATGACCTGTCCATTTGTCCAAAGGTCTCGTGGATGCTGCCAAATTGCTCTGCAATGTAGTTTGTCCATTTGCACTCAGAGCAGCTCCTTGCCAATACTTGCCAGTCAACACTTTGAACTTTTTCAGGCTAATGGGTTTTCATCCTGTTTTGTTTTTTGTTTTGTTTTGTTTTGTTTTGTTTTGTTTTTTGAGACAGTCTCGCTCTGTCGCCCAGGCTGTAGTGCAGCAGCATGATCTCAGCTCACTGCAACCTCTTCCCCCCGCCGGGTTCAAGCGATTCTCCTACCTCTGCCTCACAAGTAACTGGGATTACAGGCACACCACTATGCCCAGCTAATTTTTGTATTATTTTAATTATTTATTTATTTATTTTTATTTATTTATTTTTGAGATGGAGTCTCACTCTGTCACCCAGGCTGGAGTGCAGTGCTGCAGTGTTGGCTCACTGCAACCTCTGCCTCCTGGATTCAAGCGATTCTCCCGCCTCAGCCTCCTGAGTAGCTGGGACTGCAGGCACGCAACACCATGCCCAGCTAATTTTTGTATTTTGAGAAAGGGGGTTTTGCCATGTTGGCCAGGCTAGTCTCCAACTTCTAACCTCAAGTGATCCACCCACCTCAGCCTCCAAAAGTGCTGGGATTACAGGCATGAGCAACTGTGCCCAGCCTAATTTTTGTATTTTTAGCAGAGATAGGGTTTCACCATGTTGGCCAGGCTGGTCTCAAACTCCTGAACTCAAGTGATCCACCCGCCTTGGCCTCCTAAAGTGCTGGGATTACAGGCTACAGGCATGAGCCACCACACCCGGCCCAATCTATTTATTTATTTTATTTTTTTATTTATTTTCTTTTTGGTCGTTTTTTAATTTAAAGAAAAATTTTAAGATTTTCAATTCCTACGAGATGGGGGTGGGGCTAAGGAGGGGCTCAGGGTGCATTGGGAGGTTCGGCTCTCATCCTATGCCCCCTACCCGCCGACCTCAAAGGACTTTTGAGAATTCAGTGTGCCAATGTTTGCAAAGCATTACACACAGGGCCTGATAGACAGCAAGCATTCAATAAATGCTAGCTATGGCCGGGTGTAGTGGCTCATGCCTGTAATCCCAGCATTGTGGGAGGCCCAGGCTGGAGGATTGCCTGAGCTCAGAAGTTCAAGACCAGCCTGTGTAACACAGTGAGACATCATCTCTACTAAAAACTAAAAAAAAAAAAAAAAAATAGCCAACGTGGCAGTGCATGCCTGTAGTCCTAGTTACTAGGGAGGCTGAGACAGGAGGACCACTTGAGCCCCAGAGGTCAAGGCTGCAATGAGTGGTGATCCAACAACCACTGCACTCCAGCCTAGGAGACAGAGCAAGACCCTGTCTCAAAAAAATAAAATAAAATAAAATAAAAGTTAGTTATTACTATTATTCTCTGATTCAAAGTTCTCTAGATATGTGCACATTTGCGATCAGAACTTGGCCTGGTCTGACCAGGCATGGTGGCTCACGCCTGTAATCCCACCTCTTTAGGAGGCCGAGCAGGCAGGATTGATTGAGCCCAGGAGATCCAGGCTGCAGTGAGCTATGATCAGGCCACTGCACTCCAGCCTAAGCAACAGAGCAAGACCAAGCAAGACCCTGTATCACAGGAAAAAAAAAAAAAAAAAAAGAACTTGGCTTGGCCTAGGATGGGGCGCGGCCAGAATGCCTTGCTTAGGGGCGAGGCCCACAGCGCCCCGATGGCTGCCCAGCGAGCAACTGAGCAACCAGGCTGATGTTACAGGTTCTACAGGTTGGGTGAAAGCCACGCCCGGCCACCCCTACACAAATGAGTTGCTCCCCGCCCCCACAGTCTTGAACGCCATCCTCCCGCCTGGCTTCTTCGGGACTCAGGAGTATCTTAACTCTGGCCTGATTTCTCCCATGCCACACCATTAGGGGCACCCAGAAATCTTGTTGCCAAATTCCTGCCCCCTCAGACACCCACTTTCAAACCCTTGCTTCTAGGGAACCCAAGGGCCTGGTGGCTCTGTGCCTCCTTCCTCGGAGACAGAGAGAGAGCAATGCCTCCCTGACCGGTTCCTCCTTGAAATCTCAGTTATCTGACCTTTAATCCCATGCCACGACCAAAGACCCATACCTTCGACAAGGCGCTGTGTCCAAGTCCCACCTCTCGGTAGCTCCCAGCCCTTCCCCTCCCCTCTCCAAGAAGAGTCCCGTGGCAGGGCAAAATGGCTCACGCCTGTAATCCCAGCACTTTAGGAGGCCGAGGCGGATGCATCGCTTGAGCTCAGAAGTTCAAGACCAGCCTGGGCAACATGGTGAGACCCCGTCTCTACTAAAAATACAAAAAATAAAATAAAATAAAATAGCCAGGACTGCTGATGCGCGCCTGTGACCCCAGCTACTCAGGAGGGTGAGGTGGGAGGATCACTTGAGCCTGGGAGACAGAGGTTGCAGTGAGCTAAGATCTCACCACTGCACTCCAGCCTGGGTGAAAAAGCAAGACCCTGTCTCAAAAAAAAAAAGTCCCAGGCCTCCCCTAGCCCCTTGCCCCTCTCTGAAGGGACCCAGATATCCTACCTGCACTTCCCACCCACACACTGAGAAGCCCCCTCCTACCGCTACCCACCAAAGCCACCCCACCCTGCTCCTTTTTGAGAATCAAACTCAAACCGCACCAGCTAATTTTTTTTTCTTTTTTGTATTTTTAGTAGAGACACGGTTTCACCATGTTGGCCAGGCTGGTCTCGAACTCCTGACCTCAGGTGATCCGCCTGCCTCGGCCTCCTAAAGTGCTGGGATTACAGTTGTGAGTCATCGCGCCCAGCCACATTTTATTTTATTTTTAAAAATTTTTTAGAGATAGGGCCTCACTATGTTGCCCAGGCTGGTTTTGAACTCCTGGGCTCAGGTGATCCTTCCACCTCGGCCACCCAAAGTGCTGGGATTACAAGCATGAGCCACCGCTCCCGGCCTCCAAATCCCACCTCTTGAAGACCCACGTGCCAGGTCCTCCAGCCCCCGCCCCCTTTGGAGACACTGGTACCTGCAGGCCCCTCCCCGGTTCTCTAGGACCCGCCCTCTCCTTTCACTCTGGGCGAGGCCGCCCCTATCCCAGCCGCACCGGTCCTTCCCGGCACACGCGAGGCTCCCATGGCTCTGGCGGTGGCCCCGTGGGGGCGACAGTGGGAAGAGGCCCGCGCCCTGGGCCGGGCAGTCAGGATGCTGCAGCGCCTAGAAGAGCAATGCGTCGACCCCCGGCTGTCCGTGAGTCCCCCTTCGCTGCGGGACCTGCTGCCCCGCACAGCGCAGCTGCTTCGAGAGGTGGCCCATTCTCGGCGGGCGGCCGGCGGAGGCGGCCCCGGGGGTCCCGGCGGCTCTGGGGACTTTCTACTCATCTACCTGGCCAATCTGGAGGCCAAGAGCAGGCAGGTGGCCGCGCTGCTGCCTCCCCGGGGCCGAAGGAGTGCCAACGACGAGCTCTTCCGGGCGGGCTCCAGACTCAGGTGAGCCTTCGCCCCAGAACAAAGTCCTCTGGGGTGAGGCCCAGGTCTTGCTCCCAGCCCCTCCTCCCCCAGACCCAGGAACTTAGGCCCCCACCCCCTCCTCCCTCAGACCCAGGAACTCAGGCCCCCACCACCTCCTCCCTCAGACTCAGGGCTCCAGCCCCCAGCCCCTCCTCCCTCAGACCCAGGGGTCCAGGCCCCAGCCCCTCCTCCCTCAGACCCAGGAACTCAGGCCCCCACCCCCTCCTCCCTCAGACTCAGGGCTCCAGCCCCCAGCCCCTCCTCCCTCAGACCCAGGGGTCCAGGCCCCAGCCCCTCCTCCCTCAGACCCAGGAACTCAGGCCCCCACCCCCTCCTCCCTCAGACTCAGGGCTCCAGCCCCCAGCCCCTCCTCCCTCAGACCCAGGGGTCCAGGCCCCAGCCCCTCCTCCCTCAGACCCAGGAACTCAGGCCCCCATCCCCTCCTCCCTCAGACTCAGGGGTCCAGGCCCCCAGCCCCTCCTCCCTCAGACCCAGGGGTCCAGGCCCCAGCCCCTCCTCCCTCAGACCCAGAAACTCAGGCCCCCATCCCCTCCTCCCTCAGACCCAGGGATCCAGGCCCCAGCCCCTCCTCCCTCAGACCCAGGGGTCCAGGCCCCAGCCCCTCCTTCCTAAGGGAACCTGGAAAATGGGCCACCCAGTTTTCTCCTTCCTTGGGCACCCATGCCCTCAGCCCGATTTTGCCATTTCCTTGGTCACCCAGCAGCCCAATTCTGGTTCCCACTATCCCACTATCTCAGAATTCAGGGACCCCATGGGGTTTCCTACACTGAGGATAAAATAAAAGTTAGCTATTACTATTATTCTCTGATTCAAAGTTTTCTAGATGTGTGCACATTTGTGATCAGAACTTGGCCTGGTCTGGCTGGGTACGGTGGCTCACACCTGTAATCCCAGCTCTTTGGGAGGCCCAGCTGGGAGGATCAGGCCTCAGAATGTGGAGACCCCATGGGCTCCTAGGTGGAGGAGAGGTAGATGGACACACCCAAAGAAACTGATCATTAGGCCCCCATCACGGTTTCTGCCTGGACTACCCACTTGGTCTTTAGTTCCTGAGGAACAGCTGGCTCCAGACCCAGGACCTGCCTGGAGGCCACCCCTCTGCTGTTCTGCACTGAGGAAGGAATCTCAGAGTGACCAGGCAGATGAGGTTTGGGGCCCAGAGCCCAGAACAAGGTCTAGTTCAGGGACCCATGCCACTTCTTTATATTAAATATTTTGTAGTGTCTCTTTTTTTTTTTTTTTGGACACAAGGTCTGGCCCTGTCGCCCAGACTGGAGGGCAGTGGCACCATCATGACTCACTGCAGCCTCCAACTCCTGGGCTCAAGTGATCCTCCCACCTCAGCCTCCCATGTAGCTGGGACCACAGGCGTGCACCACCATGCCAGACTAATCTTTTTATTTTTTGGTAGAGAGGAGGTCTTGCTATGTTGGCTAGGCCGGTCTCAAACTCCTGGCCTCATGCGATCTTCGTACCTCAGCCTCCCAAAGTGCTGAGATTATAGGTGAGAGCCACCATGTCCAGCCAAGTGTTTCCTTAATTCATCCTGAGAGGACATGCAGAGGTTCAACAACCTACCCACCTATAGTTTTTTAATCACTATAATGCCCAAATTATAAGAGAGTGATCAAAGGAATTTTTTTCATAAATATTATCTATGTTTTAAATGAAAATGCCAAGGCACAATTATTCTTGGAAGGCAGAGCTGACTAGTCAGACACTCGTACCTGTAGGTAGAACCACTGTCATACAGAATCAAATAGTCTTCCCTTAATATATAGGAGAGCTGGATTTCTGCAAAATTCAGCGTAATTTTTTTTTTTTTTTAGACATGGTCTCACTCTGTTGCCCAGGCTGGAGTGCAGTGGCGCAATTTTGACTCACTGCAGCCTCTGCCTCCCATGTTCAAGCAATTCTCCTGCCTCAGCCTCCCAAGTAGCTGGGATTACAGGCACCCGCCACCACGCAGCGATAATTTTTATAGTTTTTATTAGAGACAGGGTTTCACCATGTTGGCCAGGCTGTTCTCAAACTCCTGACCTCAAGTGATCCACCCACCTCAGCCTCCCAGAGTGCTGGGATTACAGGCATGAGCCACTGCTTCTGGCCAAAATCTAATAAAAGCCATGTATATCGTTTTTAATTTTTTTTTTTTTTTTTTTTTGAGATGGAGTCTTATTCTGTCATCCAGGCTGGAGTGCAGTGGCGTGATCTCAGCTCACTGCTACCTCTGCCTCCCGGGCTCCAGCGATTCTCCTGCCTCAGCCTCCTGAGTAGCTGGGATTATAGGCGGGCGCCACCACGCCAGGCTAATTTTTGTATTTTCAGTACAGACAGGGTTTCACCATGTTGGCCAGGTTGGTCCCAAACTCCTGACTTCAAGTGATCCACCCACCTCAGCCTCCCAAAGTGCTGGGATTACAGGCGTGAGCCACCACGCCCAGCAGGAATGGACTCTTACCTTACACTGTTGAGATAGAGTCCAGAGCCTTATCCCTGCAGGTGTTCCCCATGAGGGGAGGAAGAGGGTGTCAGTGGGAGCCCCAAGGATAGCCAGAGTCCTTGCCCATCCCCACAGGCGACAGCTGGCCAAGCTGGCCATCATCTTCAGCCACATGCACGCAGAGCTGCACGCACTCTTCCCCGGGGGAAAGTACTGTGGACACATGTACCAGCTCACCAAGGCCCCCGCCCACACCTTCTGGAGGGAAAGTTGCGGAGCCCGGTGAGTAAGCCCTTGTCCTCAGCTCCCGGAGCCCCATCCTGCCCTGGCCCAGGGACCCAGGGGTCCAGGCCCACAGCTGCTTCTTTCCTGGAGACCCTCCCATCATAGGCTCTGGGAGGCCTCAGCGGTGTCTCCCCCACCCCTCTCCCACCCAGGTGTGTGCTGCCCTGGGCTGAGTTTGAGTCCCTCCTGGGCACCTGCCACCCTGTGGAACCAGGCTGCACAGCCCTGGCCTTGCGCACCACCATTGACCTCACCTGCAGCGGGCACGTGTCCATCTTCGAGTTCGACGTCTTCACCAGGCTCTTTCAGGTCAGGGAAGGCCAAGGCTGGGAGCTAGACTTGGGTCCAGGAGGAAGTAGAGGGCTGAATCCTGGATTCCTGGGTCTGAGGGAGGAAGGGCCGGGACCTGGACTCCTGGATCTGAGGGAGGAGGGGCCGGGGCCTGGACTCCTGGGTCTGAGGGAGGAGGGGGCTGGGACCTGGACTCCTGGGTCTGAGGGAGGAGGGGCTGGGGGCCTGGACTCCTGGGTCTGAGGGAGGAGGGGGCTGGGGACCTGGACTCCTGGGTCTGAGGGAGGAGGGGCCGGGGACCTGGACTCCTGGGTCTGAGGGAGGAAGGCCTGGGGCCTGGACTCCTGGGTCTGAGGGAGGAGGGCCTGGGGCCTGGACTCCTGGGTCTGAGGGAGGAGGGCCTGGGGCCTGGACTCCTGGGTCTGAGGGAGGAGGGGGCTGGAGACCTGGACTCCAGGGTCTGAGGGAGGAGGGGGTGAGGGCCCGGACTCCAGGGTTTGAGGGAGGAGAGGGCGGGGGGCCTGGACTCTTGGGTCTGAGGGAGGAGGGCCTGGGGCCTGGATTCCTGGGTCTGAGGGAGGAGGGCCTGGGGCCTGGACTCCTGGGTCTGAGGGAGGAGGGGCTGGGGCCTGGACTCCTGGGTCTGAGGGAGGAGGGGCTGGAGACCTGGACTCCAGGGTCTGAGGGAGGAGGGGCTGGAGACCTGGACTCCTGGGTCTGAGGGAGGAGGGGCTGGAGACCTGGACTCCAGGGTCTGAGGGAGGAGGGGGTGAGGGCCTGGACTCCAGGGTTTGAGGGAGGGGAGGGCTGGGGGCCTGGACTCTTGGGTCTGAGGGAGGAGGAAGCTAGGGTCCCAAACTCCTGAGTTCTGGAGAAAGAAGAGCTTGGGGTCTTGTAAAAGGGATATGCCTGAGGCCCACCATGGGTGTGAAGGAGGTGGTTGGATCCTCGAGCCCTAGGGACTACTTAGGGATGTGAGCTGCTTCCCTGGTCGCTCCCTGACCCAAGCCCTGCCCCACCCCAGCCATGGCCAACACTCCTCAAGAACTGGCAGCTCCTGGCAGTCAACCACCCAGGCTACATGGCCTTCCTCACCTATGATGAGGTCCAAGAGCGTCTGCAGGCCTGCAGGGACAAGCCAGGCAGGTAAAGGGTCCAGGGCTCAGCAGAACAAGGCTGCAGGGCTCAGGGATCTGGGCTCTGGGCTGGTGCGTGGTGGAGCCCAGATGTCCTTCCAAGAGTGGGAACAGAGGTACCCAGGACCCCAGAGAGTTGATAACTCAGAGGCAGGACACTGAGTGCCCCTCCCAGCCCGCCTCTTCTCTCGAGGCCTCCTGTACTGTCCCATAATCCTGCAGCTAAGGGACAGTGCCCGCTCTAGCAAGGAGCCCAAAGACCCGCTTGAGGGTAAGGTCCGTTTCTGGTAGGTCAGAGTCATGTTGTACCATCTGTTCAGTATTTTGAGTATGAATTTCCCACCTGTTGGCATAGGAGACTGAAAAACAAGACATGAGAGTCCTTAAATTATTTCAACCAGGAGTTTTGAGCTGTTGGGTCCCCCTAGAGGGCTGAGAATTGAGCTGTCTAGATACCAAGAGAAGAGAAGGTCAGGTTTGTGAGTCTCTGCAGGGCTGAGGTGCAGGGGTAGGACGGTGAGTGCGTTAGCATTCTTCCAGTTACACTTCAAACTTATTTAAGGGAAAAGAAAAAGGAAAGAATAAATTCCTATAATTGAAAAGGCCAGGCCCCGCACAGTGGCTCACACCTGTAATCCCAGTACTTTGGGAGGCCGAGGCGGGCAAATCACTTGAGGTCAGGAGTTCGAGACCAGCCTGGCCAACATGGTGAAACCTCATCTCTACTAAAAATACAAAAATTAGGCCTGGCGCAGTGGCTCACGCCTGTAATTCCAGCATTTTGGGAGGCCGAGGTGGGTGGATCACCTGAGGTCAGGAGTTCAAGACCAGCCTGGCCAACATAGTGAAACCCCATCTCTACTAAAAATACCAAAAATTTAGCCAAGCGTGGTGGCGTGCACCTGTAATCCCAGCTACTTGGGAGGCTGAGACAGGAGAATCACTTGAACCCAGGAAGTGGAGGTTGCAGTGAGCCAAGATCACGCCATTGCACTCCTGCCTGGGCAACAAGAGTGAAACTCCATCTCAAAAAAAAAAAAAATACAAAAATTAGCCTGGCATGGTGATGCGTGCCTATAGTCCCAGCTACTTGGGAGGTTGAGGCACAAGAATCACTTGAACTCGAAAGGTGGAGGTTGCAGTGAGCCAGGATCCCGCCACTGCACTCCAGCCTGGGCAACAGAGCAAGACTCTGTCTCAAAAACAAAAAGGAAGAAAAGAAAAGAAGCCTAGGGTGTGGGTTTCAGGCACAGCTAGATCCAGGTGCTCAATGGCTACTGTCAGGAATCAGTTCCTGTTCATCCCCTTTCTCTGCTTTCCTCTGTTTGCTTCATTCTCAAACATGGTTTCTCCTCATTGTGGCAAATGACTTCTAGAAGTCCCAGCTGTGTACCCTACCTTCTTAGCAACCTCTGTAAGAAAGGGGGCACCTTGCTCTGACACTTGCAGCGAAAGTCCCAGAACGGACTCCCATCACTGTGGTCAGGGGTCCTGAAATGCACTGATTGGCCACCCCAGCCTTGTTTAAACTCCAGTGAAGCGAGGAGAGATCTCCAAATGGAATCAGGGCTGTTTTTATCATAAAAGAGCCAAGCAGGCAAAAACAGCATATATCCCCTAGAGAGGCAGGCAGGGGTCTAGCACATGCCGTTGCCTAGAGGATGGGAAGCTGGGGGTGAGGACCTAGACACCTGGATTCCCAACAGGCCAGGGGACTGGAAGTTCACAAAAGGGATGGCAGTGACCACTCCCTCACCCCATCCTACCTACCTCTCCCTCCAGTTACATCTTCCGGCCCAGCTGTACTCGCCTGGGGCAGTGGGCCATCGGCTATGTGAGCTCAGATGGCAGCATCCTGCAGACCATCCCTGCCAACAAACCCCTGTCCCAGGTGCTCCTGGAGGGACAGAAGGACGGCTTGTGAGTCTCCATTCTGGTAGGAGGAGGGTGTCAGCAAAATCTGGTTGGAAAGATCTTGCATGTTGTGCACTGCCGGTGGCCACCACGTTTGAGGGTGCAACCATTCACATAGGGGACATCTCAAATCTGCAGTACTACAAAATTCCAGCAGGTGGCAGTCAAAGGTCTTGAGGAAGGGGCGCCTCTGAGGGTCGCACAAAGTGGCCATAGATCGGGCCCAGCCACAGCTCCGAGGAGAAGTGTGTGGGGCATTGGGCACAACCGCAAGGGCTCCATTCCTTGGAACTGAGCTCAAGAGCGTTTGCTTCTATTTTCTTCCTCTTTTACTTTAGTTAATTTTTAAAAAATGAGATGGGGTTTCGCCATGCTGCCCAGGCTGGTCTGGAGCTCCTGGGCTCAAGCGATCTTCCTGCCTCGGCCTCCCAAAGTGTTGAAATGACAGGCGTGAGCCACCGTGCCCAGCCAGCTTTTGTTTCTAGATATGAGATCCTGCTCTAGAATCTAGATTGATGGGGCAGAAACAGAACTGGAGAACTTGCTAGACAGGTGTTTTTTTTTTTTTTTTTTTTTTTTTTTTTTTTTTTTTTTGAGACAGAGTCTTGCTCTGTCGCCCTGACTGGAGTGCAATGGCATGATCTCGGCTCACTGCAACCTCTGCCTCCCAGATTCAAGCGATTCTCCTGCCTCAGCCGCCTGAGTAGGTGGGATTACAGGCACCCACCACCACACCCGGCTAATTTTTTGTGTGTGTTTTTAGTAGAGACAGGGTTTCACCATGTTGGTCAGGCTGGTCTCGAACTCCTGACCTCATGATCCACCCACCTCGGCCTCCCAAAATGCTGATTACAGGCATGAGCCACCATGCCCGGTCCTAAGTTTTGGATTTTTAATAGAGATGGGGTTTTGCCATGCCAGGCTGGTCTCAAACTCCTGACCTCCAGTGATCTTCCCTTCTCGAACTCCCAAAGTGCTGGGATTACAGGTGTGAGCCACTGTGCCCGGCCAGGAAGACAGGTTTCTTTTCAGAGTTTCACCTTTAGCCAGAATTTTCTTATCAGTCATATCTATATGACTACTGACATACAAGAGAGGAGATAGGAAGGTAGGTAGCTAGCTAGATAGTCAGATAGGTAGATAGATAGATAGATAGATAGATAGATAGATAGATAGATAGGCAGATAGGTAGATATGCTGTTGATTATTTGCAATAATTATTATTAATTTTTTAATATATAATTTTTTTAACATTTTTGGTGGGGCACGGTGGTTCACGCCTGTAATCCCAGCACTTTGGGAGGCCAAGGCAGGCGGATCACCTGAGATCAGGAGTTCAAGAACAGCCTGGTCAACATGGTGAAACCCCATCTCTACTAAAAATTAAAAAAAATTAGCTGGGTGCAGTGGCGTGCACCTGTAATCCCAACTACTCCAGAGGCAGAGGCAGAATTGCTTGAACCTGGCAGGTGGAGGTTTCGGTGAGCTGATATCACGCCACTGCACTCCAGCCTGGGTGACAGAGCGAGACTCCATCTGAAAAAAACAAAACAAAAAAATTTTATTGTATATTTGGTAGAGATGGGGGTGGGGTGTGGCTCACCATGTTGCCTAGGCTGGTCTCGAACTCCTGAACTCAAGCAATCTGCCCGCCTCACCCTCCCACAGTGCTCAGATTACAGGTGTGAACCACACGCCTGGCCAATTTATAGTAATTATCTTCTATAAAATCACCACACACCCTGAATTATTGAATATCAAGCCGTTGCTCCCAGGGGAAATACATTCTTGGGTCCTGAGTAGCTAGGACTACAGGTGCACGCCACCACGCCCGGCTGGGTCACCACATTTTTGTCAACCAGTCACAACATAGTAACCTTTATGTATGTTTTCGTTTAAAGACACTTTATTCAAGGCCGGGCGCAGTGGCTCACACCTGTAATCCCAGCACTTTGGAACACCGAGTCGCGCAGAACACGAGGTCAGGAGATCGAGACCATCCTGCCTAACACTGTGAAACCCCGTCTCTACTAAAAACACACAAAAAAAATTAGCCGGGCGTGGTGGCGGGCACCTGTAGTCCCAGCTACTCAGGAGGCTGAGGCAGGAGAATGGCGTGAACCCTGGAGGCGGAGGTTGCAGTGAGCCGAGATCGTGCCACTGCACTCCAGCCTGAGCGACAGAGCAAGACTCCGTCTCAGAAAAAAAAAAAAGAAAAAAAGAAAAAAAAATTGACACTTTATTCAGTACCTATTGTTGGTTCGCTAACATTGAACTCACAACCAACAGCAGTATAACTTGTGTCTCAGCAAAGCTTATACAACACACACGTTTTCTCCATAAGACACATCACAGCCTTCTTTCACTTAGGAACAGGAGACAACACTTCAGCTACTCTTGGGGACCATTTAAAACAGAAAAATCAGAGGCCGGGCATGGTGGCTCATGCCTGTAATCCCAGCACTTTGGGAGACTGAGGCAGGCAGATCACTTGAGATCAGGAGTTCGAGACCAGCCTGGCCAACATGGTGAAACCTGGTATCTAGCCAGGCATGGTGGTGTATGCCTATAATCCCAGCTACTCAGGAGGCTGAGACGAGAATTGCTTGAACCCGGGAGGTTGAGGCTGCAGTGAGCCAAGATCACGCCTCTGCATTCCAGCTTGGGTGACAGAGTGAGATTCCATCTCAAAAACATAAAAATAAAGTCAATCATAAGCTGGGCGCAGTGGCTCACGCCTGTAATCCCAGCACTTTAAGAGGCTGAGGTGGGTGGATCACCAGGCCAGGAGATCGAGACCATCTTGGCTAACACGGTGAAACCCTGTCTCTACTGAAAATAACAAAAAATTAGCTGGGCGCAGTGGCGGGCGTCTGTAGTCCCAGCTACTCAGGAGGCTGAGGCAGGAGAATGGCGTGAACTCGGGAGGTGGAGCTTGCAGTGAGCCGAGATCGCGCCACTGTACTTCAGCCTGGGTGACAGAACCAGACTCTGTCTCAAAAAATAAAAATAAAAATAAAATAAAGTCAATCGTAGAAGTCCCTTCTTATTGGGTGTTTATGCACAGAGGAGGACGCTGCATTTAAAATTTTTTTCTAATTTAAAAAATTTATTTGCACCGGGCACCCAGCAAAGTGCTGGGATTACACGGTGGCTCACACGTGTAATCCCAGCACTTTGGGAGGCCGAGGCGGGCAGATCACCTGAAGTCAGGAGTTCAAGACCAGCCTGGCCGACATGGTGAAACCCCGTCTCTACTAAAAATACAAAAATTAACCAGGCATGGTGGCAGGCGCCTGTAATTCCAGCTACTTGGGAGGGTGAGGCAAGAGAATTGCTTGAACCCGAGAGGCAGAGGTTGCAGTGAGCCGAGATCACGCCATTGCCCTCCAGCCTAGGGCACAAGAGTGAGACTTCATCTCAAAAAAAAAAAAAAAAAATTTATTCGCCAAGCATGGTGGCTCATGCCTGAAATCCTAGAACTTTGTGGGAGGATCACTTGAGCCCAAGAGTTTGAGACCAACCTGGACAACATAGTGAGCCCCCATCTCAATAAAGAGAAAAAAAGAAAAAAAAAATTAGTTACCGACAAGGTATCACTATGTTGTCCAGGCTGGCCTCAAACTGCTGGGCTCAAGCGACCCTCCCTCTTCGGCCTCCCAAAGTGCTGGGGTTACAGGTGTAAACCACTGCACCTGGCCAGCGCTTCATGTTTCTTTTGGTGGTTCTTTTTTTTTCTGTGACAGGGTCTCACTGTCACCCAGGCTGGAGTGCAGTGACATGAACACGGCTCACTGCTGCAGCCTCGACCTCCCAGGCTCAGGGGATTCTCTCGCTTCAGCCTCTCCTGAGTAGCTGAGACCACACGCACATGCCACCATGCCCAGCTAATTTTTTTAATTTTTTTTTTTTTAGACATAGTGTCTTTCTGTGTT
Source organism: Homo sapiens (assembly GCF_000001405.40). Lineage (NCBI taxonomy): Eukaryota > Metazoa > Chordata > Mammalia > Primates > Hominidae > Homo > Homo sapiens. The sequence continues at coordinate 44,788,331 of NC_000019.10, forward strand.
GCCCAGGCTGGTCTCGAACCCCTGGGCTCAAGCAATCCTCCCGCCTCAGCCTCTCAGAGTGCTGGGATTCAGGCATGAGCCACTGCTCCCAGCCAGGGCTGCATGTTTTATAAGCACTGTCTTTCTTATTTATTTATTTTTAAAATTTCTTTTTTTTTTTTTTTTTTGAGACAGAGTCTTGCTGTGTTGCCCAGGCTCGAGTGCAGTGGTGCGATATCCATTCACTACAATCTCTGCCTCCTGGGTTCATGAAATTCTCCTGCCTCAGCCTCCCAAGTAGCTGTGATTACAGACACGCACCTCCATGCCTGGCTAATTATTATTGTATTTATTTATTTATTTTGCTATTTTTAGTAGAAACGGGGTTTCACCATGTTGGCCAGGCTGGTCTCAAACTCCTGGCCTCAAATGATCTGCCTGCCTTGGCCTCCCAAAGTTCTGGGATTACAGGTGTGAGCCACTGTACCCGGCCAGCACTGTCTTATTTAATCCATCACAAATCTTTGCCTCAGGCATGATCATGTCCATGTTACAGAAGGGGAAACTGAGGCCAGAAAGGTCGAGTGGCCCCAGCCAGGTCACACAGTGTGTTAGTGAGAGAGCCACTGTGGGGCCCAGGTCAGGGATCCTGCACTGCTCCACATGACAGGCCAGGCAGGGCCACTAGCCTCAGGGAGTCTGAGGGTCCAATATTTCATGTGCTATACATGTCGGAATAACTGGAGTAGCATTGAGGCATGCCAGATAGGCCGAGGAAATGATCCAGGGGGAGACCCAGGGAGCCCAGAGCTTGCTTCTCCGGTGTCCTGGAGCCCAGTGCTGAGATCTCGCCTACAACCCTGGTTCTCGGTCTCTCTGGTCCTTGCTGTGTGACCTTGGGCAAATGCCTTTCCCACCCTGAGCCTTGGGTCACTGTCTGTGAGGGAAGAAGTGGTACAGGTGCTCTCAGAGGATCTTTCCATCCTGATATTATCAGATTCTAGGATTTGATCACTTTCATGATCTGTGACACTAAAATCTGTTATGCTTGGGCGTGGAGAAGGGTGAGGTTCTAGAAGAGCTAAGCCAGAGATTTTCCCTTTTTTTTTTTTGAGACAGAGTCTCACTCTGTTGCCCAGGCTGCAGTGCAATGGCATGATCTTGGCTCACTGCAACCTCTGCCTCCTGGATTCAAGCAATTCTCCTGACTCAGCCTCCTGAGTAGCATGCACCACCACGCCCAGCTAATTTTTATATTTTCAGTAGAGACGGGGTTCCACCATGTTAGCCAAGCTGGTCTTGAACTCCTGACCTCAGATGATCCACCCACCTCGGCCTCCCAAAGTGCTGGGATTACAGGCGTAAGCCACCACACCTGCCCTAAGCCAGAAATTTTCATATCGTTTTCTGGTTCTTAGTCTATCTCATCCTTGTTTCTGGAGCTTGAGTCACTGAGGTTTTGTGTGCCCTACCTTGGGAGTCTGAGGGGACATAGCCCTGCCCTGGGGTATCTGAGAAGACACAGTCCCAATTAGAGGTGGGTGGAGGGAAAATAAGCCCAGGCCAGCAATGGATTTGGGACAGATCCTCAACTCAGGGAAATATGGGGCCCTGTAGGGGGTAAAGGTACTTGTTCATCTGGGGGTGGGAAATACTGGATGGCCCCCCAGTCCCCCTCTCTTCCCTTCCCCCAGCTACCTCTACCCAGATGGAAAGACCCACAACCCAGACCTGACTGAGCTCGGCCAGGCAGAACCCCAGCAGCGCATCCACGTGTCAGAGGTGAGACCCGCACCTGCACCCGCAGTCCCAGTTCCCTGACCCTGCCACCCCCACGTTGCCTTGGCTCAGAGGCCTGGGGTTGGAATGTTGGCTTGGTGGCTCTGTGACCTTGGGTAAATCACTTGACCTCTCTGAGGCTCAGTTATTCTTCCGGAAAATACGGCTCCTCCTGCCTCTTTCCCAGGGGTGATCACGGGGATTAAATAAGGAACTGATGCTGCTGAGATCATCAGGACAGCTAATGCATTCGAGCATTTGCCAGCAATAGCCCCGTGCCAGCTCCTAATCTTCACAGCCACCCTACGAGTGAGAAAAACAACAATAACAAATAAATAATTTATTTTTTATTTATTTTTATTTTTAGAGACAGAATCTCTTCTGTCGCCCAGGCTGGAGTGCAGTGGTGCGATCATGGCTCACTGCAGCCTCGACCTCTGGGCTCAAGCAGGCCTCCCACCTCAGCCTCCCGAGCAGCCAGGAGTACAGGTGTGAGCCACTGCACCCAGCTAATTTTTGTATTTCTCTGTAGAGATGGGGTTTCGCCATGTTGCCCAAGCTGGTTTTGAACTCCTAGGTTCCAGCAATCCTCCCGCCTCCACCTCCCAAAGTGCTGGGATTATAGCCATGAGCCACTGTATCTGGCCCTAAATTTTTTTTAGTATAAATATATCCCGTGCAATATTTGGGACATCCTTATACTTCAAATTGTATTCACGGTTTACATGAAATTCAAATTTGGAGGCCGGGTGCCACCGCACCCATAATCCCAGCACTTTGGTAGGCCGAGGCCGGCAGATCACCTGAGGTCAGGAGTTCAAGACCAGCCTGGCCAACATAGTGAAACCCATCTCTACCAAAAATACAAAAATTAGCTGGGTGTGGTGGCTCACACCTGTAGTCCCAGCTGAGGCACTTGAGTTGGGAGGCTGAGGCACGAGAATCACTTGAACCCAGGAGGCGGAGGTTGCAGTGAGCTGAGATCACACCATTGCACTCCAGCCTGGGCAACAGAGTGAGACTTGGTCTCAAGAAAGAAAAAAAAAAAGAAAGAAAGAAATTCAAATTTAGGTTAGGCACAGTGGTTCATGCCTGTAATCCTAGTACTTTGGGAGGCTGAGGCGGGTGGATCACTTGAGCCTGGGAGTTGGCGGTTGCAGTAGGCCAAGATTGCGACCCTGCACTTCAACCTGGGTAACGGAGTGGGGCTCTGTCCCGCAAAAAAAAAAAAAAAGAAAGAAAGAAAAATAATGAAATTCAAATTTAGCAGCATCAGCATCCAATACTTTTATTTGCTAAATCTGGCACCACTGGGTGTAGACAACTGGGGAGAAGAAGTCTCATAACAAGGAGTGAAGACATGGCCGGGCGAGGTGGCTCACGCCTGTAATTCCAGCACTTTGGGAGGCCAAGGCGGGCAGATTACTTGAGGTCAGGAGTTCGAGACTAGCATGGCCAACATGGTGAAACCCCATCTCTACTAAACATACAAAAATTAGCCAGGTATGGTGGCTTATGCCTGTAGTCCCAGCTACTCAGGAGGCTGAGGCACAAGAATCGCTTGAACCTGGAGGCAAAGGTTGCAGTGAGCCAAGATCGCGCCACTGCACTCCAGCCTGGGCAACAGAGCAAGACTGCGTCTCCAAAAAAAAAAAAAAAAAATGAGTGTAGACATGTAGGAGGCCATTGGACATGCCAGCCTTGGACTTAGGAGAGGGTTCAGTTCTGGCACAGAGGTTTGGTTTATTATTTTTTTTTTAAATAGAGACGGGGTCTTACTATGCTGCCCACGCTGGTCCAGAACTCCTGGGCTCAAGCATTCCACCTGCCTTGGCCGCCAGAAGTGCTGGGATTACAGGCATGAGCCACAGCGCCAAGATAGAGGAGGTGTGGGATTTTCTTTCTTTCTTTTTTTTTTTTTTGAGACGGAGTTTTGCTCTTGTTACCCAGGCTGGAGTGCAATGGTGCAATCTCAGCTCACTGTAACCTCCATCTCCCGGGTTCAAGCGATTCTCCTGCCTCAGCCTCCTGAGTAGCTGGGACTACAGGCATGCACCACCATGCCCAGCTAATTTTTGTATTTTTAGTAGAGACGGGGTTTCAACATGTTGACCAGGCTGGTCTCGAACTCCTGACCTCAGATGATCCCCCTGCCTCAGCCTCCAAAGTGCTGGGATTACAGGCGTGAGCCACCACAACCAGCCGAGGTTTGGGATTTTCTTCCTGTGGCCCAAGTTGTGTCCCCGTGGCTGACGCATGCCCCTCGCTGTCTTCTCTATCCTCTCACCTGCCAGGAGCAGCTGCAGCTCTACTGGGCCATGGACTCCACATTTGAGCTCTGCAAGATCTGTGCTGAGAGCAACAAGGATGTGAAGATTGAGCCGTGCGGGCACCTGCTCTGCAGCTGCTGCCTGGCTGCCTGGCAGGTGGGTCTGACCCCTGTGGCGCCTTCCCCTCTGGTCTCCCCCTCTCTACAGGGAAAGCCCCAAAAGGATCTCCATGCCTCATTGATCATATGGGGAAACCGAAGGCCAGAGAGGGCAAAGAGCTGATGGCAACCACTCAGGAGCCCGGCTGTCTTTCCCAGGGCCTCTGGTTCCATCCCACTCTGCACACGCTGCCTCTGTTTCTCCCTCTCCGGCAATGTTATCAGTGGAAAGCTCTCCTTCCTTCTCTGCCTAGGTGATCCCCAGCCAGTGGCTTCACGTCTCTGAGCCTTAGCCTCGTCCCCTGGAGAACGGGGCTGAGAATAGTGACCTCCCAAAGGCCACAGTGAGGCTGGGCACGGTGGCTCACGCCTGTAATCTCAGCACTTTGGGAGGCCGGGGTGGGTGGATCACTTGAGGTCAGGAGTTCGAGACCAGCCTGGCCAACATGGTGAAAACCCGTGTCTACTAAAAAAAAAATACAAAAATTAGACGGGTGTGGTGGTAGGGGCCTGTAATCCCAGCTGCTCGGGAGGCTGAGGCATGAGAATCACTTGAACCTGGGAGGCAGAGGTTGCAGTGAGCAGAGATCGTGCCGCTGCACTCCAGCTTGGGTGACAGAGCGAGACTCCGTTTTTTTAAAAAACAACAACAGCAAGGGCCACCTGAGGGTCTGAGCCTGGAAAGGCCTGGCCCGGAAGCTGTGGCCACAGCTCCATGGGGATCCCTGGCCTGTGTGCCCCCTCCTGACCTCGGCTCTGGTTCCGTTCCTCTCTCACCTTCCCTCCCAGCATTTCCCTCCACATTCCTCTGCTCTCCACGACTCTTCTCTCCTTCCGTCTCCCTTCCTCTGTCTGTCTTCCCCACATCAATCTTTTGGGCGGGGAGCTCCTCGTTGGCCCAAGGGACAGGATGGAGAGCAGGGGAGCACTGACCCTTTCCCTCCCGACCTCCCCCAGCACTCGGACAGCCAGACCTGCCCCTTCTGCCGCTGCGAGATCAAGGGCTGGGAGGCCGTGAGTATCTACCAGTTCCACGGTCAGGCTACTGCTGAGGACTCAGGGAACAGCAGTGACCAGGAAGGCAGGGAGTTGGAGCTGGGGCAGGTGAGCAGGGCCAGCCGGGAGCTGGAATCCAAATTCCTGAGGCCTGAGTGGGGAGGGACTGGAGCCTGGACTCCTGGGTCTGAGGGAGGAGAGACTGGGGGCCTGGACTCCTGGGTCTGAGGGAAGAGGGGTTGGAGCCTGTACTCTGAGTCTAAGGGAGGAGGGCTGGGGGTCCTGGACTCCTGGGTCTGAGGGAGGAGGGGCTAGGGGCCTGGACTCCTGGGTCTGATGGAGGTGGGTATGGGGACCTGGACTCCTGGGTCTGAGGGAGGAGAATATGGGGGCCCGGACTCCTGGGTCTGAGGGAGGAAGAGCTGAGGGCCCACACTCCTGGGTTCTAGGAGAGGAGGGGGCTGATAACAAGATTCTCAGGTCCTAGGGAACTGGTCTTTTGCTTCCCCAAGGGCTGGGGCTGTGGCTTTCCCTGGCTGTAACCCTCCTAAGTGTTCATACGTTGTCTTGGTCTCTGTTATATCTTGAGTCTAGAACAGTGCCTGAATGCTGAGTCCCAGGCAGGAGAACATGGAGGCGAGAAGAAAATGGCAGCTCACAAGCCCCTTCTCCTTCCTCTGTCCCACCCCAGGTGCCCCTTTCGGCTCCTCCATTGCCCCCACGGCCAGATCTGCCCCCCAGGAAGCCCAGAAATGCCCAGCCGAAAGTGGTGAGTCAGGCGCTGGTCTGAGGTTGGGGGCTGGGGTCTCACTCACCTCCAGGGTCCCTGGTTCACCTGTGCACTCAGGGGTGCCAGGGCAGGGACTCATCCTTGGCACCCATTTCCAAGGCACCCATCCCCTCTGTGACCTCTTCCCTTGTTTTCATTCCCCCTCTGGGACTTTCTTTTTTTTTTTTTTTTTTTTTTTTTGAGACGGAATCTTGTTCTGTCGCTCAGGCTGGAGTGCAGTGGCGCAATCTTGGCTCACTGCAACCTCCACCTCCCGGGTTCAAGAAATTCTCCTGCCTCAGCCTCCTGAGTAGCTGGGATTACAGGCACCCACCACCATGCCCCGCTAATTTTTGTATTTTTAGTACAGACAGAATTTCACCATGTTGATCAGGCTGGTCTAGAACTCCTGACTTCATTATCTGCCCCCCTCAGCCTCCCACAGTGCGGGGATTACAGGAGTGAGCCACTGCGCCTGGCCTCAAGGACTTTCTAGCTCTCCTTCCAGCATCCCAGATGTGTCCTACCTCGGGGCCTTTGCATAAGCTGTTCCCTTGGCCTGCACAGTCTTTCCTGAGGCTTGCTTTCCCATCCCTTTTCAGGGAGGCCTTCCCTGACCACTCTGTTCAAGATAGCACCCCTAGCTGGGGTGGTGGCTCATGCCTGCAATCCCAGTACTTTTTTTTTTTTTTTTTGAGAGGAGTCTCACTCTGTAGCCCAGGCTGCAGTGCAGTGGCATAATCTCGGCTCACAGCAACCTCTGCCTCCCAGATTCAAGCAATGCTCCTGCTTCAGCCTCCTAAGTAGCTGGGACTACAGGCACCCACCACCATGCCCGACTAATTTTTGGATTTTTAGTAGAGACGAGGTTTTGCCACATTGGCCAGGCTGGTCTCAAACCCCTGCCCTCAGCTGATCCACCGCCTTGGCCTCCCAAAGTGCTGGGATTACAGGCATGAGCCACCATGCCCGGCCTGCAATCCCAACACTTTGGGAGGCCAAGGCAGGAGGACGGCTTGAGCCCAGGCATTTGAGACCAGCCTGGGCAACATCACAAGACCCCAACACTACAAAAAAATTTTAAAATTAGCCCAAAGTGGTGGCGCACACCCGTAGTCCCAGCTGCTCAGGAGGCTGAGGTGGGAGGGTCCCTTGATCCCAGGAGTTGGTAGCTCCAGTGAGGCGTGATCACACCACTGCACTCCAGCCTGGGCAACAGAATGAGACCCTGTCTCTAAACCAATAAAAAAAAAGAGTCTGTAATCCCAGCTGTTAGGGAGGCAGAGGCAGGAGGAAAGCTTGAGCCCAGGATTTTGAGACCTTTCTGGGCAATATAGCGGAACCCCGTTCTCTAAAAAAAAAAAGAAAAGATGAAAATAGCACCGCTGTCCCTCGGGGCCCTGCTCTGCTGTATGTTCAAAGATCTTTCGCCACCCGGCAGAGCTTAGGGTTGGTTTTGTCGGCTTTTATCACTGTCAGGTTGCAACCTTCCTGCAGGTCAGGCCTTTGTTGTCTTCTCCGTCATATCTCCAGAGTGCAGAACAGTGCCTAGCACACATACACGTCATAGGTGCTCAATAAATAGATGCCAAATGAATACACTGAAGTGAGTCTTCCCAACAGCCCTATGAAGTCAAAAGTGTTCCTCTCCCGGCTGGGCGCGGTGGCTTATGCCTGTAATCCCAACATTTTGGGAAGGTGAGGCAGGTGGATCACTGAGTTCAGGAGTTCGAGACCAGCCTAACCAACATGGTGAAACCCTGTCTCTACTAAAAATGCAAAAATTAGCTGGGCGTGGTGGCGCACACCTGTAATCCCAGCTACTTGGAAGACTGTGGCAGGAGAATCGCTTGAACCCGGGAGGTGGAGGTTGCAGTGAGCCAAGATCGCGCCACTGCACTCCAGCCTGGATGACAGAGGGTGAGACCCTGTCTCAAAAAACAAACAAACAAATGAATGTTCCTCTCCCCATTTTCCAGAGGAAAAAAGTTCAGAGAGGTGACAGTACCTGCCCAAAACCACACAGCCTGAAAGAGGAGAAGTCAGCGTTGGAGTCTTTAAGGCCCCCAAACCATCTACTTATTTTTTTGTTGTTTCTTTGTTTGTTTGTTTTTCTTTTGAGATGGAGTTTCACTCTTGTTGCCCAGGCTGGAGTGAAATATTATGATCTCAGCTCACTGCAACCTCCGCCTCTGGGGTTCAAGCTAATTCTCCTGCCTCAGCCTCCTGAGTAGCTGGGATTACAGGCAGGTGCCACCACGCCTGGCAAATTTTGTATTTTTTAGTAGAGATGGGGTTTCTCCATGTTGGTCAGGCTGGTCTCGAACTCCCAACCTCAGGTGATCCGCCTGCCTCGGCCTCCCAAAGTGCTGGGATTACAGGGGTGAGCCACCGCGCCCGGCCTACTTATTTTTTAATAAGCCCTGTCCTGGCTTTCTTTTCTCCCTACGCTGCCACCCCAGGATTTTTGGGACCCTGGATTGCTGGGGAGAAGCAGATCTCTTAGTATCTCCGGCTGAGTACACACAGGCTTCGATCAATACTGAGCTGTCTTCAAACAAACAGCTCAGGAAGTCCGGGAACATTATTCGACCACAGCAAACAAGAGAGCCAGCAGGAAGCGGGGCGGTGGGGGGGAGGGTGGCGGTGAAACCAGCCAGGGAAGCTAAAAACAGATCCAACCTGCCGCCAAAAGCAAATGGAAACATTAGGAGGCACTCAGCCGGCTCCCAGAGGACAGTGATGGGGGACACAGCCAGGACAGCAGGCTGACAGGGACCTCGGGCCTGATGGTGACACCTTTGCCTAGGCCATACCCTCCGCCTCCCCCACCCTTTCCTCCTCTCCCCAAACCCTGCCTGATTAAAATTCCAGTCCACTCCCACCTAGTCTTTCATTCTTCAAAACATACCACAGAAGAGACAGCCTTGGGTTTGTTACTTCTCAGCAAGGCACTGTCATAACTTTTGTTGTTGTTGTTGTTGTTTGAGATGGAGTCTCACTTTGTCACCCAGGCTGGAGTGCAGTGGCACGATCTCAGCCCATTGCAACCTCCGCCTGCCAGGTTCAAGCGATTCTCCTGCCTCAGCCTCCCGAGTAGATGGGGTCACAGGTGCTCACCACCATGCCTGGCTAATTTTTGTATTTTTAGTAGAGACAGGGTTTCATCATGTTGGCCAGGCTGGTCTTGAACTCCTTACCTCCGGTCATCTGCCTGCCTCGGCCTTCTTAAGTGCTGGGACTACAGGAGTGGGCCCCGCCTGTCATAACTTTTGCTATGTGCCTGGCATTGCTTTTTTTTTTTTTTTAAGATGGGGTCTCTGTCTAGCGGAGTGTGGTGGCGTGCACCTGTAATCCCAGCTACTCAGGAGGCTGAGGCAGGAGAATCGCTTGAACCCAGGAGGCAGAGGTTGCAGTGAGCCAAGATAGCGCCATTGCACTCCAGCCTGGGCGACAGAGCAAGACTCCATCTCAAAAAAAAAAAATAGGGTCTCTGTCAGCCAGGCTGGAGTGCAGTGGTACAATCACAGCTCACTATAGCCTCAATCTTCTGGGCTCAAGTGATCCTCCCTCCTTAGCCCCCAGAGTAGCTGGGACTACAGGTGCCTGTCTCCACACCCGAATCATTTTTAAATTTTTTGAGCAGTGAGGCTGGGGCTGCTGTGGACACTGGATGTGATGGGACTGTGTCAGTGGTCAGTGTCACCGTGGTTGTGATCTGTGTATGGTGCTGTGGCCCCTGGGGTTGCTGTCTGCACGCTGCTGTTCTCCATCTGAGAAACCTCCCTTTAGGGGACGACACTGCCATTGAGCTGGATCTCATCACCCCACTGACCACTGAGGACCTCTCTGACCCTCAGTGTTTTCATGGGGAAAATGGGGACCAGCCTGACACAAGCCCCACAGGCTGGGTTTTTTTGTTTGTTTGTTTGTTTGTTTTAATGTTTTAATTTAATTAGAGACAGAGTCTCACCGTGTTGCCGAAGTTGGTCTCTAACTCCTGGGCTCAAGTCTCCCAAAGTGCTGGGATTGCTGGCATTAGCCACTTCGTCTAGCCTCCCCATGAGTTTTGATGAAGCCAGCAAGCTCAGTCATCTCTAACCTGAGTCATATCCCCTCCCTCACCTCTCAGAAATCTCCACTGGCAGCCAAGCGCGGTGGCTCACACGTGTAATCTCAGCACTTTGGGAGGCCGAGGTGGGCAAATCCTTTGCTTGAGGTCAGGAGTTCGAGACCAGCCCGGCCAACATGGTGAAACCCCGTCTCTACTAAAAAATACAAAAATTAGCTAGGCGTGGTGGCGGGCACCCGTAATCCCAGCTACTCGGGAGGCTGAGGTAGGAGAATCGCTTGATTCTCGCTTGATTATCGCTTCCGCCAGGAGGTGGAAGTTGCAGTGAGCCAAGATTGTGCCACTGCACTCTAGCCTGGGCGACGGTGCAAAAACTCCGTCTCAAAAAGAAAGAAAGAAAGAAAGAAATCCCCACTGGCTCCCCAGGGCTCTAAGAACTCAAGCCAAAGTCCTCTCCGCCGCCCAAAGACCTGGGGCTGGGGATCTGACTCTTCCCCACCTCTCTGATCTCCCCTACTCCACCTCCTTTCCGGCAACATTGGACCCTTGCTGCTCTTCTAACTTGCCAGCAAGCCTCCACTCACTCGGAGCCTCTGTCTGGATCCTTCTTGCACTCAGGCATCAGCTGGGTCATTCCCATCTCCAAGAGGCCTCCCCGGCATCTTCCCTCTCCCAGGCACTTTGAAGGACATGGAACTTGCTCTGGGACATTTCCTTGTTCAGGAGCTGATCAGTCACTGCGAGCCTCGGGTTCAGTGGAGCATCAGCTCCACCAGGACAAAGATAGTTTTCTGTCTTGTTCACAGCTGTCTTCTCAGAGCGAAAAACAGGGCCTTGGCCTGGCGCGGTGGCTCATGCCTGTAATCCCAGCACTTTGGGAGGCTGAGGCAGGAGGATGGTTTAAGCCCAGGAGGTCAAGGCTGCAGTGAGCTATGGTCCCATCACTGCACTCCAGACGAGGCAACAGAGCGAGACCCTGTTTTGCTTTGTTTTGTTTTGAGACAGTTTCGCTCTTGTTGCCCAGGCTGGAGTGCAGTGGTGCAATCTTGGCTTATGGCAATCCCCACCTCCTGGGTTCAAACGATTCTCCTGCCTCAGCCTCCCAAGTAGCTGGAATTACAGGAATGTGCCACCACCCCTGGCTAATTTCGTATTTTTCATAGAGACAGGGTTTCACCATATTGGCCAGGCTGGTCTCAAACTCCTGACCTCAGGTGATCCACCCACCTCGGCCTCCCAAAGTGCTGGGATTACGGGTGTGAGCCACCGCGCGTGGCCCCTGTTTTTTCGGTTTGTTGTTGTTGTTGTTGTTGTTTTTAAAAAAGAAAGAAAAGTAAAGAAAGAGAGAGAGAAAGAAAGGGAGAGAAAGAAGGAGGGAGAGAGAAAGGAAAGAGAGAGAAATAGAAAAAGAAAGAAAGGGAGGGAGGGAAAGAGAAAAAAGAAAGAAGGAAGGAAGGAGAGAGCGAGAGAGAAAGAAGAAAGAAAGAAAAGAAAAGAAAGAAAAAGAAGAAAAAAGAAAGAGAAAAGGAAAAGAGAATAAAAGAAAGAAAGGGCCTGACCCACTGGAGAGGCTTGGGAACTGTCTGTGGGGCACACAAGTGAGCAGAAGGGTGGACACATGGATGGACAGGCGGACAGACAAACTGAAACTTCATCCTACACGAGTTAGAGGTGAGAGGGAAAAGGCAGCATGGACTAGGGACAAGGCCAAAGGTCCTGTCAGATGGTGGCCGCCACCACTGTGTCACCCCTGTCCAGGGCCTGTGAAAGGACGTCCACCCAGGCTGCAGCCTAGCAGAGACATTTCTTCATCTCCTCCCCCCAGGCACTTTTGGCCCTCCCCAGACTTCGGGCCCCTCTTCTCTTGCCAAGAATTAAGGCTGTGGCCTCAGCCGCGCAGGAAGCCACCTCCAGCCCCCAGGTGGTCTGGGACTCCCAGGTCTAAGACAAAGGGGACAGGGAAGAGGGGCAGAGGGAAAGATTGGATGCCGGGAATCAACCGCCCTCTCAAAATATCTCCATTGCAGAGACTCCTAAAGGGGAACTCCCCTCCAGCTGCGCTGGGACCCCAGGACCCTGCCCCGGCCTGAAGGCCAGGTGAGTCCATTCCCTAACCCTCCCTGGCCCACTCCACCCCACTCCACCCTCCTCCACCTGGAGGTGACCTCATCTAACCCACCCCTCTCTCCGCCTACAGGGCACCCAGATGTGCTGCTCAAGGGAGCCCCAAGGGCTGGAAGGGGGTTGTGAAACCGAAATAAACTGCCAAGCCTGGTCTGTCCTCCAGGGTGCAAAGGAAGAGTGCAGTGGCCAGCAGGGGGCAGCAGAGGGCAGCAGGCACTGGGAAAGGGCCGTCCCCAGGCCTGGTCCCCACCTGAACAACAGGAGTCCAGGCCCCAGCCCCTCCTCCCTCAGACTCAGGAGTCCATACTCCAGCCCCTCCTCCCTCAGACCCAGGAGTCCATACTGCAGCCCCTCCTCCCTCAGACCCAGGAGTCCATACTCCAGCCCCTCCTCCCTCAGACCCAGGAGTCCATACTCCAGCCCCTCCTCCCTCAGACCCAGGAGTCCATACTGCAGCCCCTCCTTCCTCAGACCCAGGAGTCCATACTCCAGCCCCTCCTCCCTCAGACCCAGGAGTCCATACTGCAGCCCCTCCTCCCTCAGACCCAGGAGTCCATACTGCAGCCCCTCCTTCCTCAGACCCAGGAATCCATACTGCAGCCCCTTCTCCCTCAGACCCAGGAGTCCAGGCCCCAGCCCCTCCTCCCTCAGACCCAGGAGTCCATACTGCAGCCCCTCCTCCCTCAGACCCAGGAGTCCATACTCCAGCCCCTCCTCCCTCAGACCCAGGAGTCCATACTGCAGCCCCTTCTCCCTCAGACCCAGGAGTCCAGGCCCCAGCCCCTCCTCCCTCAGACCCAGGAGTCCATACTGCAGCCCCTCCTCCCTCAGACCCAGGAGTCCATACTCCAGCCCCTCCTCCCTCAGACCCAGGAGTCCATACTGCAGCCCCTCCTTCCTCAGACCCAGGAGTCCATACTGCAGCCCCTTCTCCCTCAGACCCAGGAGTCCAGGCCCCAGCCCCTCCTCCCTCAGACCCAGGAGTCCATACTGCAGCCCCTCCTCCCTCAGACCCAGGAGTCCATACTCCAGCCCCTCCTCCCTCAGACCCAGGAGTCCATACTGCAGCCCCTTCTCCCTCAGACCCAGGAGTCCATACTGCAGCCCCTCCTTCCTCAGACCCAGGAGTCCATACTGCAGCCCCTTCTCCCTCAGACCCAGGAGTCCAGGCCCCAGCCCCTCCTCCCTCAGACCCAGGAGTCCATACTGCAGCCCCTCCTCCCTCAGACCCAGGAGTCCATACTCCAGCCCCTCCTCCCTCAGACCCAGGAGTCCATACTGCAGCCCCTCCTCCCTCAGACCCAGGAGTCCATACTGCAGCCCCTCCTTCCTCAGACCCAGTAGTCCATACTGCAGCCCCTCCTCCCTCAGACCCAGGAGTCCAGGCCCCAGCCCCTCCTCCCTCAGACCTAGGAGTCCAGGCCCCAGCCCCTCCTCCCTCAGACCCAGGAGTCCAGACCCCCAACCCCTTCTCCCTCAGACCCAGGAGTCCAGGCCCCAGCCCCTCCTCCCTCAGACCCAGGAGTCCAGACCCCCAACCCCTTCTCCCTCAGACCCAGGAGTCCAGGCCCCAGCCCCTCCTCCCTCAGACCCAGGAGTCCAGGTCCCCAGCCCCTCCACCCTCAGATCTTCAAATGGAATCTGGGGCCAGGCACGGTGGCGCACGCTTGTAATTCCAAGGCTTTGGGAGGCCAAGTGGGAAAGACTGAGCCTAGGAAGCTGAGGTTGCAGGGAGCTGTGATTGTGCCACAGCAATCCAGCCTGGGTGACAGACCGAGATCCTGTCTTAAAAAAAGAAAAAAAAAAAAAAGAAACTGGGCCCCCAGCCTTCTCTGTGATACCCAGGAGTCCTGCTCTCAGGATTTAGAAGTCCAGAATCCCAAGTTTTCTGAGAATCGGGCATCCAACCCTCCTGCTTCATCATGGCAAAAAAAATCCCTGGACCTAGACCCAGATATCCAGGTTAAGTCCCTGGTCAAAAGGACCACACATTTCCCTGATGGTTATCCACCTTGCCTTGCCACGGTCTGTGCTCATCCCTCTCTCTGTCCTTCATTCCTCTCTGACATCTTTCTCCCAGAGTAACTGCTAACTTCCAGTCTAAATCTTGCTGAGGAAGAAGAGATACCACCTCATGATTCATCTTGGAGTGGCCCAAGCCTCCCTCCACCTTGTTTAAATTGCCCCATTCCCGGAGACCTTGCCCTGTGCCCAGCGCTGGGCTGAGCAATGCTGACCAGGAAGCAGTGATCACTGCCCCACTAGGGCTCACCTTCCACTAGAGGAAAGAGACCTGTCCCTAGACAGTGATGACCCAGAGTGGGCATGGCTGGGGTAGGGAATCCCAGGGGGCTACAGGAACCCAGAGTGGGCACCTGACTCAGCCTGGGAGGTCAGGGAGTGCTTCCAGGAGGAGGCGATGTCTGAGCTGATACTTAAAAGATGATGAGGCCAGACGTGGTGGCTCATGCCTGTAATCCCAGCACTTTGGGAGACTGAGGCAGGCGGGATGCTTGAGCTCAGAAGTTTGAGAACAGCCTGAGCAACGTGATGAAACTCCATCTCCACAAAAAATTTTGGAAAAATTAGCCAGGCATGGTGGCACATGCCTGTAAGTCCTAGCTACTCAGGAGGCTGAGGTGGGAGGATGGCTTGAGCCTGGGAGGTCAAGGCTTCAGTGAGCCGAGATTGCACCACTGCACTCCAGCCTGGGCAACATGGCAAGACCCTGTCTCAAAAAAGAAAAGAAAATTTTTTAAATGATGAAAAAGTATTCCAATGGACAGGAGGCTTGAAAGAATGTATCAGGGCCGGGCGCAGTGGCTCACAGCTGTAATCCCAGCACTTTGGGAGGCCGAGGCAGGTGGATCATCTGAGGTCAGGAGTGAAACCCCGTCTATACTTTCACCCCAACATGGTGAAACCCCGTCTGTACTAAAAATACAAAAATTAGCCAGGCATGGTGGCGGGCACCTGTAATCCCAGCTACTCGGGAGACTGAGGCAAGAGAATCACTTCAACCCAGGAGATGGAGGTTGCAGTGAGCCGAGATTGTGCCATTGCACTCCAGCCTGGGCAACAAGAGCGAAACTCTGAAAAAAAAAAAAAAAAAAGGAAGGAAGGGAGGGAGAGAGAGGAAAAGGAAGGAGGGAAGGAAGGAAGGAGAGAAAGAAAAGAAAGGAAGGAAGAAAGAAAGAAAGAAAAGAAAGAAAGAGAATTTTCACAGATTTAGTTCCAAGCAACAGATGCTACCTCAGGGGCAGAAAGGGAATTTATTGAGAGGATTTGGGGTCACTCACAGAATCCCAGGAGTGAACTGGGGAATCAGGATTGGAAAGTGAGCAGGAAGAATCCTGGCAACTGGCCAGCAATGGTAACCCAGCCACAGTGACACCACGGAACCGGTCTGATGAGGCCATGCTGGCGATGGCCACTAGACACTGTAGTTGTCTCGCTGCCTCTGCTGCCCCAGAAATAGGATATGGCTGCTCTTCTCATTAGCTGTTGCTGGTAATAAATCACTTCACAACTTAGCCGCAAATGACAGCAATCATTGCATTAAGTCTCATGGTTGCTGTGGGCTGGGATTTGAAGAAAGGCGTGGCTGGTTTGTTTTGGCTCAGGATGCAAACAAACAGTGCAATCAGTGATGCTTGCCACAGGGCGGCTGGGGGTGCTGGACAAGTGGGCATCTCTCTGTGGTCTCAGGGCCTCCCCCACCATATAGTCTCTGCACTGGCCAGCTTGGGCTTCCCCACAGCATGGCTGCCTCAAGGTAGTCAAACTTTATATGGCCGCTGAAGACCCAGGCAGAAGCTGCATGGCCTTTTCTAGCTCATTTTGGGAGTTCCGCAACTTCACTTCAGCTGAATTCTGTTGGTTGTATGCAAGTCACCAAACTGCACAGATTTGAGAGGAGGGTGCCATAGACCCCAGCTCTTGATGGAAAGAGTATCAAGCTCTCATTGTGGAAACACACATGGGATGAAAGACACTGTCACAACATGGCAAAACCCCATTCCTACAAAAAAAAAAAAATTAACTAGGAGTGGTGGTGCACACCTGTACTCACAGCTACCCAGGAGGCTGAGGTGAGAGGATCACTTGAGCCCTGGAGGACGAGGCTGCAGTGAGCCATGATCATGCCATTGCACTCCAACCTGGGTGACAGAGCAAGACCCTGTCTCAAAAAGAAAAAAGAAAGAGATTGTTGTAGCCGTCTTTGGAAAACAGAATCTGTCCCAGCTGCCATGCATGGCTGGAAGAGGTGGCCAATTCCTGATATTCAAAAGTGTGGAAGGATTTGCCAAGCTTAAGTCACCTTAGCTCCAACAGATGCAGGAAAGCAAACATCCATTCTTGTTGGCTTCAAGAGTGGGCAACAGAGGCTTTCAGACAGTAGGAATTTCCTTAAATGTGGGAAGGAGCTGCAGATGCTAGGTAATCCTTCCCGCAAAATATGTACTATAGCCCGCTCCTTTGGTTTTTTTTGTTGTGTTTTGTTTTTTAGACAAGGTCTCACTCTTTCACCCAGGCTGGAGTGTAGTAGCACGATCTTGGCTCATTGCAGCCTTGATCTCCCCAGTTCAAGCGATCCTCCCACCTCAGCCTCCTGAGTAGCTGGGACTACGAGCACAAACCACCACCACCCCCGGTTAATATGTATTTTTTGTAGATACAGGGTTTTGCCATGTTGCCCAGGCTGGTCCCAAATTCCTGGGCTCAAGCGATCCACCTGCCTCAGCCTCCCAAAGTGCTGGGATTGTAGGTATGAGCCACCACAGCTGGCTTTGAATGTTCAATATCAATAGGCCCTTTGCAGAAGTTCTTATCGAAACTTTCCCCGCACAACCGTCTCTCATTGTACAATCAAAAAATGCATTCACACTGCCACCCAATACAAAAAATTTCAATAGTTCCATTTTCCAGATCTGAGACTGGAATCAGGGAAGAACCATTCCCCTCCAAATATGTCATTCTCCCCATATTCCACAAGCTGTGAGCTAGTTGTAAAGTTAATCGTCACACACTGTGTGAAAAATAATGGGAAAAAAGGTCAAGAAAAGATAAGTCAGCCAGGCACTGTGGCTTCCGCCTGTAATCCCAACATTTTGGGAGGCTGAGGCTGGTGGATCACCTGAGGTTAGGGGTTCGAAACCAGCCTGGCCAACATGGTGAAACCCTGTCTCTACTAAAAACACAAAATTAGCCGGGCATGGTGGCGCATGCCTGTAATCCCAGCTACTTGGGAGGCTGAGGCAGGAGAATTGCTTGAACCTGGGAGGCGGAGGTTGCAGTGAGCCAAGATCACGCCATTGCATTCCAGCCTGGGCAACAAGAGTGAAACTCTGTCTCAAAAACAATGAAAAGGTAAGTCTGGCCAACCGTGGTGGCCCACACCTATAATCCCAGCACTTTGGGAGGCTGAGGTAGGAGGATCGCTTGAGCCCAGAGTTTCAGAAAAGATAAGCCTTGTTAGTTAAAATATGTGAGGATATACACCTGCGGCCGCATGGATGGAATTAGAACTTTTTTTTTTTTTTTTTTTTTTTTTGATACTGAGTCTCGCTCTGTCACCCAGGCTGGGGTGCAATGGCATGATCTCAGCTCACTGCAACCTCCACCTCCTAGGTTCAAGCAATTCTCCTGCCTCAGCCTCCCGAGTAGCTGGGATTACAGGCACCTGCCACAACCCCTGGCTAATTTTTTTATTTTAAGTAGAGAGGGGGTTTCACCATTTTGGCCAGGCTGGTCTCAAACTCCTGACCTCGGGTGATCCACCCACCTCGGCCTCCCAAAGTGCTGGGATTGCAGGCATGGGCCACCATGACTGGCCATTTTTATATTTTTTTGTAGAGACGGGGTTTCGCTATGTTGCCCAGGCTGGTCTCAAACTCCCGGGCTCAAGCAGTCCTCCCGCCTCAGGCTCCTAAATTGCTGGGATTACAGACGTGAGTCCCTGCGGCTGACCTGGACCTCAGCTTTTACCCTAAGTGAGACAGAAGTCATGGGAGGACCCTGGGGCAGAAGAGTGACATGAGTTGATTCACATGTAAAAGGAATCCTTCAGGCTGTTTTGTGAGAATAAATTACAGGGGACAAAGGCAGATGATGTTACAAGACTAGTTTCTGCAAGTCTGCAAGGGTCCACGGCTGCTGTTTTGGTGTTTCTGACTTTTCTCCTTCATACACATGCCATAGAGTTCTCCTCCCTCACCCAGAACCTCAGATGGCTAGGTTCTTCTTTTTTTTTTTTTTTTTTTTGAGACAGAATTTCACTCTTGTTGCCCAGGCAACATCGTGCAGTGGCACGATCTCAGCTCAGTGCAACCTCCACCTCCCAGATTCAAGCGATTCTCCTGCCTTAGCCTCCTGAGTAGCTGAGATTACAGGCATGTGCCACCACGCCCAGCTAATTTTGTATTTTTAGTAGAGATGCGGTTTCACCATGTTGGTCAGGCTGGTCTCGAACTCCTGACCTCAGGTGATCCACCCACCTCGGCCTCCTAAAGTGCTGGGATTACAGGCATGAGCCACAGCGCCCAGCCTCAGCTGGCTGGGTTCTTGAGGGAGGTGGAAGTGGGCGATGGCTGCTGAGAGGGCATGTACCAGGGTCCAGCCCAAACAGAAGGTGCACAGGCTGGGGACAGAAGAGCTAGGGTATGGGTGTCGGTGCTCACAGTGTGTGAGCTTGACAGCACCTGGGACTGTCTTGGAGTGCCGCCGCATTCCCCATGAGTGAGTTTGTATTGTATATCCTGGGATGCTCCAGTCTGGATGGAATCTGCACGTGAGTTTGTGTGCCTTGCAAACAAACCTTCCCTGAGCACCTGCACTGTGTCTGGTCTTGTGCTGGGCGGGGTGCCCAGGGGAGGAGCCCTTAGCTCACCACAGTGATCAAGACATCCCTGGCCCTGCCCTCACAGGCTCACAGTCCACTGAGGGAGACAGACCTATCCCCAGCCAGGGACCCCCAGAGTGTGCCGGGCTCAGGTGGGGGAGCCCAGAGGGGGAACCTGACCCAGCCAGGGAAGGCAGAGGGGACTTCCTGGAGGAGGGGATGGTACAGTTAATCCTAAAAGGTCTTTCCCAATGTAACAGTTGCTCTGTAGGATGGATGCAGTGGCTCATGCCTGTAATCCCAGCACTTTGGAAGGCAGGAGGATCACTTGAGCCCAAGAGTTGGAGACCAGCCTGGGCAACATAGTAATACCCTGTTTCTATTACCAAAAAAATACAAAAATTAGCTGGACATGGTAACACAAGCCTATAGTCCCAGCTACTTGGGAGGCTGAAGTGGAAGGATTGCTTGAGCCCAGGCGGTTGAGGTTTGAATGAGCTATGATTGCGCCCACTGCATTCCCGGCTGGGCAACAGAGCGAGACCCTGTCAAAAACAAAACAAACAAACAAAAAAAACGTTGGTCTCCTGTATGACCAATGGATAAAGTAACCTTGACCAGTCTAATAACTCCCAGGCTGACCTGTAATCCAAGCCTTCTCTGTATGTCTGAGCAGGCAAAGCCCAGCTCCAGGGCTACCTCAACCCCCAGGCTGATCAGAAGCTTGGGTAACCTCTCCCAGTGTGGCCAGCGACCCCCCACCCTCCCACGTTCTGACCACTGTCCTGGGCAACTAGTGACATCTAGTGGGGGATTTTGTCCCAGTCTGACCTGGCCTGTAGGGGCCTTGGGCAGTCGGACCTGTGACCCACGCTTCCTAGCAGTGGCTGGACTCCTCCCCCTTCCCGCAGGTGCCCTGGCCTCTTCCCCTGCCCTCCTCACCTGCTCTGGCCAGTCTGACTCCTCCCTTCCCCACAAGGTTGGGAGGGAATGAAGGAGAGAGCGGGAAGGAGGAAGGGAGGGTGGCATTCCTGGGATTCCCTGGATAGGGGGAAGAGTGGGAGGGCCTTCCATGGGTGAGCAAGCAGAGAGGGCACCCCGTACCCCACCCCCAGCCCCATCATCGAAGCGGCCTAGGAGGACCTGGATTTGAAGACCATTGAAAATAAGAGATTAAACCGGTTGATTCCAGGCTACTGGTCAGACGAGGAAAGCAGCCCAGAGCACTGACCACAGGGGAAAACATCTCCGGGCATACTGGGAGCAGCTGCTGGGGGCCACTGGTCAGGCTGCGGGGGTCACTGGTTGGACTGGGAGAGGCCAGTGCAGGCCACTCGGACGGCACGCTTGGGGCCATTAGTTACACTGGGAGAGGCCATCGCAGGCCACAGGTTGCAGTGGGGTCCTCTGGTTAAAATCGACGATGCCAGCCCAGGCTGCTGGTCACAGTGGGGACGAGTCCCCAAGGCCCCTGGTCAGAATAACGAGGAGAAGGTCCGCGATTGCCTGGTGAGATCCCAGCTCGGGTCACTGGCTACGCTGGTCGATCAGGCCCCCCGCTGCAGGCGCTGGTCAGTAAGCCCGGACAGCTCTAGGCTTGGGGGCGGACGAGCCCCGAGCCTGGCCCCGTGCACTGGGAGGTCCGCTCCGGGCAGTGGGAGGTCCTGGCCCCGCGCCCGGGCATCGGGGGACGAGGGGGGCCTGGAGGGCGGGGCGGGGCGGGGCTGCCGGGGGCGGGGCCTCTGGCTCCCAGCCCCGCAGCGGCCGAGCTGCAGCCCGGGCTCAGTCTCCGCCGCCGCCGTGAACATGGAGCCCCCGGACGCACCGGCCCAGGCGCGCGGGGCCCCGCGGCTGCTGTTGCTCGCAGTCCTGCTGGCGGCGCACCCAGGTATGGCTCGGGCTGAGGGCAAGGTGGGACTGGGGAGAGGCCCCTGGGGACCCCGGGAAAGCGAGGAGAAAGGGCTTTACCCTGACCCCAGGAAGCAAAATGTGGGGACCCCAAGGAGGAGGGATATGGGAGTGTTGGAAGGTACGCCTTCCAGTGAGAGAGATCTGGGGACAGCCAGGCAGGAGAGCTGGGGATACCCAGGCGGTGGATCAGAGACAACCAGAGAAGTCAGCCCCCTTCCCACTCAGCACCCTGGAATCTGGGTCCCACCTGCCTCCTCCCTCAGACCCTGGAATCTGGGCCCCCAGCCCCTCTTTCCTCAGACCCAGGAGTCCAGGCCTCCAGTGGCTAGAATAGCTTCCCCCAGGGCACAGAGGATCAAAACCCCAGGGCTCTCTCCCTCAAAGGTCCTCAAGTTTTGAGAGGTCCAGGGACCCCTTAGAGAAGCGAGGACCATGTGTCCCCACACCAGCGATCCACATGTATTTAGGAGTTTCCAGAGTCCAGTATAAAGAACCCGCCTCCCTCAGGAAAGGGCTGGAGCACCAGCCCCGGGCAGTGACAGTGGAACAAAGTGTTTCCAAGTGACAGGCCCCCTTCCTGGGGCCTCAGCTACATTTACACACCTGCATGAGGATAGAAGGAGAGGAGGCCGGGGGCTGGGGGGTGGGGGTGGGGGTGCTGGGGACAGAGGGACAGAGAGATGAGAGAGATTGGGGAAGAGAGAGGAACTCTCTGCCTCCACTTGTCTGCAGATCAGACCCAGCCTTAGGCACCAGCCTGGACCCCGTCACCCCTCCCTGGGGACAGGCTGGGGCCAGAGGTGAGCGCTTGGGAATCCAGGCCCCTGGCACACTCATGGTCAACAGTGGGTCCCCAGGGGTAGGGCTGGGCCAGATTGAGCAGAGAAGGGAAGGGAGTTTCTAAGAAGCACTGAGAGCTGATGCCAGGATGCCAGCCCAGAGGGTGAGGGAGGGTGGTGGTTTTTCTACAATAACTACTCCACCAGGCCCCAGCCTCCTCTTCCCTCTGATCCCAGGAG
This sequence comes from Homo sapiens, assembly GCF_000001405.40. Lineage (NCBI taxonomy): Eukaryota > Metazoa > Chordata > Mammalia > Primates > Hominidae > Homo > Homo sapiens. The sequence goes on from NC_000019.10 coordinate 44,810,249, forward strand.
TCCAGGTGCCCAGCTTCCCAAGATCCTGGGCCTCAACCTTATCCTTTTGCAAGATGACTCGACTTATCCCGTTTGCTGTTGTATCAAACTGAGGGGGGCCAAGAGGCGGCTGGGGGCTCTGGCTCCAGGCCGGGCAGGTCTCAGCCAGCCTGTCCCTCCCACATTCCTGAAACCTGCCCAGCCCTGTCCCCCCTCACCGCCCCCACACATCCATCCCGCCTAAGCTCCGGGCCCAGCCGCAGCCCACACCCCAGCCCCTCACTCATGGGAGAGCGGAAGAGACCCAGGGACTGAGTGGTGCAGGTGCAGAGAGAGGCAGAGACAGGGACAGAGATGGAGACCCAAGAGGAGAGACACACGCAAAGGTGGAGACCAGGATGGAGAGAAACATTTATCCATCATCACAGAGGTGGCCCTGCCCAGGGTGCTGGAGGCAAATGGCTGAGCCAGGCCTGGCCCTGCCCTGGGGGGTGGCGTGTGCTCTGTTGGGATAAGCAAAGGCTGGTGCAGTATTACCCCAGGAGTGTTCAGCGGAGGCCACAGGGCCCTGTGCAGCCCAGAGGAGGAGCCCTGAGCTCTGCAAGTGCAGGGAGAGATGGATTTGAGACCCAGAGATGCAGGGAGAAGGGATGGAGGGCGAAAGGATCTCAGGGAGGAGGGGCTGGGGCCTAGACTCCTGGGTCTGAGGGAGGAGGGGCTGGGGCCTGGACTCCTGGGTCTGAGGGAGGAGGGGCTGGGGCCTAGACTCCTGGGTCTGAGGGAGGAGGGGCTGGGGCCTAGACTCCTGAGTCTGAGGGAGGAGGGGACAGGGGCCCAGATTCCTGGGTCTGAGGGAGGAGGGGCTGGCACCTGGACTCCTGGGTCTGAGGGAGGAGGGGCTGGGACCTGGACGCTTGTGTCCTGGGGGAGAGGGGACCCTGTCTGGAGGGCTCTTCCTGTTGGTGTGGTGGATGATAGCTCAGTTGCTCTCTTGCAGATGCCCAGGCGGAGGTGCGCTTGTCTGTACCCCCGCTGGTGGAGGTGATGCGAGGAAAGTCTGTCATTCTGGACTGCACCCCTACGGGAACCCACGACCATTATATGCTGGAATGGTTCCTTGTGAGTGCTTGGGGCTGGGGGGCCTGGAGTCAGGGCACAGCAGGGCAGCAAAGGTTCATTCTCTCATCAGTGCCTAAGGCCTGTAGAGATCCACCAAGCCACACTCCTTGTTACAGATGGGGTCACTGAGTCCCACTGAGGGGAAGGGATCTGCAAGGTGCCCCGTGTCTAGGCACAGCCAAGTCTAGAATGACATTGACCTGCTCTGGACTGCGGGCTCTTGAGAGAGAGAACAGAGACAGACATCAAGAAAGCAGAAGCCAGGCACGGTGGCTCACGCCTGTAATCCCAGCACTTTGGGAGGCCGAGGCGGGTGGATCACGAGGTCAAGAGATCAAGACTGTCCTGACCAACATGGTGAAACCCCGTCTCTACTAAAAATACAAAAATTAGCTGGGCGTGATGGCATGTGCCTGTAATCCCAGCTACTCAGGAGGCTGAGGCAGGAGAATCGCTTGAACCTGGGAGGTAGAGGTTGCAGTGAGCCGAGATCGAGCCAATGCTCTCCAGCCAGGCGACAGAGCAAGACTCTATCTCAAAAAAAAAGAGGAAAGAAAATGAGAGACAATCGGGAGAGGGAGAGACCAAGAGGAGAAGGGATGGGACCGGAATGAGATGGAGAAAAGGAGACAGGAAAAATCAAGAACTGATAGGGAATGGGGGCAGGAGAAGGTGGGGAGGGACAGAGGGACCAGGGAGACCCATAACAAGAGGAAAAGAGGCAGAGCCAGGAGCTGCAGAGAGAAAGGACCCAGAGAGAGAGAGACTGAGGAGCGCTGGGACACCCGGAGCTGAGAGCCTGCCCCGCGCCCACAGACCGACCGCTCGGGAGCTCGCCCCCGCCTAGCCTCGGCTGAGATGCAGGGCTCTGAGCTCCAGGTCACAATGCACGACACCCGGGGCCGCAGTCCCCCATACCAGCTGGACTCCCAGGGGCGCCTGGTGCTGGCTGAGGCCCAGGTGGGCGACGAGCGAGACTACGTGTGCGTGGTGAGGGCAGGGGCGGCAGGCACTGCTGAGGCCACTGCGCGGCTCAACGTGTTTGGTAAGTGTCCTCGGGCATCCCCCGAAGGGAGGCAGGCAGGGAGGGGCGCAGGGCAGGGGCTCCTGACGTGAACGTCTTTTTCACAGCAAAGCCAGAGGCCACTGAGGTCTCCCCCAACAAAGGGACACTGTCTGTGATGGAGGACTCTGCCCAGGAGGTACCTCTCGGGTGGACCTTGGCCCCAGGGTCCTGGAGGAGGAGGGGACAGGGCCCTGGACTCCTGGGTCTGAGGGAGGAGGGGCTGGGGACCCCTGGGTAATAAAGGAGGAGGGGTAAGGCCAGGCGAGGTGGCTCATGCCTGTAATCCCAGCATTTTGGGAGGCAGAGGCAGGCGGATCACCTGAGGTCAGGAGTTCCAGACCAGCCTGGCCAACATAATGAAACCCCGTCTCTACTAAAGATACAAAAATTAGCTGGGTGTGTTGGTGTGCAACTGTAATCCCAGCTGCTCGGGAGGCTGAGACAGGAGAATCACTCGAACCCAGAAGGCAGAGGCTACAGTGAGCTAAGATCACACCACTGCACTCCAGCCTGGGCCACAGAGCAATACTCCGTCTCAAAAAAAAAAAAAAAAAGAAGAAGAAAAGAAAAAAGAAAGGAAGGGCAGAGGGGGAAGACTCCTGTGTCCTAGGAAGGAGAGAGCTGGGGGACCCAGAATCCTTGGTCCCTGGAGGATGGTGCTGGAGGCCTGGACTCTTTAGTCTGAGTCGGGGACTAGGAATTTGGACTCCTGGGTCCTGGGAGAGTCGGGAGTTAGGAGCCCGGCTCATGAGTCTGAGTGGGGAGAACTCCTGAGAGAGGAGCCCCGACTTCAGAGTCCCAGCTCCAAGCCCAGGGCCATGCCCGTGTCTGCCTCAGATCGCCACCTGCAACAGCCGGAACGGGAACCCGGCCCCCAAGATCACGTGGTATCGCAACGGGCAGCGCCTGGAGGTGCCCGTAGAGATGAACCCAGGTGAGCAGCGCAGGAGCGCGGCGGGACGTGGGCTGGGGTGGGTGGCGGGGCTATGGCCTGGCTGACTGCCACCTCCCCCGATCTCTCCCAGAGGGCTACATGACCAGCCGCACGGTCCGGGAGGCCTCGGGCCTGCTCTCCCTCACCAGCACCCTCTACCTGCGGCTCCGCAAGGATGACCGAGACGCCAGCTTCCACTGCGCCGCCCACTACAGCCTGCCCGAGGGCCGCCACGGCCGCCTGGACAGCCCCACCTTCCACCTCACCCTGCACTGTGAGTCTGTGCTGGCCTTTGACCTCTGACCTCAGGCTCCACACCTCATGAGGCCTGACCCTCCACCCGGGGGCTTCACACTCCCCTCTGACCCTCTGCCTCCCTACTTCATGCTAAAAAAAAATGTGCTAGTGCTGGCCACTGACCTCTGACCTCAATTGGTCGCACAAGCCCCATCCTGACCTCTGACCTCCGACCTCCACTTAGCACCCTGGACCCCATGAAGTTTATGACTAAATGGTGCTTTCCACCTTCTCACACTGAATTGGGTCCCCCCATGACATCTGGCTCCAAGTCTCACACTGACCCATCGCCCATACGGACCTCTGACTCTTGACCTATACTCTTAGTTTATTTCAACCTCTGAACTCTGGCACTCAGAATAATTGTGAACCTGAGGCTTGAAACCTATGACCCGTAACCTTTGACCCGCCATAGCCCTCACCTGGGATGCAGGGCTGACCTCTCGCCTGTCCTCTAGCCTTGACCCTTCCCCTGATCACAATTCCCATCTCCCTGCCCTTCCCTTAGATCCCACGGAGCACGTGCAGTTCTGGGTGGGCAGCCCGTCCACCCCAGCAGGCTGGGTACGCGAGGGTGACACTGTCCAGCTGCTCTGCCGGGGGGACGGCAGCCCCAGCCCGGAGTATACGCTTTTCCGCCTTCAGGTGACCCACCCAAGGGTCCCTCTGGGATCCACCCCCCAGCCCCTGACCTCTGTGACCTGCTAACCTGCATAACTTCTAATGTGGGACCTGGGAGTCCCCATGGCTTAGGCAGCCACCTGATCTGGTGGCCCACGAACTAAAAGGACCTCTGACCCCTGATTTGAGAGAGTCAGGACTTAGCATGCCACCTGACTTGATGGCCCCTGACCCCTGATTCTGGCTTAGCATGACACTAACCTGGTGGCTTCTGACCTAGCATGAGCCCGCTGAACCGGGGTGGCTTCTGAGCCTGGTTCCTCGTCCCCCGTCTCCCAGGATGAGCAGGAGGAAGTGCTGAATGTGAATCTCGAGGGGAACTTGACCCTGGAGGGAGTGACCCGGGGCCAGAGCGGGACCTATGGCTGCAGAGTGGAGGATTACGACGCGGCAGATGACGTGCAGCTCTCCAAGACGCTGGAGCTGCGCGTGGCCTGTGAGAGCCCTGGGTGAACGGGCGGGCAGGAGGGGCCCTGGCATCAGTGCCTCTGCGCCCTCCTCCCTACAGCCCTGAAGTTGCTCTGTCATCCCAAACACTCTGCCTTCAACCCTTTCTCTGCATTTCTTGGGGGTTTTTTTGGTTGTTTTTTTTTTTTTTTTTTTCCCAGAGACAGGACCTGGCTACGTTGCCCAGGCTGGTCTCGAACTCCTCATGCGATCCTCCTGCCTTGCTCTCCCAAAGTGCTGGGATTACAGGAGTGAGCCACCGCATCTTGTCGAGAGCTCTTTCCATAGCACAGACCTGACCCTCCTCTGCTCAGAATCTGCCATGGCTCCCCAGTACCCTTGGGAGAAGCCCAGGTGTCTCACCATGGCCTTCAAGGTCCACCTGGCCAGTTCCACCATTAGCTAGCTGATCCTTCTCCCCAGTCAAGGCTATCTCCTCATCACCCCCCAGGCTCCTCTGGTTCCTACCTTCACTGCCCATCCTTCCTACCGTCTATTTCTCACCAATCCCTTGAATCCCAGGCTTCTAAGAATGATTTTCAGTTCATTCGCATCCAGGCCCTGGGGAAAGGCTGTATTCTCCCTTGGCACTTCTTACATATCCCTTCCTGGGGTAGACCCTGCGCCAGATGCTGGGGACACATCTGTGAACAAGACAGACCACCCCTGTTATTTCAGTAGGGGAGACAGATGGTAAATGCTAACTAAGCCCTTTCGTAACAGTAGTGTATCTACAGGTGATATCACCAGTGAGAGAGAGCAGGAGAGGGGATTATTTTAGGTGGCAGGTGTTGCAGTCTGCTTTCCTGAGAAGCAGATTCTGACTTGGATGTTTTCAGGCAAGAAGTTTATGGGAAGTACCCTGGGTTCCGCACCTCTTGGGTCTAGGGAGGTAAAGGAAGCAAGATTTGGCAAGGTGAGAAGTTGGACTGAAGTCTAAGGAAGGTCTCAGGCTGGGTGCAGTGGTTCATGCCTATAATCCCAGCACTTTGAGAGGCTGAGGCAGGAGGATTGTATGAGCCTAGGAGTTTGAGGCCAGCCTGGGCAACAGAGGGAGACCCCATTTGCACACACACACACACAAATTAAAAATTAGCCAGGCATAGTGGCACACACCTGTAGTCCCAGCTACTCGGAGGCCCAGGTGGGAGGATCCCTTGAGTCTGGAAGGTTGAAACTGCAGTGAGCCAAGATTGTGCCACTGCACTCCAGCCTGAGCGACAGAGAAAGACCCCGTCTCAGGAAAAATAAAAATAAAAAAGTAGGCCGGGCCCCGTGGCTCATGCCTGTAATCCCAACACTTTGGGAGGCCGAGGTGGGTGGATCACCTGAGGTCAGGAGTTAGAGACCAGCCTGGCCAACATAGTGAAACCCCCTCTGTACTAAAAGTTAGCCGGGTGTGGTGGCATGCACCTGTAATCCCAGCCACTCAGGAGCCTGAGGCAGGAGAATCGCTTGAACCCAGGAAGCGGAGATTGCAGTGAACTGAGATCGTGCCATTGCACTCCAGCCTGGGCAACAGAGTGAGACTCCATCTCAGAAACAAATAAAAGAAAGAAAGAGGGCCTCAGTCAGCCCCACGGGGTACTTGGAATCCAGGATGGCCCTTCACAGTTGTCCCCAGTTGGGGTGAGGGGGCTGGGCCTTAATAACCTCTACATCAACCAGTCCTCAGAGGTGTGCTGGCCTTAGGCAAGGGGCTCTCAGCAGCTGAGGCAGCTCCCAGAGAGGGGTGACAGCTGCAGGCTGACAGCTGTCATCCTTCTTAGCAGCTGGTGGAATAAGTCCTTCCGTGCTGTAGGAAAGATCTGGGTGTCCACAATAGGGGAGGTCAGGGAAGCCTCTGAGAAGAGACATTTA